>NC_000002.12:109913860-110216890 GCF_000001405.40 Homo sapiens | reverse complement strand
TTTAGTCTCTTCTCAATTTGTGACTTATCTTTCAAGATACATTTCAGCCATCCACTCAGAAGCCTTCCCTGACCACTCTCCACTGTCATCAACACCAAATATTTACTGAGTGTCTGTTATATGCCAGCCCTTGTTCTAGGCACTTGGGATTCACCAGTATACAATGGAGACAAAAATCCCTGCCCTGGAGCAGCTTACATTCTAGCATGGCAAACAGGCAGTAAACAGTGAGTATAATAAATGTTGAAGGCAGTAAGTTCTGGAGGAGAACAGAACCGGGTCATGGGGATCAGGAGTGCCTGAGTGGGAGATGGTTGAGTTTGTGATTTTTAAATAGTTTAGTAGGCTTCGTTGAGAAGGTGACATTTGGCACAAACTTAAAGGAGGTGAGGAAGTTATCCATGCAAGGATCTGGGGAAGAGTATGCCAAGCAGGAGGACCACACATGCAAATGCTATTACACAGAACCATGCCTGGGGAGTTCAAGACACAGTGAGCAAACGACAGCTTCAGGGGTGGACGGGAAACAGGCTTGCAGAACACTTGGGATGACCATAGGGGCTTTGACCACTGCAGAGTTCTAGCAGAAGAGTGTGTCAAAGTCAAAACATGGAGACAAATCTCTGAAATTTGGAAATCTTATTTGGAAAGAAAGAATTGCAACTTGGGACATACATGCAGACTGGGTGGTCTTCGGTATGTCTGCAGAACAAAGAGAAGCTTAGAGGTTTCATTGTAAAAAGAGAAATGTTATGTTTTGCTCTCAGGAAGTTCATTGGCACTAGTAAGGTTTTGAGGAGCTGACAAGTTTTGATTGGTAAGTGACAGCAATGGGTTAAACTATTCTTAGAGTTTTGGGAGATTGTTTCAGTAGCTATAGATAGGACTGGTTTCAGGTTATAGCAGGTAGTTTCAGCAGCCAGGCTTGCAGAGAATTTTTACATTCTTGGAGCAATGTTTCGTGTCCTAAGTGCCTTACCCTCTGCCCTCTCAAATCTATTTTAATTGGGTATGACAAGAATGACCCAAATGGTACGATCAACTTTCACAAGTGACATGATTCAACTTTTTCTGATTTCAAAGGCCCATTCTGGCTGCTGTATTGAGAAGAGAATGTGGTGGACAGATATAGAAGCATGGAAACCTGATAGGGCTATTGCAATCACTCAGAAAAGAGGCGATGGCAGCTTGGACCTGTTGGAAGCAGTAGAGTGGTAAGAAGCGATTTCATTCTGGCTATGTTTTAAAAATAGAACCAACAGGATTGGCTGAGAGATTGGATGGATTTTAAGAGAAAGAATGTCTGAGGGTTTTGTTTTGTTTTGCTTTCACAAACTAAAATGATGAGGATTTTTTCTTCTTTTTTTAAGTCTAAGCAACATGCTTACACACATATTCCAACTCATCACACTGTGTCATAAATTTCTTTTCTACCTCTTCTACTTTGTGCTAAGCTAAGGGCAGACCTTGTGTTGTATTCACCTTTACATTCCCAATGCCTACTGCAGCGTTCAATAAATATTTGTTGAGTAAATGAACATTAAGTGTGGCAGATGTGAATTCACATTGGACCCAACACTGTCCTTATCATCTCCCTCCTAAGATACGTTTTGCCTCAAGTATGAAAGTCCATTTGCTGATCTCTGCAGAGAGGCTGAGTTCAGGCTCCACTTGCTGACCTTCCTTTCAGGACTTTATTCATTTTCTATTACTGTGTGTGATATTGTGAATATATGTGTGTGTGTGTGTGTGTGTGTGTGTGTGTATGGTCTTCATTCTTGTTTCCTGGCATACAGCTCCTAAAATCCTTGGAATCTCAAGTGATTGATAAGAATGACTTTTGTATGCTAATGAGATGACTGCAGGTCCCTAGGACAGGGACTGGCCACAGGAAATGCCAGGGCATGATTTGACTTTCAGCCCTACTCTCCAGCTTCCAGGGAGGAGAAAGGACCTGAAGGTTAATTTGATCACCAATGGCCAATGATGTAATCAGTTATGCCTATGTAATGAAGCTTCCGTAAAAACCAAAAGGATTGGGTTTGATTGAGCTTCTGGATAGCTAAACATGTGGAAGTTCCTGGAGGATGGTGGTCCTAAACAGGGTATGGAAGCTCCATGCCCTTTCCTATATGCCTTACACTATCCATCTATTCCACCTGGCTGTTTAACTGTATCCTTTGTAATATCCTTTATAATAAGTGGGTAAAAGTAAGTAAAGTGTTTATCTGAGTTCTCTGAGCAGTTCTAGAAAATTAATCAAACCTAAGGAGGGGGTTGTTGGAATTCCTGATTTATAGCCAGTTCTTCAGAGGTATAGGTGACAACCTGCTATTTGTGACTGGCATTGGAAGTAGGAAGAAGTCTTATGGGACTGAGCCCTCAACCTATGGAGGCTGATGCTACATCCAGGTAGGTAAGTGTCAAAATTAAATTGAATTAGAGGACACCCAGTTGTTGTCTGCTGCAGAATTCATTGGTGTATAGGAAAAAGGTCTCCCTCACCCCAACTCTGGTGTCAGAGTATTGAATGTATTGTTTAGTGAACAGAGGTGGTCTGTATTGAGAGTTAAGGTGGGAAAAACACTCTGTTTTGTCCCATATCTTACACCATGTAACAGATTACCACAAATGTAGTCACTTAAAACAATACACATTTATTATCTCACATTTTCCATGGATCGGGAATCCAAGCACAATTAAGCTGGGTCCTCTGTTATAATCTCACAAGACTGCAATCAATGTGTAAGGCTGTGTTTTCATCTGGAGGCTCAAATGGGGAAGAATCTGCTTCCAAGCTCATTCAGGTTGTGGGCAGAGTTCATTTCCTTGTGGTTTTGGGACTGAGGGTTCCAGATTTTTGCTGGCTGTTGGCTGGAGGCTTTTCCTAGAGGCCACTGCAGTTCTTTGTTCTGTGAGCTTCTCCAGCACGTCCACTTCATCAAGCCACAGGAGAGTCTTTAACTTGCTAAAAAATGTTATATACACAGTGACATGTTTTGGCTGTGTGCCCACCCAAATCTTGAATTGTAGCTCCCATAATTCCCACATGTCATGGGAGGGACCCAGTGGGAGGTAATTGAATCATGAGGGTGGGTCTTTCCCGTGCTGTTCTCGTGGTAGTGAATATGACCCATGAGATCTGATGGTTTTATAAAGGGAAGTTCCCCTGCACAGGCTCTCTTGCCTGCTGCCATGTAAGATGTGCCTTTGCTCCTCCTTTGTCTTCTGCCATGATTGTGAGGCCTCCCCAGCCATGTGGAACTGTGAGTCAATTAAACTTCTTTCCTTTATAAATTACTCAGTCTCATGTATGTCTTTATGAGCAGTGTGAGAACAGATTAATATACGTAGTAATCACAGGAGTGACATCCTCATCCCCTTTGCTTTATTATATTAGTTAGAAGCAAGTCACAGGTCACACCCACACTCAAGGGGAGTGGATTACACAAAGGCCTGAACACTAGGAGGTGGAAGTCATGGTGGGGGGGTGTCAAAATGACTTTCATCATTAGAAATGTGTTTGTTTGTTTCCTATCCCAACAATTTTGACCCCACGTTAGTTCTGGTACAGCATGACCCCCAGACCTGGGTTGTCCAATATGGTAGCCACTGGTCCCATATATGGCTAGTGTGACTGAAGAACTGAGTTTATAATTTTTAAAAAATTTTAATGAATTTAAATTTAAATTGGTACTCCATTCGGTTATTGGAAAAATGTTTGTGTTTTTAGAACAGCTTGGGTATATAAATCTACTTTTTCAACTGTACATTTTATGAAATCTAGACACTGATAGGTATCTCCATTGAAAATTCAGTGTTCAAATTGAGATGTGCCTTTCGCTGTAAAATACAGACCAGTTTTCAAAGACTTGGTATGAAAAAAATAAAGCATCTCCTTAATAATTTAAAAACGAGTTACATGTTGAAATGATAACATCCCCTATATGTTGGGATAAGTAAATATATTATTAAAAACAATTCCATGTTTTTGTTTTTATTTTTTAAAAAACAGGTTACCAGAAAATTTAAAGTTACGCCAGTCACTCCCATTCTATTGCTGAGAGAAAATACAGAGCGGTGAAGAGCTTACAGTCGGGTGAGCAAGATACGCCCCCAATGTTAGCTAATGATGTAAGGCATCAACAAGAAATGTGGGGGTTCAGGAAAGTGGAAGGTGGGGTCGTCCAAAGCCTGGGAAAGTCTTCAGTTGAAGGCGAGACAGATGGGACTATTAGTGAGTTTCGAGAGATCCAACGCCTCGCCGCCTTCGCTTCATTTTTGTCTCACGCCCCACCCTT
The DNA here is from genome assembly GCF_000001405.40 of Homo sapiens. NCBI lineage: Eukaryota > Metazoa > Chordata > Mammalia > Primates > Hominidae > Homo > Homo sapiens. The sequence goes on along the minus strand of NC_000002.12, from coordinate 110,212,589 downwards.
GAACGCGCGGCGCCTTTTGACCCCGCCGCCGCGCCGTAGACCGCGCTGCACGCCGGCGGCAGCCATGGCGGATGTGTCAGAGAGGACACTGCAGTTGTCCGTGCTAGTAGCCTTCGCTTCTGGAGTACTCCTGGGCTGGCAGGCGAACCGACTGCGGAGGCGCTACTTGGACTGGAGGAAAAGGAGGCTGCAGGACAAGCTGGCGGCGACGCAGAAGAAGCTGGACCTGGCCTGAGACTCTGCGCCTTCCGCCCCATTCTGTCCCCCTCATGGCCACCTTGCCATGTCCGCGCCGGAGCCCCGGTCCGCCGGCGCCCAGAACCAGGCTTGCCACACAGTCCCCGCCTGCCATGGCCGGCTCTTCCTGGAGTGTTGGTGAGCAGTACACATAGTGACATTGCAAAGGGAGACTTTGGGGTCGGGCGGATATCTTAGGATCAACTCTGGCTAGGTCGCAGAAGACAGGACTTGTTCCCACAGACACCAGAAGGTGGAAGTTTTGTCTTCCCTGATAACTTGCTCTTCGGTATCTTGGTTTGGTTCACTGGGTGTTTAATGAGAATGTCTTACCAACGTGCTATGTCGTCGTTCATCCTGACAACATTAAACATCAGTATAGAAAATACTGGAAAGAACAAAAGAAAAAAAGAACCAGGGAGGTGATCTTGCCACCCCCAATTCTTTTCAGTAACATCCTTGTTAGCACATCTTCGCCTTGGCGATTGTAAACTCCAAACTGAATTCTTAGGTTGTTGGCAGCCTGGTAAAGTGGAAAGAGCAGTGGCCTGGAAGTCAGGAACCTTGCATCCAGTCTTAGCTCTTCAGAAGAGCTGTGCATGATCAATTTTCAGGACCTCAGTTTTCTTGTCGTAAACCAGATCTTATGGTTCATGGTTTAATACCACAGTACGGCTTGAAGTTTCAGATTGTGTATTTCTAATTTTTTTCTCTTTTCTGTTTCTAACAGCTTGTTGAAGATGCATATAGACTACCGGAAAGAAATGACTTCTTCTTGCACTTTATGAATCAATTTTATTTTTAAAATAAAAAAATTAAACATCTTTGACCCTTTTATTTTTTCATAAGGGGAAGTATCATGTTTTTCTTGCACCTTACTGCATCAAGAGATCTGCATTTTCAAAACTGACTTACTAGTGTTTTTGAGCAGATGTGTTATGTAACTCGTGCCCCTTCTTTGGTACAGGCACAAAGCAGACTTGGCCGTGGGACCATTATGGGTTCTTTTACCGAACTTTTTGGAAAGCAGGGGGCTGTGTAAACATAACTGAGGTAAGGGTGCTATATGTAAGACCTTTGAACTTCCAAGAGTAACAGTGTATTCCTTGGCCCTGCTCAGGCCTATAATCCCAGCACTTTAGGAGGTTGAGGTGGGAGGACCACTTGAGCCCAGGAGTTGGAGACCAGCCAGGGCAACATGGGGAGACCCAGTCTCTACAAATAACTTACAAATTAGCTGGCCGTGGTGGCACACACCTGTGAGTCCAGCTAATTTGTAAACCAGAGGCTGAGGCAGGAGGATCACCTGAGCCTAGGAGGTTAAGGTTGCAGTGAGCTGTGATCTCACCACTGCACTCCAGCCTGGATGACAGAGCGAGACCCTGTCTCAACCCAAAACGAAACAGTGTGTTCCAAGTACAGAGTATAAGTTTTTTCTTTTTTCTTTTTTATTTGAGACAGAATTTCACTCTTGTTGTCCAGGCTGGAGTGCAATGGCACAATCTCGGCTCACTGCAACCTCTGCCTCCTCGGTTCAGGCAATTCTACTGTCTCAGCCTCCCAAGTAGCTGGGACTACAGGCATGTGCCACTATGCCTGGCTAATTTTTGTATTTTTAGTAGAGATGGGGTTTCATCATGCTGGTCAGGCTGGTCTCGAACTCCTGACCTCAGGTGATCCACCGGCCTTGGCCTCTGAAAGTGCTGGGATTACAGGCATGAGCCACTGTGCATGGCCAGTGTATAAGTTTTTATTGGCAAAAATCTCTTTTACGTGTCATTATGGAATACACATGAAGGAGAAACCCTCCTGAACAGAGCTTAGTGATAAATCCTACCTATATCTAAAAATCAAGAGTGAGTGCCTGGTTCCTTTGATTTGCAAGGAGTGTTTCTAGAACACCACCCTTGCTCATTCCTACAAAGATTAATTCCGTGTCTCAACCTCATGTTAACATAGGAAAGTTGTTTCCACATGAAGCACCCGCCACCGTCCCCCCATTTTAGTGGGGCTATTATGCCTTATTACCTCCAACTTTGTTTTCATTCTGCGAATGTAGTAGTCAAGGATTGAAATGGTTCCTGGAGCTCAGTCCCATCTGGGCCGCAGTTTGCTGAAGCTTCCTAGTGTCCACCCCTAATTGAGGCTCCAAGAGTTGAGACTCTTTGAGACAAGGTAGGTTTCTTGAGGGACATATTACCCCCAAACTGTTGGAATGTGCCTGGTTAAGCATCTGGATTGTGACTGGCCTAGTTCTGCCTGTTTGGACCCATTCTTGTGCCATGTTCCTGGTGGACCTGGTCCTTCCAATGTTGATTCTTTCTTTCTCATTGCTTATGTACAGCACCCTGACACAGTCATGCCCCTCTCCTGTCTCTCCTCTAGGTATCCCTGCCTCTGGGCATGTGTTACTTCCGAGTCCTGTCCATATCCTTATGGGATTTTTAGCCACTCTGTGCTGCTCCTAATTTTCTAGTTTTCTGCTTACTACCTTTTTACACTGTGACTGTACTCCCCAGTTCTGTAGTGGGCAGTTACCTTTGACGTTACCTCTGTCACTTTTTCTACCTTTGCTCTACTTAAATGTGGTAGTTTTTTCCCCCCCAAAATACTGTGGAGATAGTACTTTTCCTACGTTAGCCAAAACTGGAAATGGAAAGTTGGGAGCCAGGAGTCAGTGCCAGTCATAACTTGGAAATGACACACTGTTGACTCCTTGAATCTATATTCCCCCACCTCCATTTTTCACTGCCATTTAGTCATGGCATCTACATGTCTTGGCCCACTTTTACTACCCTACCCTGCCTCCTTTTCTCCCCCAATATGGGCTTCCCAGACCACCTGTTCTATTCCACATTGCTTCAGCCATACTCCGGACCTTATCATCAACAGGCTTGGACTTTTTTATATTGTACTTGTCTGTTTAGTCTCGGGGTAACGCCACCTCATTAGGACAGCTTACATCCTCTACATCTCCTATAGAACTGCCCACTCTGGAGACTATTAGTTGTCTCACCCTTCCAGTTAACCTCATAAGTCATCCTGGGCTCCCTGGTCAGATTAGACTCCATCCCTTCTTGTACATTTACCTTCACCACTGCTTTTGCTCTTTTGAGCCACTGAACTTGAAAGAAAGACTTCACCTTTCTCACTTGGCTCACTACAAATTCGTTCTATTGTGACTGCATCTGTCTCATTTCTTAGCACCTGAGTTCCTGAAACTCCCAGTTTTCTTGATGCCTTTCATTCCTAGTAGATCAACCATATGAGAAGATAAAGGCTGTTAGCTGGGAATTCCTTCATCCTACTCAATAGTTTTGTCTAGAGCAGTAGTTTTCAACAGGGCTACACATTATAATCATCTAGGGAGCTTTAAAAATACTAATTCTTGCATGCCACTGTCCAGACATTTTGATTCATGTCATTTGGAATATGGCCTGGGTATTAGAATTTTTAGTTCTTCAGGTGATTGTGATGGTCACCTGAGGTTGAAAACTACTGTTTTTGAAGCTCTGTCTCATTAGGTTTCCTTTACCAGGAGAGAAGACACACGGGCCCTTTCCAAGGCTGTCTCCTCTTTGGCCTCTGCAGAATTCTGCATCTCCCTCAGGACCTTTCTTGTTCTCCAGTACATCATCTCTGTTGCGTCTGCAGTCTCTGCCTGCTTTCTATTTACAAATGCATATTTTTTCTTTTCTTTTTTTTTTTTTTTTTTTTTTTGAGACGGAGTCTCACTCTGTCCCCCAGGCTGGAGTGCAGTGGTGTGATGTTGGCTCACTGCAACCTGTGCCTCCCGGGTTCAAGCGATTCTTGTGCCTCAGCCTCCCCGAGTAGCTGGGATAACAGGTGCCTGCCACCATGCCTGGCTAACAAATGCATGGATTTTGACTTAAAATTTATTTTAGTTGATGTTATCATTTGCCAATATTTTCTTTCCAAATATTTTGCCCATTGGTCTGCTGTGATCTGCCCTCTGCACCTTCCAGAAACATTAATATCTATGGCTCTTCTGAATCCTCACATTTTACCTTGAGGGTATTTGATGAGGCCACTTTGTCCCTTGAAATTCTCCTTCCCTTGCTTCTCTAATACAAAAGTTTATTGAGTTTCCAAACTGCTACTATTGCTGCCTTTCTCAAGTTCCTCAAACTTTTGCCTTGGTTCTCTGCCCTGTCCTCTCCTGTGATTACCCTAGCCATTCTCTTGGCTTAACTAGCACATCCAAGCAGAGCCCCCTCCCTCTGATCCTTTCCTTCAATTCCAGCTTCACCCTTTCAGCTGTCTAGTGGACATATTCAATGCATGACCTTACTGTAGAGCTCAGTGTATTTAATCATAAGCTGTTCATTTGGCGGGGAATTCTGTACACCAGGTAGCACTTCTGTGGTAAGTGGTTGGTACAATTTTCATGTTTCTAGTCTATTACTGTAGCTTGGAAGCTCTTTGAGAGCAGTATTAAACATCTTGTACCACAGGCCTAAACAGTGCCTTGCACCAAGGTATATATTTGTCATTTTTATTTGAGGTGGATTGTTTTCTTTTCTTTTCTTTTCTTTCTTTCTTTCTTTCTTTTTTTTTTTTTTTTTTTTTTTTTTGAGACACAGTCTCACTCTGTTGCCCAGGCTGGAGTGCACTGGTGTGATCTCAGCTCACTGGAACCTTCACCTCCCAGGTTCAAGTGATTCTCCTGCCTCAGCCTCCTGAGTAGCTGGGATTACAGGCATGTGCCAACACACTTGGCTAATTTTTGTATTTTTAGTAGAGACAGGGTTTCGCCATGTTGGCCAGGCTGGTCTCAAACTCCTGACCTCAGGTGATCCACCCACCTCGGCTCCCCAAAGTGTTGGGATTACAGGCGTGAGCCACCGTGCCCAGCCTGAATTTTCTTTTAAGGCCCTAAAACTGCACACTTTCTCTATTCTCTTTGCTATAATCTTTTTATTGATTCCAAGTCGTCTTGTTCCACTGGTTCTGTCTACATTATGAGTCTCTTGGAAGCTGTTAAATTCTTTTTCAGTATGACCTGTGAGGAAGCAATTCAAAATTGTTACTCATTTTAACACACTGATAGAAATCATGATGAGTTTTATGAAGTAGCTTGCTCTCAGGAGAAACATTGGCCATGGTTTGCTTTAGTTTCTTTTGGCTACCTCACTGCAGATCTCTCTTGTTTTAGGTTATGTTGTTTTTTATAATGGCATCAAGGTATAACTACAGAGGAGCAATGACTAGTATTAATGTGACTGTCCTGAATATTACAGTTATTAGTGAAAAATCATTAGCTGAGTAATCATATCATTTATAGCACACTGAATACCTCAGTGGTACTTCTCAAACTTGAATGTGCACATGAAACACTGGGGTATTGTTAAAATACAGATTCTGATTCTCCTAGGACTGTGGTGGGGCTGAAAATGTGAAAATGTGCATTTCTAACAAGGTCCCAGGTGGTGATGATGCTGATCTAGGAATCGCAAGTAATGAATACTTGTAACCGAAACAATATGATGCAAAAATGTATAAAGTCAAACATCTTCACACCTGAGGTGAATGAGTAATACACTTTTTTTGCACCTTTCCTTATTGTTCATATATTCACACATATTTAGGGGGGGTTATTAGTTTATTTTTACCAACAGAATTAAACTGTATCCATGATGCTATTAACTTTTCCATTTAAAATGTGGAAATCCCTATAAATAAGTAGATGCAGAATAATTTTTTCTAATTTATTTGTAGACTGAGAATTTCATAAGTAATAGCTGTATTTTAGAGCAATTTTTTTCGTTTTGCTCATCTCATCACCTGTAATTATTGATTTAATAATCCACTTAGAAATATTTTATAGCATTTTCTCATTTGTTGTAAAGATTTTTAATGGAAATCCTATGTTTGACTATTTAAGTGAACTAATTATCATAAGCCATAATAGAGAAATTAATTCAAAATAAGACATGAATTACAACAAAACAGACAATACCAAATCTTGCCAAGGACATAAAGAACAAAAACTCATACACTGCTGATAGGGTATAAATTAGTACCATTTTGGGAAACCAGGTAGTAGTATCTACTAAAGCTGACGTATAACATGCCTGTGACTCAGCAGTGTTATGTGTTTGCCAGAAGACTTGCACCAGGACGTTCTTAGCAGCGCTATTTATACTAGCCCTAAGCTGGAAACTGCCCACTTACCCAGCAACAGTAGAATCAGTATGTTAGGGTATATCATATGTGAAATATCAGCAATGAGAATGAACAGACTACAGACACACACAGTATAGATGCATCTCACAAATGTGATATTTAAAGGACAGGAGAAGCCACCACACAGTGCATAATTTCATTGTATAGTACAAAAAAAGGCAACACAAGTTTGTGCTCTTATAAGTTAGGATATTGTTCACCTTTGGTGTGTGGTAGAGAAGTGAGAGGGTTGAGAGGTTGGGGGTAGGCAAGGACTAGAAAGACAGGAAGAGTGTGAGTGGGCAGATAATGTTCTGTTTCATAATCTGGGTGCTGTTATGGGGTGGAGGGTTTTCAGAGCTGCACACAAAGTCTGTAGACTTTTCTCTGTATGTATTATACTTGAAGAAAAAAGTACATAAATAATGGTTCATCCTGGCCTGTGGCTGTTCTGAAGAACATTCATTTGTATTAATGGGGTCCATCATTTGGAAGGTGAGCCCCAAGCATCATCATTCTTATTCAAGTTCAATTTTGGTGTAGTGGAGTTTTGGAATTGGATTCATGGGATGCAGTCCCATATGGGGGAAACATGACAACCTTCCTGAGAGTTGATGTAAACTGGGAATCATAATGAGAACTAATAATTTGCTCATAGATTTGCTGTAGAACAATTACCATCCTTACAGAATTCAGAATTGACAACGTGCAATATTAGAATGAAATGAAACTTCAGTAGCCTAAATGGCAAAGAATTAAAAACTGCCTTTTGAAGTGACAGTATGGAACAGAACCATATATTCCATAGGAAAGCTATCCTTGGAGTTAATGAAAGAGTTTAAGATACTAAAATTGTATCTTAACATTAGCTTACAAAATTGGTATCAGAAAGCAAATGCCATAAAACAGGTATCCCAGCAAGAAGGTGGTGTTATTATTGATGTATTGTGGGGAATGTAGTTTCAGACGCCGGGGGACGTTCCCCTATCCTTAGGAATTGCCGAGGAAAAGTGACTCCCCCGGCTGTGACCTGCCTGGTGGCGTGGGATGACCACCGCAAGAGAACATTTGACCCTTCCCGGGACCGGCCCGGGCGGGGCGGGGCTGGGAGGCGGGCGCACATCGATGGCGTCACCTTCTGGCGCCGCCGGTTGGTTTCCCTGGCAACTGGAGCAATCAGAGCACCGCAGCCAGGGAGATGCTGGCGAGACGACAGCGAGATCCTCTCCAGGCCCTGCGGCGCCGCAATCAGGAGCTGAAGCAACAGGTATGGTCAGGCTGTGCAGAGGGCCCTGGGGCGGGCGACAGGCGGACGCAGCTGCGCGCACTGCGCCTTCCCACCGTGACCCCACCTAATCCTGGGAGCTTGCCCCCAACCTACTTACCTTCCCAGGTTGTAACGCCCCCTTACCCCATAACATTCCAGCACCCAACCCCGATTCAAACCCCTCCTGATCCCAACTCAACCCCCAGCCAAAGGCGAAACCTCCCAAAATTCGTGACCATCAACTAAGCGCCCCCTCCTCCGACCCTCACTCCCACCTAACGTCTCAACCTCCTACCCTAACAACTCACTAACCCACCTTATCTCCCAATCTAAACTTAGTGGTGTAACCATTTCCAACCCAACTCTGAGCCTAGCTCCTCTCCTCCACTTTCCAAGCCCATTTCCTTTCAGCCTTCCTCAAGTGGAGATTATTATTGCCTCCGTGAACTCAAGCGAAATAGGTGTCAAGAAATAGTCTTAATATGCAAGAACATTAAGATCTGATAAATGAGCAAAGGAGGTGAACGAGAGAGGAAATACAAGTAACTCATAAACATACGAGGAATGTTAACTTCAAAGATACTCAAGTAATTGCAAAGCACATAAGGTATCACAAAAATGTTAAAAATCACAACACTCTGTCTTGAGGAAGGTGTGATGAAGCAGGCACATTCACTGCTCCCGTGTATAAGGTGCTTGTACAGCATTTCAGGAAAGCAGCTTGACAAGGTGTAACATATGTGTATGCACCTAGGCTCAAAAATTACATTTCCAGGGATCTGCTATGTGTAATAATTAGAAAGTAGGACAGAGATTGATGTATAAAAGTATTCATCACATTGTTACTTATATAATATACACAGAACAGCATAGAAGGGAACAGGCTAATATGGTATTTCTGTGTGACAGGATGCTGATGATTATTATGATTTTCTTTATTCTTTTTCATATTTATAAAAATTTTTAGGCCAGGTGTGGTGGCTCATGCTAGTAGTACCAGCTACTTGGGAGGCTGAGACAGGAGGATCACCTGAGCCCAGGAGTTCGAGACTAGCCTGGGCAACATAACAAGACTTGGTCTCAAAAAAAAAAAAACTTTTTAAAAATACACTGAGTTCTTATTAAAAATAAGAAAAAAGTAAATAGCAACCAGTGGGTTTATTTTCTGACATTTTAATTTCACTTTAATTTTTTTCATGTGATCTATTACCAAGTATTTTTCCACTGAGTAAAATTATTTTATAATCTGAGGCCGGTAAGAGATTCACTGATGCTCATATTTTATCCATTTTTGTTCTCTTGTTTAAAGTAAAAAGGATTTGGAAGGTAAATATTTAGGTGACTGTGTATTGGAATCACAGTGGTGCAACAAAAGCTAAATACTCTTCTGGTAGAAATAAAAAATAAAACTTGATGGGGCATTGACTTATGCTGAACTTCGGTGGATCTTAATATGGTTCTGTGTCTTATTTTAAAATTTCAACTTTTATTTTAGATTCAGGGGGTACATGTGCAGGTCTGTCACATGGGAACACTGTGTTATGCTGAGGTTTGGGGTACAGATGAGCCTATCACACAAGCAGTGAGCACAGTACCCAATAGGCAGTCTTTCAGTCTTCATTCCTCTTCCCTCCCCCACCCCACTCCAGCAGTCACCAGTGTCCATTGCTCCCATCTTTATGTCCATGTGTACTCAACGAGTGAGAACATATGGTATTTGGTTTTCTGTTCCTATGCTAATTCACTTAGGACAATGGCCTCCAGCTCCATCCATGTTGCTGCAAAGGACATGATTTCATTCTTTTTTATGGTTGCATATTTTTTCATGGTGTATATGTACCACATTTTCTTTATCCAGTCCACCATTGGTGGGCATCTATGTTGATTCCATGTCTTTGCTATTGTGAATAGTGCTGTAGGGAACATACACATGCATGTGACATTTTGGTAGAATCATTTCTTTTTTGGGGGTATATACACGGAAATGGGATTTCTGGGTCAAATGATAGTTCTGTTTTACGTTGTTTGGGAAATCTCCAAACTGCTTTCCACAGTGGCTGAACTAATTTTCATGCCCACCAACAGTGTATATGTGTACTCTTTTCTTGTCAGCCTCACCAGAATCTGTCATTTCTTGATTTTTTAATAATAGCCATTTTGACCAGTGTGAGATGGTACCTCATTGTAGTTTTAATTTGCATTTCTCTGATGATTAGTCATGATGAGTTAATTTTAAATTTAGTGGGACATTAGGAGAACCAGGAAAAGTTTTAGAAGGAAACTATAAAAATGATTATTAAAACAAACTATTAGAAAGATTATTCTCCCTGGAGAAATATTGGCTCTGGAGCCTTTTGATACCTTGACTATCTGGAAAGTTTGTTTTGATAGTATTAGCTAATTCTTCCCTGTCTTCACAGAGGACACCTGAAGCTGAATATGGAACAGATTTTCTATTCGGTGTCTGTAGGACAAGTAATCAACAGCCCCTCTGAGTCAGGCCTGTGATGACTGGCTCTATCACTAGGTGTGTGAATTTTGTAAATAACACTCAGATGGATGCCAAATTGCAAGAGTAGAGAAGAAACTAATGGAATTTTCTCTTTTTTCATCCACTTTATCTTCTCTACGTAATCTATAGAAAACAGACCAAAGAAGTATGTGCCTTTTTGGAGAGTATATTGACAAAGTTACATATAGTGTTAGTAAACAAACTACTAAGTCAAGAGAAACAAAGTCATGATACATTCAATACAATGGATACCACTCAGTAATGAGAAGGAATGAACTAATGGTACACACAACAATATGGAAGTATCTCAAAAACATGCTTTGTGGAAAGGTTACACAAGAGTGCTTACTGTATGAGTCCATTTATATAAAATTTCAAGAACAGGCAAAACTAATTTATGTTGGAAAAATATCAAAACAGGTTTGTCTGTGGAGGAATAAGGAGGGGATTTACTGGCAAGGGCATGAGGGAACTTACTAGGGTGATGGTAGTTTTCTACATCTTGATAAGAATTTTGGTTACACAGATGTATGCATTTGTCGAAACTCAGCAAATGTATGCCTCGTATTTGTGCATTTCACTATATACATATTTTACATCAACTATTGAACTTTAGTTAGTGACATCCATAGTCCATTATTTAGGGAGAAATGTATTGATAACTGCAACTTACTTTGAAAGGCATAAGGTGGGTTGACGGATAGATCAAATAAGTATAGTATAATGTTAATGTTTTTTCTAGGTAGCGGGTATATGGGTTTTCACTGTAAAATTTTTAAAACTTTGTTGTATGTTTAAAAGTGTTCATTATAAAATATTGGATAAAAAAAGAAGTTTTCTTTCCTAAGGCGATATGGTATTTAATAATGTGATATTTTAAATGGTCTCCATAGGTTGATAGTTTGCTTTCTGAGAGCCAACTGAAAGAAGCTCTAGAACCCAATAAAAGACAACATATTTATCAAAGGTAAAGTATGCTAAATTATATAAGCTTTACAGGAACCGCACTTACATTTCAATGCATAGTATTTAAGGCATAGAGATTGGTCCTTTGGAATCAAATGGAAGAATCACATAGTGTTGTAAGTTGAATGTAGAAGAAACCAACCTAAACCTGATGGTTGCGGACTTGCTGTTGTGACAGCAACTATAAAAACTGCTTAATGTAAACATAGGTGACATGGGCAGGATTACCCTAAATCCTTAGCCTATGTAGCCCAGATCCTGTGACCTGGTCAGAAACCTCTGTCTATAAGCAATTAGTACTTCATTGGGATGTCAACTTTAACTCCCATGAGAAGACAACACTGTTTTCTAGGTGGGTGTTTTTTGTTTTGTATTTGTTTTTACTTAAAAAAAAATCCTTGGGAGAGTTTAAATAGACGTGATGAACTACATCAAATTTAGACTATTAATTCATAACATTTGTATTAAGTTTAGGACATCATTAAGATAATCTTTGTTTTTGAGATATTTAAGGATTTTATTACATTCCAAAGAACATGAGATTCATTCTATTAATTTAAGTGAATTGTAATTGTTTGGAGAAGTTTTACTTAAGTCAGGCATTCAGAGTGCTTAAAGGCAAAACAAATGAATTTTGAAATGTCAAATGAATTTAATTTATAATAGTAGGATTGATTAAGGGATTTAGTTCAAGCTGAATTAACAGTAATGAAAGAAAAGCAAAGGTTATTGTTCTTGCTTTACTAGATTTAAAAACAGAGTAAGATTTATAGACTGAATTTGAAGGCCAAGGGAAAACTACGTTTTTAAATTTTATGTTAGTAAACTAAAAATCATAATTATTATTATTTTATTTTTTGAGACTAAATCTCACTCTGTCACCCAGGCTGGAGTGCAGTGGCGCAATCTCGGCTCATTGCAACCTGCACCTCCCAGGTTCAAGCGATTCTTCTGCCTCAGGCTCTTGAGTAGTTGGGATTACAGTCGTGCCCCACCACACCTGGCTGGATTTTGTATTTTGAGTAGAGATGGGTTTCATCACGTTGGCCAGGCTGGTTTCGAACTCCTGACCTCAAGGGATCCCCCAGCCTTGGCCTCCCAAAGTGCTGGGATTATAGGTGTGAGCCACTGTGCCCAGCCTAATAATTGTTATGTTTTATTTTTTTTGAGATAGAGTCTCTCTCTGTCGCCCAGGCTGGAGTGCAGTGGCATGATCTCGGCTCACTGCAAGCTCCACCTCCCAGGTTCAAGCGATTCTCCTGCCTCAGCCTCCCGAGTAGCTGGGATTACAGGTGCCCGCCACCATGCCTGGCTAATTTTTTGTATTTTTAGTAGAGATGGGGTTTCACCGTGCTAGCCAGGATGGTCTCAATCTCCTGACCTCATGCCCCCTGCTTTGGCCTCCCAAAGTGCTGGGATTATAGGCGTGAGCCACCGCGCCCGGCCCCTAATAATTATTTTTAAGCCCAAGTAACCATAGTCTTCTCTGTGCATGAAAAGAAGATTGTTACTGTCATTTAAAAACTCACTTTGACATTTGCATATCTGAAAATGTCATTTAGGTATCATTTTTATCTGCTCAGTGCTCTGAGTCTTTTCAGTTTGAAAACTCATGTCTCATGAGCTCTGGGAGATTTTATTTTACAAAAAGATTATTTCGTTAATTCCATTTGTCTGTTTCTTCCTGAAACACCTTTGAGTCAGGTATTGGATATCCTGGACTGATCCTCTATATCCCATAACTTCCTGTTAATAGTTTCTGTTTCTTTGTTTGTATGGGAGATGTTTTTTTGGGGGGATGTGGGGGGTCTCACTCTGTCGTTCAGGCTGTAATGAAGTGGCACAATCATGGCTCACTGCACCTTCTGCCTCCCAGGCTCAAGGGATGCCCCCCTCCCCCGCCACGAGCTACCATGCTAGCAATTCTCTTGACTTTAACACTTTTCTTTATTACCTATTTCAACAGCCATATTGTTTTATTTCAGCAGTCATATTGGTTTTTTTTTTTTTAAGATGGAGTCTCACTCTGTCATGATCTTGGCTCACTGCAACCTCTGCCTCCTGGGTTCAAGCGATTCTCCTGCCTTAGCCTTCTGAGTAGCTGGGATTACAGGCTCACGCCATCACACTCGGCTAATTTTTTGTATTTTTAGTAGAGACGGAGTTTCACCATGTTGGCCAGGCTGCTCTCAAACTCCCGACTTCAGGTGATCCACCCATCATGGCCTCCCAAAGTGCTGGGATTACGTGAGCCACCGTGCCTGGCCATCATCAGTCATGTTGTTAATTTACAAGTGTTTTCTCTTGTTCTCGAATTGTTCTTTTTTCATAGCATCATGTTCCTGTTTTCATATTGATTGCCTTCTTACTACTTCCATGACTAGGAGGCTTTTTTTTTCTCCTTAAGTTCTCTTCTGTTCTCTGAATTGTCTTTGCTTTCTCTGGGCTCAGATTCCTTTTAATTAGTTAATTAATTAATTTATATTTGGTTATTCTTAAATTTTATCTTCACGTTGCCGGTTTTCTTTATTAGGTCTGGCTTATCTATTTTTATTGAACAATGAGGGACTAGGTTGATTATTCCAGAGAGCTCTCATGGGCTTTTCTACTGTTAGATAGAGAGGGGTCCTTCCTGCTAGTACCATCCCCTGAATAAGAATGAAATTTTGTATGTTGATAGGGCTTATCAGAGGCTCGGAAGTAGCTTTTAGTCTGAGGATCCCCCAGTGCCAGAATAGGGCCGGCTCTAACCCTGGTGTATGGGAAACTTCTTTAGCAGTCATGATTCTCTTCAGGTCGTTTGTTAATTGTTTTTGTTTGTTTTTTTGTTTTTAGGGAAGAATCCCCTGGTAAGGAGGGAGAGCAGAGAGGGGAAAAGGGAGCTAACTGGCTCAGGTTTTCTGTAAATAGACTTTTAAAAGAAAGAACCCCAACTAAATCTAAACGTAATCAGTATCATTAATCTTCCCTTGACTAATATAAAGACCTTAGATTGCTTTAACATTGATTTCCCTCCTCAAAGCTTAGATGTATGCATATGATTTAATTTACACAATATAACACAATAATATTAGATAATTTATAAAGTAAACCCCAGCCACTGTGCATGTCTTTTCATCAGCAGAATTTCATAATGTGTCCCTCTATGATTTAGTTTAGTTAACCTTTGGTCCTTTATGTCTGCTGACTCAAGTCCTAGAGTTTTCGGCCTGGCAGATTATCTCCCTCTTATGCTTGTGTTGCGTCTTCCACCCTTTATAGGAGAACATGCTTCCAGCCTTTTTCCATGGAGCAGAAATTTGTTGAAATCTCTTGCTGGCTAGTTGTCCTTCTTTCCTTCTTTGCAGTGTTCAGAGTTTGTTACCTTTTCAAACGTTTTAATCATTTTTTGTGGGGTTTCAGGAGCCAGTGAAGATGAATGTGTGCTTAGTTTTTATCCTGAACCAGGAGTCTTAAAATATCAACTGTTTGAGGATTTTAATAATTACATAGTTATAAAGGAGGTAATTGTAATAAGTAATTTATTTTCTTGGTACATTATATTAAAATAGTTTTCCACTCTGGGCTTTAAGCGAAATTTCTGAGTCTAAGTTTCAGTAGAGATTTTTTTGGTCAAGTAACATGACACCTGCCAAAATAAGCGGCTTTACTGTCAGTCTCATTTGACAAAAGCCTGCAGCTAGGTTCTCTCAGGGTGGATTCATGGCTTGTGATATCCTCAAAGACCAGCCTTTGATGTCATTCCACTCTGCCATCCTTTGCTTGTTGGTGATGTCTCTCCTCATGGTTACAAAGTCCATACCCTCAGTATCTAAGAGCAGATGTAGGAGAGATTCTTTTCATGCCTGGTAAGGGAGGATAAAATGGGAGGCAATCCCAATATACGTGTTTTATGTTACACTGGCAGCCGTGGGCCCCCTGCTCACCCTGCCTGCAGTGGAGGCTGAGAACATAGGTGCCAGTGGGAAGCTGACTGCCAGCAAAGAGGAAGGGTGGGAAAGGGGCTTTTGGGGAGGTTGCTAGTAGGGTCAGCCCCAGTTTGATGTTTCCCCTTCTCTTTTGCTACCCTTTTGACAAAGGACTTTTGTTCCCTTTAAAACGTTTTTTATTTATTACTGTTTTTTATTTTTTTCTTTAAGTTCAGGGATACATGTATGGCATTGTGCAGGTTTGTTACATAGGTAAACGTGTGCCATACTGGTTTACTGGACAGATCATCCCATCACCTAGGTATTAAGCCCTGCATCCATTAATTATTCTTCCTGATGCTCTCCCTCCTCTAATACCTCCTTCCTACAGGCCCCAGTGTATGTTGTTACCCTCCTTGTGTCCATGTGTTCTCATCATTCAGCTCCCACTTATAAGTGAGAACATGCGGAGTTTGGTTTTCTGTTCCTGCATTAGTTTGCTGAGGATAATGACTTCCAACTGTAACCATGTCCCTCCAAAGGACATGATTTTGTTCCTTTTTATGGCTGCACAGTATTCTATGAGAACATGCAGTGTTTGGTTTTCTGTCCTTGTGATAATTTGCTCAGTATGATGGTTTCCAGCTTCATCCATGTCCCTTCAAAGGACATGAACTCATCATTTTTTATGGCTGCATAGTATTCCATGGTGTATATGTGCCACATTTTCTTAATCCAGTCTATCATTGTTGGACATTTGGGTTGGTTCCAAGTCTTTGCTATTGTGAATAGTGCCACAATAAACATATGTGTGCATGGGTCTTTATAGCAGCATGATTTATAATCCTTTGGGTATATACCCAGTAATGGGACAGTTGGGTCAAATGGTATTTCTAGTTCTAGATTCCTGAGGAATCGCCACACTGACTTCCACAATGGTTGAACTAGTTTACAGTCCCACCAACAGTGTAAAAGTTTCCTATTTCTCCACATCCTCTCCAGCACTTGTTGTTTCCTGACTTTTTAATGATCGCCATTCTAACTGGTGTGAGATGGTATCTCATTGTGGTTTTGATTTGCATTTCCCTGATGGCCAGTGATGATGAGCATTTTTTCATGTGTTTTTTGGCTGCATAAATGTCTTCTTTTGAGAAGTGTCTGTTCATATCCTTTGCCCACTTTTTGATGGCGTCGTTTGTTTTTTTCTTGTAAATTTGTTTGAGTTCATTGTAGATTCTGTATATTAGCCCTTTGTCAGATGAGTAGATTGCAACAATTTTCTCCCATTCTGTAGGTTGCCTGTTCACTCTGATGGTAGTTTCTTTTGCTGTGCAGAAGCTCTTTAGTTTAATTAGATCCCATTTGTCAATTTTGGCTTTTGTTGCCATTGCTTTTGGTGTTTTAGACATGACGTCCTTGCCCATGCCTATGTCCTGAATGGTAATGCCTAGGTTTTCTTCTAGGGTTTTTATGGTTTTAGGTCCAACATTTAAGTCTTTAATCCATCTTGAATTAATTTTTGTATAAGGTGTAAGGAAGGCATCCAGTTTCAACTTTCTACATATGGCTAGCCGGTTTTCCCAGCACCATTTATTAAATAGGGAATCATTTCCCCATTTCTTGTTTTTGTCAGGTTTGTCAAAGATCAGATAGTTGCAGATATATGGCATTATTTCTGAGGGCTCTGTTCTATTCCATAGGTCTATATCTCTGTTTTGGTACCAGTACCATGCTGTTTTGGTTACTGTAGCCTTGTAGTACAGTTTGAAGTTAGGTAGCGTGATGCCTCCAGCTTTGTTCTTTTGGCTTAGGATTGACTTGGTAATGTGGGCTCTTTTTTGGTTCCATATGAACTTAAAGTAGTTTTTTCCAATTCTGTAAAGAAAGTCATTGGTAGCTTGATGGGGATGGCATTGAATCTATAAATTACCTTGGGCAGTATGGTCATTTTCACGATATTGATACTTCCTACCCATGAGCATGGAATGTTCTTCCATTTGTTTGTATCCTCTTTTATTTCATTGAGCAGTGGTTTGTAGTTCTCCTTGAAGAGGACCTTCACATCCCTTGTAAGTTGGATTTCTAGGTATTTTATTCTCTTTGTAGCAATTGTGAATGGGAGTTCAGTCATGATTTGGCTCTCTGTCTGTTATTGGTATATAAGAATGCTTGTGATTTTTGCACATTGACTTTGTATCCTGAGACTTTGCTGAAGTTGCCTATCAGCTTAAGGAGATTATAGGCTGAGACGATGGGGTTTTCTAGATATACAATCATGTCATCTGCAAACAGGGACAATTTGACTTCCTCTTTTCCTAATTGAATACCCTTTATTTCCTTCTCCTGCCTGATTGCCCTGGCCAGAACTTCCAACACTATGTTGAATAGGAGTGGTGAGAGAGGGCATCCCTGTCTTGTGCCAGTTTTCAAAGGGAATGCTTCCAGTTTTTGCCCATTCAGTATGATATTGGCTGTGGGTTTGTCTTAGATAGCTGTTATTATTTTGAGATACGTCCCATCAATACCTAATTTCTTGAGAGTTTTTAGCATAAAGGGTTGTTAAATTTTGTCAAAGGCCTTTTCTGCATCTATTGAGATAATCATGTGGTTTTTGTCGTTGGTTCTGTTTATATGCTGGATTACGTTTATTGACTTGCGTATGTTGAACCAGCCTTGCATCCCAGGGATGAAGCCCACTTGATCATGGTGGATAGGCTTTTTGATGTGCTGCTGGATTTGGTTTGCCAGTATTTTATTGAGGATTTTTGCATCGAGGTTCATCAGGGATACTGGTCTAAAATTCTCTTTTTTTGTTGTGTCTCTGCCAGGCTTTGGTATCAGGATGATGCTGGCATCATAAAATGAGTTAGGGAGGATTCCCTCTTTTTCTATTGATTGGAATAGTTTCAGAAGGAATGGTACCAGCTCCTCCTTGTACCTCTGGTAGAATTTGGCTGTGAATCCATCTGGTCCTGGACTTTTTTTGGTTGGTAAGCTATTAATTATTGCCTCAATTTCAGAGCCTGTTATTGGTCTATTCAGAGATTCAGCTTCTTCCTGGTTTAGTCTTGGGAGGGTGTATTTGTCGAGGAATTTATCCATTTCTTCTAGATTTTCTAGTTTATTTGCATAGAGGTGTTTATAGTATTCTCTGATGGTAGTTGGTATTTCTGTGGGATCGGTGGTGATATCCCCTTTATCATTTTTTATTGCATCTATTTGATTCTTCTCTCTTTTCTTCTTTATTAGTCTTGCTAGCGGTTTATCAATTTTGTTGATCTTTTCAAAAAACCAGCTCCTGGATTCATTAATTTTTTGAAGGGTTTTTTTGTCTCTATCTCCTTCAGTTCTGCTCTGATCTTAGTTATTTCTTGCCTTCTGCTAGCTTTTGAATGTGTTTGCTCTTGGTTCTCCAGTTCTTTTAATTGTGATATTAGGGTGTCAATTTTATTTCTTTCCTGCTTTCTCTTGTGGGCATTTAGTGCTATAAATTTCCCTCTACACACAGCTTTAAATGTGTCCCAGAGATTCTGGTATGTTGTGGCTTTGTTCTCGTTGGTTTCAAAGAACATCTTTATTTCTGCCTTCATTTCGTTATGTATCCAGTAGTCATTCCGGAGCAGGTTGTTCAGTTTCCATGTGGTTTAGTGGTTTTGAGTGAGTTTCTTAATCCTCAGTTCTAGTTTGATTGCACTTTGGTCTGAGAGACAGTTTGTTATAATTTCTGTTCTTTTACATTTGCTGAGGAGTGCTTTACTTCCAACTATGTGGTCAATTTTGGAATAGGTGTGGTGTGGTGCTGAGAATAATGTATATTCTGTTGATTTGGGTTGGAGAGTTCTGTAGATGTCTATTAGGTCCACTTGGTGCAGAGCTGAGTTCAATTCCTGGATATCCTCATTAACTTTCTGTCCCGTTGATCTGTCTAATGTTGACAGTGGGGTGTTAAAGTCTCCCATTATTATTATGTGGGAGTCTAAGTCTCTTTCTAGGTCTCTAAGGACTTGCTTTATGAATCTGGGTGCTCCTGTATTGGGTGCATATATATTTAGGATAGTTACCTCTTCTTGTTGAATTGATCCCTTTACCATTATGTAATGGCCTTCTTTGTCTCTTTTGATCTTTGTTGGTTTAAAGTCTGTTTTATCAGAGACTAGGATTGCAACCCCTGCCTTTTTTTGTTTTCCATTTGCTTGGTAGATCTTCCTCCATCCCTTTATTTTGAGCCTATGTGTGTCTCTGTACATGAGATGGGTTTCCTGAATACAACACACTGATGGGCCTTGACTCTTTATCCAATTTTCCAATCTGTGTCTTTTAATTGGAGCATTTAGCCCATTTACATTTAAGGTTAATATTGTCATGTGTGAATTTGATCCTGTCATTATGATGTTAGCTGGTTATTTTGCTCATTAGTTGATGCAGTTTCTTCCTAGCCTCGATGGTCTTCACAATCTGGCATGTTTTTGCAGTGGCTGGTACCAGTTGTTCCTTTCCATGTTTAGTGCTTCCTTCAGGAGCTCTTTTAGGGCAGGCCTGGTGGTGACAAAATCTCTCAGCATCTGCTTGTCTGTAAAGGATTTTATTTCTCCTTCACTTATGAAGCTTAGTTTGGCTGGATATGAAATTCGGGGTTGAAAATTCTTTTCTTTAAGAAGTTGAATATTGGCCGCCATTCTCTTCTGGCTTGTAGAGTTTCTGCTGAGAGGTCAGCTGTTAGTCTGATGGGCTTCCCTTTGTGGGTAACCCGAGCTTTCTCTCTGGCTGCCCTTAACATTTTTTCCTTCATTTCAACTTTCGTGAATCTGACAATTATGTGTCTTGGAGTTGCTCTTCTCGAGGAGTATCTTTGTGGCGTTTTCTGTATTTCCTGAATTTGAATGTTGGCCTGCCTTGCTAGATTGGGGAAGTTCTCCTGGATAATATCTTGCAGAGTGTTTTCCAACTTGGTTCAATTCTCCCCATCACTTTCAGGTACACCAATCAGATGTAGATTTGATCTTTTCACATAGTCCCATATTTCTTGGAGGCTTTGTTTGTTTCTTTTTATTCTTTTTTCTCTAAACTTCTCTGTTTGCTTTATTTCATTCATTTGATCTTCCATCACTGATACCCTTTCTTCCAGTTGATCGAATCAGCTACTGAAGCTTGTGCATTCGTCACGTAGTTCTTGTGCCATGGTTTTCAGCTCCATCAGGTCCTTTAAGGACTTCTCTGCATTGGTTATTCTAGTTAGCCATTCGTCTAATCTTTTTTCAAGGTTTTTAACTTGTTTTCCACGGGTTCGAACTTCCTCCTTTAGCTCGGAGAAGTTTGATCATCTGAAGCCTTCTTCTCTCAACTCATGAAAGTCATTCTCCGTCCAGCTTTGTTCTGTTGCTGGTGAGGAGCTGCAATCCTTTGAAGGAGGAGAGGCGCTCTGATTTTTAGAATTTTCAGTTTTTCTGCTCTGTTTTTTCCCCATCTCTGTGGTTTTATCTACCTTTGGTCTTTGATGATGGTGATGTACAGATGGGGTTTTGGTGTGGATGTCCTTTCTGTTTGTTAGTTTTCCTTCTAACAGTCAGGACCCTCAGCTGCAGGTCTGTTGGAGTTTGCCGGAGGTCCACTCCAGACGCTGTTTGCCTGGGTATCAGCAGCAGAGGCTGCAGAACAGCGAATATTGGTGAACAGCAAATGTTGCTGCCTGATCATTCCTCTGGAAGTTTTGTCTCAGAGGAGTACCCGGCTGTATGAGGTGTCAGTCTGCCCCTACTGGGGGGTGCCTCCCAGTTAGGCTACTTGGGGGTCAGGGACCCACTTGAGGAGGCAGTCTGTCCGTTCTCAGATGTCAAGCTGCATGCTGGGAGAACCACTACTGTCTTCCAAGCTGTCAGACAGGGACATTTAAGTCTGCAGAGGTTTCTGCTGCCTTTTGTTTGGCTATGCCCTGTCCCCAGAGGTGGACTCTAAAGAGGCAGGCAGGCCTCCTTGAGCTGCGGTGGGCTCCACCCAGTTTGAGCTTCCAGGCTGCTTTGTTTACCTACTCAAGCCTCGGCAATGGCTAACAAACAGCCTCGCTGCTGCCTTGCAGTTTGATCTCAGACTGCTGTGCTAGCAATTAGCGAGGCTCTCTGGGCGTAGGACCCTCTGAGCCATGTGCGCGATGTAATCTCCTGGTGTGCCGTTTGCTAAGACTGTGGGAAAAGCGCAGTATTAGGGTGGGGGTGACCCGATTTTCCAGGTGCTGTCTGTCATCCCTTTCCTTGGCTAGGAAAGGGAATTCCCTTGTCCCTTGTGCTTCCCGGGTGAGGCAATGCCTCGCCCTGCTTCAGCTCATGCTCGGTGTGCTGCACCCACTTTCCTGCACCCACTGTCTGATAGTCCCTAGTGAGATGAACCCAGTACCTCAGTTGGAAATGCAGAAATCATTCATCTTCTGCGTCACTCACTCTGGGAGCTGTAGACTGGAGTTGTTCGTATTTGGCCATCTTGGAACCGCCCCAAGTGTTCCTTTTTCTCTGCAATTTTGCCAACATCTGTTTTTTTGACTTTTTAATAATCACCGTTCTGACTGGCATGAGATGGTACTTCACTGTGCTGAATGTGTGTCTTTTGAGAAGTGTCACTTCATGTCCTTTTGCTCACTTTTTAATGGGGTTTTTTTTTCTTATAAATTTGCTTATTTTTAGACTCTGGATATTAGACATTCATCAGATGGATAGATTGTAAACATTTTCCCCCATTCTGTAGGTTGTCTGTTCATTCTGATGATAGTGAGAGGTGACAGCATGCTGGCAGTCCTCACAGCCCTCGCTCACTCTTGGCGCCTCCTCTGCCTGGGCTCCCACTTTGGCGGCACTTGAGGAGCCCTTCAGCCTGCCGCTGCCCTGTGGGAGCCCCTTTCTGGGCTGGCCAAGGCCGGAGCCAGCTCCCTCAGCTTGCGAGGAGGTGTGGAGGGAGAGGCGCGGGTGGGAACCGGGCCTGCACACGGTGCTTGTGGGCCAGCGTGAGTTCCGGGTGGGCGTGGGCTCCGTGGACTCTGCACTTGGAGCGGCCAGCCAGCCAGCCCCACCGGCCCTGGGCAGTGAGGGGCTTAGCACCTGGGCCAGCAGCTGCTGTGCTCAATTTCTCACCCGGCCTTAGCTGCCTTCCCGCGGGGCAGGGCTCGGGACCTTCAGCCCGCCATGCCTGAGCCTCCCCGCCCTCTGTGGGCTCCTGTGCGGCCCGAGCCTCCCTGACAAGTGCCACCCCCTGCTCCACAGTGCCCAGTCCCATCGACCACCCAAGGGCTGAGGAGTGCGGGCGCACGGTGTGGGACTGGCAGGCAGCTCCACCTGCAGCCCTGGTGCGGGATCTGCTGGGTGAAGCCAGCTGGGCTCCTGAGTCTGGTGGGGATGTGGAGAACCTTTATGTCTAGCTAAGGGATTGTAAATACACCAATCAGCACTCTGTATCTAGCTCAAGGTTTGTAAACACACCAATCAGCCCCCTGTGTCTAGCTCAGTGTTTGTGAATGCACCAATTGACACTCTGTATCTAGCTACTCTGGTGGAGCCTTGGAGAACCTTTATGTCTAGCTCAGGGATTGTAAACACACCAATCGGCACTCTGTATCTAGCTCAAGGTTTGTAAACACACCAATCAGCACCCTGTGTCTAACTCAGGGTTTGTGAATGCACCCATCGACACTCTATATCTAACTACTCTGGTGGGGACTTGGAGAACCTTTGTGTGGACACTCTTTATCTAGCTAATCTAGTGGGGACCTGGAGAACCTTTGTGTCTAGCTCAGGGATTGTAAACGCACCAGTCAGCAACCTGTCAGAACAGACTACTCGGCTCTCTGTAAAATGGACCAATCAGCAGGATGTAGGTGGGGCCAGATAAAAGAATAAAAGCAGGCTGCCGGAGCCAGCAATGGCAACCCGCTTGGGTCCCCTTCCACACTGTGGAAGCTTTGTTCTTTCGCTGTTTGCAATAAATCTTGCTACTGCTCACTCTTTGGGTCCACACTGCCTTTATGAGCTGTAACACTCACCGCGAAGGTCTGCAGCTTCACTCCTGAAGTCAGCGAGACCATGAGCCCACTGGGAGGAATGAACAACTCCAGACGTGCCGCCTTAAGAGCTGTAACACTCACCGTGAAGGTCTGCAGCTTCACTCCTGAGCCAGCGAGACCACGAACCCACCAGAAGGAAGAAACTCCAAACACATCCGAACGTCAGAAGGAACAAACTCTGGACACGCCGCCTTTAAGAACTATAACACTCACTGCGAGGGTCCACGGCTTCATTCTTGAAGTCAGTGAGACCAAGAACCCACCAATTCTGGACACAATAGTTTCTTTTGCTGTGCAAAAGTTCTTTAGTTTGATGAGATCCTATTTGTCAAGTTTTGCTTTTGTTGCAATTGCTTTTGGCTTTTTGTTGTCATGAAATATTTGCCTGTGCCTATGTCCTGAATGCTATTGCTTGGATTTTCTTCTAGAGTTTTTATAGTTTTGGGTTTTACATTTAAGTCTTTAATCTATCTTGAATTAATTTTTGTATATGGTGTATGGAAGGGGTTCTAGTTTCAATTTTCTGCGTATAGCTAGCCAGCTCTTCCAGCATCATTTATTAAATAGGGGGCCCTTTCCGCATTGCTTGTTTTTGTCAGGTTTGTCAAAGATCAGATGGTTGTAGGTGTGCAAGTCTTATTTCTGAGTTCTCTATTCTGTTCCATTGGCCTATGTGTCTGTTCTTTTACCAGTACCATGCTGTTTTAGTTACTGTAGCCTTGTAATATAGTTTGAAGTTAGGTGGTGTGATGCCTCCAGCTTTGTTCTTTTTGCTTATTTGGGCTCTTCTTTTGTTCCATATAAATTTTAAAATAGCTTTTTCTAATTCTGTGAAGAATGTCAATGGAAGTTTGATGGGAATAGCATTGAATCTATACATTATTTGGGGCAGTATGTCCATTTTCACGATATGATTCTTCCTATCCACAAGCATGGAATGTTTCTCCATTTTTTTGTGTCACCTCTGATTTCTGGAGCAGTGTTTGTAGTTATCCTTGAGAAGGTCCCTCTCACTTTCTTTGTTAGCTGTATTCCTAGGTATTTTATTCTTTTTGTAGCAGTTGTGAATGTGAGTTCAGGATTTAGCTCTCTGCCTGCCTGTTGTTGGTATATAGGAATGCTAGCAATTTTTGCACATTGATTTTGTATCCTGAGACTTTGCTGAGGTTGCTTATCAGCTTAAGAAGTTTCTGGGCCAAGACAATGGGTTTTCTAGATATAGGATCATGTCATCTGCAAACAGGGATAATTTGAGTTCCTCTCTTCCTATTTGAATACTCCTTATTTCTTTCTCTTGCCTGACTTCCCAGGCCAGAACTTCCAACACTGCATTGAATAGGAGCAATGAGGGAGGGCATCCTTGTCTTGTGCCTGTTTTCAAAGGGAATGCTTCAAGCATTTGCCCATTCAGTATGATATTGGCTGTCGGTTTGTCATATATGGCTCTGATTATTTTGAGGTATATTCCTTCAATATCTAGTTTATTGAAATTTCTTAACATGAAAAGATGTTGAATTTTATTGAAAGCCTTTTCTGCATTTATTGAGATAGTCATTTTTTTTTGTCTTAAGTTCTGTTTATGTGATGAATCACATTTATTAATTTGTATATGTTGAACCAAACTTTCATCCTGGGGATGAAGCCAACTTGATCATGGTAGATAAGCTTTTTGATGTGCTGCTGGATTCGGTTTGCCAGTATTTTGTTGCGGATTTTTGTATCGATGTTCATGAAGGATATTGGCTTTAAGTTTTCTGTTTTTGCTGTATCTCTCCCAGGTTTTGGTATCGGGAGGATGCTGGATACAATCAGTTAGGGAGGAGTCCCTCCTTTTCAGTTGTTTGGAATAATTTCAGTAGAAATGGTTCCCACTCTTCTTTTTACCTTTGGTAGAATTCAGCTGTGAATTCATCTGGTCCTGGGAGTGTTTTGGTTGGTAAGCTATTTGGTAAAGCTGCCTCAATTTTAGAACTCATTATTGATCTGTTCAGGGATTCAATTTCTTCCTGGTTCAGTCTTGGGAGGGTGTATGTGTCCAAGAACTCATCCATTTCTTCTAGATTTTCTAGTTCATGTGCATAGAGGTGTTTATAGTATTCTCTGCTGATTGTTTGTATTTCTGTGGGGTCAGTGGTGATATCCCCCTTATAATTTCTGATTGTGTTTATTTGATTCTTCTCTCTTTTCTTTATTAGTCTAGCTAGTGGTGTATCTATTTTATTAATTTTTTTCAAAAAACCAGCTCCTGAATTTGTTCTTTGTAGGGTTTTTCATGTCTCTATCTCCTTCAGTTCAGCTCTGATCTTGGTTATTTCTTGTCTTCTGCTAGCTTTAGGGTTTGTTTGCTCTTGGTTCTCTAGTTCT
Organism: Homo sapiens; assembly: GCF_000001405.40. NCBI lineage: Eukaryota > Metazoa > Chordata > Mammalia > Primates > Hominidae > Homo > Homo sapiens. The sequence goes on along the minus strand of NC_000002.12, from coordinate 110,187,108 downwards.
TTTAGTTGAGATGTTAGGTTGTTAACTTGAGATCTTTCTAGCTTTTTGATGTGGGCATTTAGTGATATAAATTTTCCTCTGAACACTGCTTTAGCTGCATTTCAGAGATTCTGATACGTTGTCTCTTTGTTCTCATTAGTTTCAAAGAACTTCTTGATTTCTGCTTTAATTTCATTATTTACCTGAGTCATTCAGGGACAGGTGGTTATTTTCCTTGTAGTTGTGTGATTTTGACTGGATTTCTTTCTTTCTTTCTTTCTTTTTTTTAAATGTGTCTATCAGAATGACTTTATTTCAGTACACTGAGCCCCATCAGGCAGTGTGGTTTGTGCAAGGCTGTGCGAGGGACAGGCTTGGGCTAAGAGAAGGGAGGTGAGTTGTTAAGTGCACTGCAGTCTGTGGGGTGCTACATCGCTTTCACACACACCTGCTCCTTTGGCCCATACCTGGCAGGGGCCTTTGGTCATAGGACAGCATGGGGGAGACTACTGCATGGAGTCTGGGATTGGGGTGGGTCATGGTGTCACAGGTGAGGGTGCCGGTGAAGACAGGCTGGCCCCAGCTTTGCACCACCTGGGCTAAAGGCCTTTGGACTACTCCTAGGAGTCAGGCCTGGCTCCATTAGCTCCTGGCACTCTGGTCTGGCCCTCTCCCTCCTTAACCAAGCAGGTCCAAGGTCAAGAGTGGCCCAAGATCAGCCAAGAGGGGGCCATCCCACCTCTACAGCTTAGTTGCCTGGTCAGCTATAGTGGCAAAAGGCAACATGGTTAATTGCAGCTTTCTCCAGTCCTAAGGACACTGGCTCTCCAACACCCCTTCCTTGTTTAGGGGCCTCTGCCAAAGAAAAATTCTACCTCCTGTTTCAGAAAATCTAACCAGCAACCAGCCTGTTGATTCTATGGCAGTGAGCAAGAGAAAGAGGGAGAAAGAGGCTGGTGGGAGTGTCTTTGAGTATAGCTACCAATTTCAAATGGTCCTGCAACCTGTGGACACTGTCCGCTTACCATCAGCAGGGAGAGGCGGGGCCCTGGAGGCTAGGCTAAGCTTAGGTGCTATAAACATTAGTGTGGCAGGGCAGGAGGCAGTGAGCTCCCTCTCTCCATCCCCTTACTGAACAAACACTTCAATAAATAAAACTGTTTGAAGATGGCATTGCAACAAGAACGGATGGAAAGCAAGGACCTGGAATCAGCAGGCACCTTAAACTCTCCCAAGGCCCCTGGAAGGGGAATGGGCTGGGAACATTATCTCTGCAGCCATTCAGGGGGAGTACTACTCCTGCCCTCCTCCAGTGGCTGGTGTGGTCCTGTTCCCTGGTGAACATGAGGGCTTCCTGCTCCCTCCTGACTTTCCAGTCTCTGTATTAGCTCTTGGGATGCTTTTCTAGCCTCCCAAACCAAAATGGCAACAAAACCAGACAGAGGTCAACCCCAGCCCCAGTCCTCAGTGCCCAGTCAGGGGGCATTGATAGCGGAGTGACCAGCAAGGGGAGGCAGCAGCTGCCTGGGTCCTCAGGGCACCCTGGTGGGTGGGAGTGAGGGTGGGGCCAGTCCAGCCTAGGATGGGCAGCAGCAAGGTCTCCCAGGGGGTGGTTTATCTCCCTCTGTCTCCCCGTGGTAGTAAACGGAGTTCCCTGCAGCCAGTCAGAGGCCCACCTGAGGAGGGAGTGCAGCCTCTGCCAGTGTTCTTCCCTGTCAGGAGCCAGTTAATGGTCACCCCCAGGCCTCAGGCCATCACCATCGTGGGTAGTTCCTCATCCTTTCTGGACCTGGGGTCCCTGGGCCACATGGCACTTGCATGTGCTCACACACTTGTATACACACATGCACTCACACACACAGGCAATTCCTCACAAACACTCTGACTCAACAAAGCGAGTTTTAAAGTGGAGTTAACTTCAGAGAGAGGTGAAGATGATATCCCAACATTAGAAGGTTTTCCTGTGGATAGATCAGGCACCGTCTTCCTCATATTCCTTCTTGGAGACCCACATCTTCTTAAAGGTGTCATGGAGGCAAGGATAGAGCCCTCAATCCACGTGGAATACAGTCTCTCCTGAGGTGCAAATATCCTGATCTTCACTTCACTCAGTAGCCTGTCACCAAAACCTTTGAACAAGGTAGAGCCTCCCAAGAGGACGATGTTGGAGAAAAGTGTGAACTGCAGGTCCATGTCTGACTTCTGGATGGCGAACACCAGGACCTTGTGGATGCCTTCACTCTCCTCCCTGATCAAGTCTGGCCTGAAGAGCAGCTCAGGGGCCCGGAATTGGGAAGGACCAATCTCAATGGTGCTGCCATCAGGCAGGTAGTACTGAGCCTTCTCTGTCTCTAGTGTCTCTTCCTTCTGGGGGTTTATGGATAGGTAGGAGGGTCTTTCTTTTATGGCCTTGACAATCTCAAACTCAAAGGATGAGTGGAAATCTCAAACGATGAGTGGAAATCATAGCCCTCCTTATGCAGGTAGAGGTGCAGGAAGCGAGAGATGTTCCAGCTTGCGATGTCAATTCGCATGATGGAGTGGGGCATGGCAAAGCCCTGATAGATGGGCACAGCATGGGTGATGCCATCCCCAGAATCCAGCACCACCCCCGTGGTCCTGCCTGTGGCATAAAGGCTGAGCACAGCTTACATGGAGATGAAAATAGCAGGCACATTGAAGCTCTTGAAGAAAACGTTGGCAGCTCATTCCTGGTGTCTTTGTGGGTTTAAAGGTGCCTCAGTGAGGAGCACGAGATGCTCCTCTGAGAAAGTCTGCAGCTGGTCCTTAGAATAGACATATTGCCAGATGTGTTCCATGTCGTTCCAGTCCTTGACAATGCCATGCTCCGTGAGATAGCAGATTGAGAGCAGCCCTTGGTGCTCCTTGGCTTTGAAGCCAATGAAGATGTCACCTTCAAGGGCTCCTGCCATGATACGAATATGCATGGGTAGGCCCACATACTTTGGAAAGCAGTATTTGTGGATCTGATCACCAGCAAAACCAGCTTTAATCACACCAGATTCATTGTCGATCATGACAGGCTGGTTGGTGATTGTATCGTAAGACTCCACGGCAGAGGAATCTCTCCTGGGGAAGGAACTACCAGTTGGGTCTGCCGCTAGTGCCATTCATGAATTTCTTAATCTTGAGTTCTAATTTGATTGCATTTTGGTCTGTTTGTTATAATTTCAGTTCTTTTTCATTTGCTGAGGAATATTTTATTTCCGATTACTTGATCAATTTTAGAGTAAGTGCCTTGTGGTGATGAGTAGAATGCATATTTTGTTGTTTTTGGGTGGAGAGTTCTGTAGATATCTATTAGGTTCACTTGATCCAGAGCTGAGTTCAGGTCCTGAATATCTTTATCAATTTTCTGTGTGGATGACCTGCCTAATATTGTCAGTGGGGTATTAAAGTCTCCCACTATTATTGTATGGGAGTCCAAGTCACTTTGAAAATCATAAGAACTTGCTGTATGAATCTGGGTTGCCGAGACCAGCTCGGTCATGGAGACCCTAACCCAGCGGCGCTAGAGGAATTAAAGACACACACACAGAAATATAGTGTGTGGAGTGGGAAATCAGGGGTCTCACAGCTTTCAGAGCTGAGAGCATTGAACAGAGATTTACCCACATATTTATTGACAGCAAGCCAGTGATAAGTATTGTTTCTATAGATTATAGATTTACTAAAAGTATTCCTTACGGGAAATAAAGGGATGGGCCGAAATAAAGGGGAGGTTCTGGCTAGTTATCTGCAACAGGAACATGTCCTTAAGGCACAGATCGCTCATGCTATTGTTTGTGGTTCAGGAATGCCTTTAAGCAGTTTTCCGCCCTGGGTGGGCCAGGTGTTCCTTTCCCTCATTCTGGTAAACCCACAACCTTCACCATGGGCATCATGGCCATCATGAACATGTCACAGTGCTGCAGAGATTTTGTTTATGGCCAGTTTTGGGGCCAGTTTATGGCCAGATTTCGGGGTCTCTTCCCAACATGGGTGCTCTTTTTTTGGGTGCATATGTATTTAGGATAGCTCTTCTTGTTGAATTGAACCTTTTACCATTGTGTAATGCCCTTCTTTGTCTTTTTTTTATCTTTATTGGCTTAAAGTCTGTTTTGTCAGAAGCTAGAATTGCAACCCCTGCTTTTTTCTGTTTTCCATTTGCTTGGTAAATTTTCCTCCATCCCTTTATTTTGAACCTATGTGTGTCTTTGCAAATGACGTGGATCTCTTGAAGACAGCATACCGATGGATCTTGACTCTTTATCCAGCTTGCCATTCTGTGTCTTTTTAATTGGGGCATTTAACCCACTTACATTTAAGGTTAGTATTGTTTTGTGTGAGTTTGATCCTATCATCATTATTCTAGCTGGTTATTTTGCAGATTTGTTTATGTGGTTGCTTCATAGTGTCACTGGTCTGTGTACTTCAGTGTGTTTTTATAGTGGGTGGTATCAATTTCTCCTTTCCGTATTTAGTCCTTCCTTCAGGAGCTCTTGCAGGGCAGGCCTGGTGGTGACAAATTCCCTAAGCATTTGCTTGGTCTGAAAAGGATCTTATTTCTCCTTCATGTATGAAGCTTAGTTTGGCCGGATTTGAAATTCTGGGTTGGAAATTTCTTTTCTTTAAGAATGATGAATATTGGTCCCCAGTCTCTGCTGGCTTATAGGGTTTGGGTTTCCACTGAGAGGTATGCTGTTAGTCTGATGAGCTTCCTTTTGTAGGTGAGCTGGCCTTTCTCTCTGGCTGCCTTTAACTTTTTTTTTTTTCATTTTGACCTTGAAGAATCATGATTATGTGTGTTGGGGTTGATCTTCTCATGGAGTACCTTACTGGGGTTCTCTGGATTTCCTGAATTTGAATGTTGGCTTGTCTTGCTAGGTTGGGGGAATTCTTCTGTATGATATTCTAAAGTATGTTTTTCAACGTGGTTCCATTTTTCCTGTCTTTTTTAGGTACCCCAATAAGTCACGGGTTTGGTCTGTATACATAATCCCATATTTCTCTAAGGTTTTGTTCATTCATTTTCATTCTTTTTTCCCTATTCTTGTCCGCCTGTCTTAATTCAGAAACATAATCTTCAAGCTCTGAGATTCTTTCCTCTGCCTTGTCTATTCTGCTATTGATACTTGTGATTGCATTATAAAGTTCTTGTGTTTTTCACCTCTATCAGGTCAGTTATGTTCCTCTCTTAATTGGCTGTTCTGGCTATCAGCTCCTGTATTGGTTTATCATGATTCTTAGCTTCTTTGCAGTGGGTTTCAACATACTCCTTTAACTCAACAAAGTTTTTTATTACCCACTTTCTGAAGCCTCCTTCTGTAAGTTCAGCCATCTCAGCATCATCCCACTTCTGTGCCCTTGCTGGAGTGGTGTTGTGGTCATTTGGAGCAGAAGAGGCACTCTGGCTTTTTGAGTTTTCAGCATTTTGTGTCAATTATTTCTCATCTTTGTGGGCTTATTTGCCTTTGATCTTTGAGGTTGCTGACCTTTAAATAGGATTTTTGTTGAGTTTTTATTGTTGATGTTGTTGTTGTTGTTTTCTGTTTGTTTTTCTTTTAACAGTCAGGACACTCTACTGTAGTGTTGCTGTGGTTTGCTGTACCCCAGACCCTAATTGCCTCAGTTTTTCCCATACCTGGAAGTATCACCAGTGAAGGCTGCAAAACAGCAAATATGGCAGCCAGCTCCTTCCTCTGGAAGCTCTGTCCCAGGAGAGTACTGATTTGTTGCCAGCCCAAACGCACTTTGTAGGAGGTGGCTGGAAACCCCTTTTGGGAGGTCTCACCCAGTCAGGTGGAATGGGATTACAGACCCACTTAAAGAAGCAGTCTGGCTGCTTTTTGGTAGAGCACATATGATACATTAGGAGGGGACTCTTTCTTCTGGACCATTTGTATTCTCCAAAGCCAGCAGGCTAGAATGGCTAAGTCTACTGAACCCCAGAGATAGCAGCCACCCCTGCCCCGGTAACTTGGAACTGCCTCAGAAAGATTCCAGACTGCTTTGGTTGGCTGGCTGGAATTCCAAGCCAGTGGGTCTTAACTTGTGAGTTGCCATGGAAGTGGGGGCCATGGAAGTGGGGCCCACGGAACAATGCTGCTTGGCTCCCTGGATTCAGCTCCCTTTCTAGGGATATATACAGATGGATATCCCCCCTTGCTGGGGATCTTGGGGCCAGAGTATATAAAATTCCTGGGTCACTGTATGTGCCTGAGCAGCTGCTCTGCTGAGACACCACACAGTTCTGTGTATTGGACCCAAGGCCCTGGTGGCATGAACTCAGGAGATCTCCTGATCTGTGGGTTGCAGAGATCCGTGGGAGAAACATGGTTTTCTGGGCAGGGTTGCATGGTCACTCACCACTTCTCTTGGTTGGGGATGGGGGTTCCTTTGGCTGCATGCCACTCCCAGGTTGGCTCTTGTTCCCCTTGTTCCCTGGCTTTTCTACATTCTCATGGGTCAAGGTGTTTGCCTTGTCAGTCTCAATGTGAGAACCTGGATATTTCAGTTTAAAGTGCTGAATTCACTTGCCCTTCTTCATTCCTCTCAGTGAGTGCCATAGACCACAGCTGCTTCTAATTGGCCATCTTGGATCAACGTTGTTATTCCCTTTTTCACTGCTTATTTCATTTCACTCACATCTATAAGCAAAAAAAAAAAAAAAAAAAAAAAGACTCAAACGGCATAAAAAAGTGACTTTTGTAGGTTATTGTTTAGTAAAGCATTTGAATTAAAAAAATCTCATCATGAGCTATAGCTCATATTTGGTCATTTTTTGTACTTCTCATTTGGGTATCTAAGACTTAATGCTGAATTGAGGCATCTGTGGAATAAATAAAACTCTGGACCTGTCTGGACAAGCAAGCTCAAAGCAGGAGTGTGCTGTGGTGGGAATAGGCCAACTGTGGAATCCTAAACTGCCTTCATATTGTTGCTGTACCATTGAGCAGCTATGTGGACTTGGTACACATAGCTTGAGAAGCTATGTAGAACTTCTCTTTCTTTAAGTGGAGTGAGGGTTGTTATGAGGCTTAAATGAGGTAATGTTTGTAAACTGCTTAACATGGTTGGCACACAGTAAACTTTAGGTACTATTATCAGTTTTGTCTCTGAGGCTAGTTCCTAGGTTTATGGAGTTGTAGAGCTGGAGAAGCATTTTAAAGTCCAGCGTTCTTCCTTATTTTAGAGAGAGGAAACTGATGCCCAGAGACACTGAAGGTTTCTGAGGCTTGGTTATCATGTCTATGTGTTTTACAGCTTGGCTATGAGGATCATCTGAGCTAATAGGTGGAAAAGCATTTATATGTCAGTTTTTTAGTATTGTTCATACAGTGGCTAATTGCCTTGCCTGCTCAACGACTGAATGATTTTATAAAATAGCTTTCTGGTTCTGATAATAGAAAAATCAATATATTTTCTTTTTTTTCTTAATTTAGATGTATCCAGTTAAAGCAGGCAATAGATGAAAATAAAAATGCTCTTCAAAAATTAAGCAAAGTAAGTATTGAGGTTAATCACATTATTAAAACATCTCTTCCTATACAAGTATTTTTATTAAGTGGAAGTTAATTCAAGTTGGTAAGTTCCTGGGTTTACGTTAGTGATATAGTCTAACTGCAGCCAGTGCTGGCTTGCCGAACAGGCTTGCTAAGTCTGTGCTTGGGAGCAAAGCAAAATCCAGGGCTCCAACTACCGAAAAATGTTCAGCTTTGATGAACTCACCTGCTATTAAGGATTCAGACAATCCTGGAAGGAGCTATTTTTATTTTTGCATTTTGTGAGTTGTTTTACAGTTTAGAATTATTTTTATTTTAATTTCTTTGTGGGGAAATAATGCATAATCTGGCCCTGAGGGTAAGTGGTAAAGAAGCTTCTTGTATCAAATGGCAGCTCTGATATCAATGTCTCTGCAGAAACAAGAGGAACAGGAATTTAACCTTGACAATCCCTTCAGGATTTTTTTTTTTTTTTCACATGAGCCTTGGCTACAGCTAGATGTCCAGGTCCAGAGACTCATGGAGTCTTTAAAGTGGAAGGCACCTGAAAGTCAGCTCTCCAGCTGTATATTACTCCCCTTTACTGCATCTGAGATATGTGGTCACTGAAGAGCTCCTCCAAATTTCTCCAGTGACACAAAACTTTTCAACTTAGACTGTTTGAAAACCTAATTATTTCTGTTTCACAGGTGAGGAAATTGAAGCTCTCAGTGGTGAAGCATCCATGCCTCTTCTGTCAATAAGTGGCAGAACTTGGGATTGGTGCCTGTCTCATTGACTTTAAAGCCGATCTTCTGTCAGAACATATCTCTTACTGACTATGGAAGGTCTATAATACTTAGCAAGAAAATAAAAGAGAAACCTAAAACAAGTGGTATAATTTTATTTTTTCATTTGGTTTGCATTCCAACACAATTGCCTGTTTCTTTTAAATCTAATTTATTTCCCTAAGATAGGTGTAATGTCACACTGATATTTACTTTGTTATATAGCACTTATTGGAATTTTTTGTTGTTCTTTTGAAATTAGGAAACTGAAATTAATTTTTTAGTGAAATAGACCTATATTCTCTCATAGGCTGATGAATCTGCACCTGTTGCAAACTATAATCAGAGAAAAGAAGAGGAGCATACTCTTTTGGACAAGCTTACCCAACAACTGCAGGGCCTTGCTGTGACAATAAGCAGAGAAAATATAACTGAGTATGCTTCCTTTCTACCTTTCTTTTTTCTTTTTTAAAGATATATCACCAATAGCTTTAATGTTTAACTCAAAGACATATAGCAGTATAGATATAAACAAATGACACTAACAATAGAATCAGTCAACATTTATTTATTGTGTATAATAGAAGGTGTTAGATCCCATGAGAGATGGAAAGAAGTGTAAGTCATAGTCTCTGCCCTCAGGCAATTTATAATTTAGTTGAAACAAAACAGAGATCTGAAAAGCTAAATGAACAAATGTTAGAAAATAAAGATGATATATTTAATGTCAATGTTGATGTGTAAAAGGGAAATGATTTGGAATGTCTACTTGCATTGTTCTCCCTTTCATAAACATTCTTTAAAAATTTGAAGCAAAGACTGAGTGTGGTGACTCATACCTGTAATCCCAGCATTTTGGAAGGCTGAGGCAGGAGGATCACTTGAGGCCAGGAGTTCAAGACCAGCCTGGGCAATACAGTGGACCCCATCTCTACAAAAAAACCCAAACTAGTCAGGCTTGGTGGCACGTACCTGTAGTCCCAGCTACTTGGGAGGCTGAGGCAAGGAGGATTGCTTGAGCCCAGAAGTTCCAGGCTGCAGTGAGCTATAATCACCTCAGTGCACAGCCTGGGCAACGGAGTGAGACACTGTCTCTATTAAAAAAAAAAAAAATTGAAGTAGGGACATGCATTGTTTGTCTGCCAGAGTGTATGTTAATAATAGCTTCTGAAAGTTGTAAAGAAGACTTACATATACAAGTTGAGTATTCCTTATCTGAAATGCTTGGGATCAGAAGTATCTTCAGTTTTGGATTGTTTTGGATTTTGGAATATTTGCATTGTACTTACTTGTTGAGCATCCCTAATCTGGAAATCTACATTTTGAAAGACTCCAATGAGCATTTCCTTGGAGTGTTATTTTGATGCTCCAAAAGTTTCAGATTTAGGAGTATTTCGGATTTTGGATTTTCTGATTAGGGATACCCAACCTGTACGAACAAACCCAATTTGTGGGAAGCAAAAGAAAAAAATCAGTTATTCAGACTATTTCAGTGTTGTTCTCCAACCTTTATACTGTATCCTGGGAAAAAATGCTGAAGGTGGTAGATGCAAGGATCTAGAATTTCCACCGATTCTTAGTACTGAGAATGGCAGAGTAGTTGGTATTGGACTAACCTTCCCACCATAAATGACTATAAAGTCTGGACAAAATATACAAAGCATCTGTTTGAAGCCACTGAGCATCTACCAAGCAGGGTTGATATTCTTGATATAGGGAGACACATGAAGCAAATCCTACATTCACCTAGACCTTTTCCCTGGGAATAATTTATGAGCTGTGGTGGAGGAAGGTAGATTCCAAGCAGGGAATAGTAGTCTTACTCGACTGAGGAGACAGAGATCACACTTTGGAGCTGCTCAGTTCACTGAGAGTTGTGGAGCAAGGTGCCATAGAGAGAAGGGAGCTGCACAGAAACAACTCCAGCAATCTGAAAGGTCTCCTGGGCTGTATAGGGCATGATGCCTGCAAGGCCTGGCAGAAAGTACCTGCTGGGAGACTAAGAGCTTAATGGATTCTGGTAATCATATAGTCCTGGAAAAACACTGGAGTTTGTACCTAGTTCTAGTAAAGAGACTTGGGAAATGTTTCAGGCATTTAGTAGAGGACACAGAAGGCCCAGGCCCTAGGAGTAAAGAAAACACCCTGAGAGTAACAACCATGATCTAGGAATAAAGACAAAGCTGAGGTAGGTCTTCTCTAAAAGAGCCTAAAAGCAGACCTTATCAGGAACAAGATAATTTAACTGTGTAACATTAAAATAATTTAAAATTTCTTAGAGGAATATAACATAATCCAAAGTCTGTAAGTGAGTCATGTAATGTGTCCATCACAGCAACCAGTATAAAAAAAATCAGAAATGCAAAAAAGCAGGGGAAAATACATGATCAATAAGTGACAAGATGGTCACTAAAAACAGACCCAGATATGATCCAGATATAGAGTTAGCTGACAAGGACTTCTAAATAAAATGATTAATACAGTAAAGAAAATAGAAGAAAAGATGAATGAAATGGGAAATGGGTGTATTTAATTCAAATATAGAAAAATCAAATGAACATTCTATAACTAAAAAATACAATATTTGATAAAGTAATGACTGAGAACTTCCAAAATCTGATTCAACATATAGACTCAAAAATCTGGGAAATATATTAAAATCAAGAGAATAAATAATCAGTAGCTCGGAGATGTGAGAATTAGCAAATAACCATAAAACAACAATTTTTAATATGTTAAATAATTTATAGGAAAAGATTGATAAGATGAATAGAGCGAAATCTTAAGCAGAGAAATGGGAACTAATAAAGACCAAAATGAAAATTCTGGAACTAAAAAAATACAATATGTGAAATAAAATTGCTGAGTGGTTTAATAGAAGATTGGATACAACAGAAGAAGGGATCAGTGAACCCAAAGACAGCTTAAAAGTTTTTCAAATTGATACACAAAAATAAAAAAATGCAAAGAACAAAACAGAATGTAAGAGAGAGGTGGGACACTGTTAAAAGTTGTAACAGATTTGTAATTGAAGTCTCAGAATAAGAGAGAGAATGAAGCACAAGAAATATTTAAAGAGATAGTGACTGAAAATATTTAAAAATTATGATCTAAGAGAGATATCAATCCACTGATCCAAGAATCTCAGGGAACCCCAAACAGAATCAATATAAAGAAACCCACACACAGGTACCTCAAACTACCGAAAACCAAAGATAAATAGGAGATCTTAAAAGCTGCCAAGGGAAAAAAGGAAACATGTAGAGACAAATGACAGAATTACAGTTGACATCTTATGAGAAAAAATACAGGTCAGAAGACAATGCAGTAACAGTAACATCTTGAAAACGTTGAAAGAAGAAACCATCAACTCAGAATTCTGTATCCAGCAAAAGTATAAAAAATTAAAGTGAAATAAAGACATTTTCAGGCAAACAAAAGCTGAGAAAATTTGTCAACTGATCTGCAGTATAAGAAATGTTAAAGGAAGTTCTTCAGGCTAGCAGACAATGATCCCACATTGAAATTTGGACCTTCAAAAAGGATTGAAGAAGATGGGTACGTGGGTACATATAAAAGCCTATTTTTTCTTTTCTATATGCCTTTGAAAGACACTCAATTATGTAAAGCAAAATATATATTTGGGGATTTATAATATCCAGTTGATTCTCATTATTTACAGTAGTTATGTTCTATAAAGTTGCCAGGAATACTCGATTAGTAAATGCTAAACCATTGCTCCTGGGGAAATGCAGACTTAAGACTCCTGTGAGCCTCTGGTCACAATGTTTTTGTCAACTGAGTAACATACAACCTTGTGTTACTGTTTAAAGACACTTTATTTCATATATTTTATTGATTCATTAACATTGAATTCACACTAACAGCACTATCACTCATGCATGAACAAGTCTTATCTAACACACTTATTTTCTCCAGAGGTACATTATAGCCTTCTTGTGCTTAGGAATACCACATGGCTCTTCAGCGCTATGTTTGGGAGCCATTTTAAACAACAAAATCACCAAAAAAAAAAAAAAGCACAAAAATGCAAAAACTGTGGCACTAAATAGACTGCAAAAAAGGGACACTTTCCTGTATGAGAGCTGAAAAAAAAAGGCAGGTGTCACCATGTTCAGCTTCAGTTGGGAATGTGTACGCCAGACAACTCAAATTTTTTGCTGCTTTGTGTATGTCCACAAATGACCACAAAAGCACTGTGAGTATTAATTAGGAGGTTACAAATAAAGTTTAGTGAGCCAATGAATTCATAAATACAGAATCTGCATGTTACAAGGACTGACTATATGTAGAAGGAAAATGTGACAATAGCACAGCATAGCACAAAGGCTGGCAGGTAAATGGAATTATTTATCTTAAAGTTATTTTATCTTTGGTGAAATGTGATATTTAAATTAGACTATGATAAGTTAGGGATGCATATTGTAATACCTAAAACAATCACTAACAAAATAATACAAAGAAGTGTAGCTTGTGAAACAACACAATAAAATGGAATACTAAACGTGATTTGATTAACCCAAAAAAGGCAAGAAAGGAGAAATAAACAGATGAGACAAATAGAAACCAAATAGTAATATGGTTTCAATGCAGCCATTTGGATAGTTACATTAAATGTAAATGGAGTAACACTCCAATTACAACAAAGATTGTCAGATTGAATTTTTTTAACCCAAATATATACTATTTAGAAGAGATAGACTTTAGTATGCAGTTATAGAGAGAGTGAAAGTAAAGAACTGGAAAAAGGTATTCCATGTTCTACAACAAAGATATTATTTGTTTTATAACCAAAACAAAGGTGATACGGTTACAATAATATCAGATATTTAAGGCTAAAAGTAATTTACTATTTAAGAAAGGACATTTCATAATGATAAAAGAAAGGGTCGATTCAGTAGGAAAAAAAATCTTCCTAAATGAGTATACATTTAATAATATGGGTTCAAATGTATAAAGCAAAAGTTGCCAGAACTAAAACAGAGCTAGATAATTCACAATCCTTAACCACCGTGATCTAATTACATGTATAGTCAAGCCTTTCTTAGTGATAGGGATATGTTCTGAGAAATGAGTCATTAAGTGATTTCATCATTGTACAAACATCATAGAATGTACTTGCACAAACCTAGAAGGTGTAGGTTACCATACACTTGGGTTATATAGTTATAGTATAGCATGTTGCTCCTAGGCTACAAACCTGTACAGCATGTTACTGTGCTGAATACTGTACACAATTGTAACACAATGGTGTATTTGTGTATCTAAACATATCCAAAAATAGGAAATGTACAGTAAAAATATGGTATTATATGTATGGGGCCATCATTGTATATGTGGCCCATTGTTGACTGAAACATTGTTGTGCAGCACATGACTATATATGTGTAGAACACAGCACCTAAGTATGTATTATGTAAATACATATTCTTTTCAGTGCATCTGTAACATTAACCAAAATGAACCATATTGGACCATAAAGTAATTGTCACCAAATTTCAAGAGTTTGAAATTATGTAGAATATATATATATTTTCTTTGATGACTTGGAATGACATTAAAACCCAATGACAGAAAAATAATTAGAAATCACTGCATGTGGCCAGGTGCGGTGGCTCACGCCTGTGCTGAGGCGGGCGAATCACGAGGTCAAGAGATAGAGACCATCTGGCCAACATGGTGAAACCCCATCTCTACTAAAAATACAAAAATGAGCTGGGCATGGTGGTGCATGCCTGTAGTCCCAGCTACTCGGGAGTCGGAGGCAGGAGAATCGCTTGAACCCGGGAGGTGGAGATTGCAGTGAGCCAAGATCATACCACTGCACTCCAGCCTGGTGACAGAATGAGACACCGTCTCAAAAAAAAAAAAAAAGAAAAAGAAAAAGAAAAGAAATTACTACATGTTTGCAAATTGTCACACACTTCTATATAAACTGTGAGTCAAAGAAAATATAACAGTGGCAATTAGAAAATATTTGGAATGATAATAAAATGACTGGGTTGCAACCAGCATAGTGCTTAAAGGGAAAATTTCTATCTTTTGTTTGTTTGTTTTGGAGACAGGGTCTCCGTTACCCAGACTGGGTATAGTGGTGCAATCTTGGCTCACTGCAACGTCCACCTCCCAGGCTCTAGTGATCCTCTCCACCTCCGCCTCCCTGAGTAGCTGAGACTACAGGCGTGTGCCACTACGCTTGGCAAATTTTTTAAATTTTTTGTAGAGGCAGGGTCTCACTATATTGCTCAGGCTGGTCTTGAACTCATGGGCTTATGCAATCCTCCCACCTCAGCCTCCCAAAGTTCTGGGATTACAGGTGTGAGCCGCCACACCTGGCCAGAAATTTATATCTTTAAATGTATAGTTTGAAAAAAAAGTTGAAAATCAATTACTAAAACATCCAACTTTAGGGGCCAGAAAAAGGACAACAAACCCAAGGAGAGCAGGAAAGAAATAATAAAAATAAAAGCAGAAAACAGTGAACAATAAACAGACATACAGTAGGCAATATCAACAAAGCCAAACTGGTTTTTGGAAAATTAATTAAATGGATAAGCTGCTAGCATTACTGATCAAGAAAAGAGAGAGAGAAAAAAAATCAATACAGATTCCACAAGCATTAAAAAGATACTATGAAAAGACTATGAACAACTTGTGTGAATAAGTTTGAAATTTAGATAAAATTAGTTTCTTTAAAAAGAAAATGTACTAAAATTGACACAAGATGAACAGAAAATCTTAAAAGTTCTACTAAAATATTTACTAAAGAAGTTGAATCTGTAATTAAAAGCCTTTCCACAGATTAAACTCTCAGGTGGCTTTACTGGTGAATTTATTGTAAACATTTAAGAAAGAAATAGTGCCAATATTAAAAAATCATTCCAGAGAACAAAGAAGAAACACTTTCAAATCATTTTATAAGCTTTCAATAACACTGATATCAAAACATGACAAGAACACTAGAAGAAAATTGCAAGGCCCTCATGAACACATGCACAAACTCAGTATAAAATATTAGCAAGTAAAATCTAGAGGCATTTCAAAAGGGTAATACATCATGACCAAGTGGAATTTGTTCCAGAGTGTGAGGTTGGCTTAACATTAAAAAATCAATCATTGAAATTCACTACATTAATGAAGGGGAAAAACCGTTATCAAGTTCACATTATTTTCGGCAACATTTTAGAATAATTGACCCATATAAAATATGTGCAAAATATCTCCTAAAGAAGGAAAGAGACGCGTTGAAAATCAATATGACATTTTATGGATTTTTTAGTCTTGTGGTATAAAAATGGTTGTTACATCCCTGTTTATGTTTTAGATCATTGTGGTATAAGAGTGTCCTACCATTATTTTAAACAAAGTTCAGCTAATATTCCTTTTTATTCCAGAGAAAATCTTGTAGTTGACTAGTTTTATAGTTAATGATGTTCATTTGCATTAGTCTAAGTATTGTTTTCCCATTTTAAAGATAAGCTTCTCTCATGTAAGCTTTAGGAGGGCAAAGATCTTGGTTTTGTTCATTGTTATAGCCCAAGCACATAGTGTCTGTCACACAGTAGGTGCTCCCCAAAATTTAAACTTTGCTGAATGTTGAATGAGTAAATAAAATTCAGAAAGATTTAGTGACGTGCCCAAGCTAACATTATTTTGGCATTTCTCTCTTCCTCACCCTCAGATTCACCTCCTTTCTCTTCATCCCTATGCTGTTTTCTTAGTTCATAGTGTTGTCACTTCTCACTTTCAACAGCCACCCTCACCTTTAGCCTTTCTTCTAATCTGTTCCCCACATTATACCTTTGTCTCCTTTCTAAAGTGGGAATCATATCATGTCCTTCCCCTACTCATTTTTAGGGGCGACTTTAAAGGTAAAGCTCACCTGGGCTACATTCCGCGTACCTCTTTTCAGCCTCAACTCTCACTCATTTTCCTTAAGCCTTGCCCTACCATTCATGAGCTACTTGATGTTTCCTAATCTTAAATCTCCTTTCTCCTCTCCCTGCCCTTCCTTTCTACTCCCATTTTACCTGATTAATTCCATATCATCTCTCAAGACCTAATTATAGCCTTTTATGATTCCCATTCGTGCAACCTGGGTTAGGTGTCCCTCTTGTGTGATTGATTTCTTAGTATCCTGTGTATACCTCTACTCTAGTACCTATTGCACTATTTTATAATTCTCCATTTTCTAGATTGTCTCACTGCAAGCTCCTTGAGGATGGGGAATCATGTCTGGTTTACCTTTGTGTCCACTGTGTATCTCTCTGACACGGAACTTGACCTACAGCATCAGTGTCATCATCATAACTGACTTTTATGGAAAGCTTGCTATGGGCAAGCACTGTTCTAAACACTTTGCAAGTAGTAACTCATCTTAATCCTCATGACAATCTTAGAAGGCAGGTTCTATTATTATCTCCACTTTACCAATGAGAAATGGAGAGCTTAAAAGAAGCCTACTCAAGGTCACCCAGCAAAGAGGGAATAGAGCCAGAATTTAAATTTAGCAGAGCCTATGCTCTAAGTACTTCATAATAATGCTTCAACAGCATTTTCTGAATGGATGAATCCAAGACTTGAATTCGGAGTCTCCTGGCCTCAAGTCCAGTGATGCTCTGCCATCTCACATACATGACTCAGCTCCCTCTCCGCCTCAGTCTCTCCAGGCACACGGTCTTAGCTAGATGGTAGAAACTGTTCTTTGTATTTTCCCTTATTTCTTTTATTTGCCAGCTCCAAATATGGGATATTCATGTATATGTAGAAGTTACACTCATAGCTGGTCTGTTCTTGTATATTATTTCAAGTAGTCCTACTCAGAAACACTTTTTGTAGAGTTGGGGCACCTACTGAAGAAGAGGAAGAAAGTGAAAGTGAAGATAGTGAAGACAGTGGTGGGGAGGAAGAAGATGCAGAGGAGGAAGAGGAAGAGAAAGAGGAAAATGAATCTCACAAATGGTCAACCGGTGAAGAATACATCGCTGTTGGAGATTTTACTGCTCAGCAAGTTGGAGATCTTACATTTAAGGTAGGTAGAATAAGACTGAAACCTAACCTAAGGGTCGATGTCCATACCTAACAGAATAAGAAAACTCTGCCTGTACACCTGTATTACAGATTCTTAAAATGCAGTTTTATAACAATCTATTTAAATAAGTAATAATTACAATTTACAAGCAGTAGTAATATGAGATTGTGTTACTAAAGTTACCTCTTCTAAAGATTTTTGAAAGTAGCTTTAATGTTGAGAATTCCTAATTTAGGGGTAAAATTTTATAATTTGTTATTGAATGTCATGTATAAATTCATTCAAGTGAGTTAGGCAATGTCCATAGGTGGAGGTAGAAGGGAGCACTTCCTGCCATTTTGTAGCAGTCTTTCCTGTTAGCTTAGATATGAGAGGGGCTTACATCCATGCTTGGTTGGCCTGGGCATAAATAAGTGGCAGGTGGGACAGAACAATAAAGTTGTGATTTTTAAAGTTGTGATTTTGAGCCTGTGTTTTCTGCTAGAGAAATGAGCCAAAGAAATTTAAGTGAATATATGAATTTTAGTTCTTATATTAAACTTCAAAGTTTAGTAACTGATTAATAATAAAATACATAAGAATATTATGCAAATAATTATATGGTTTGATTTATAGATTTTTTTTTCAAATTCTCCTGGAAAATGGTATCAATATTAGACAATAATGTATATTTTAATTAAGTGTTTGCTTTTGTAGTGTCCTTAGTGGTGGAAATGCTTTTGTCTTCAAAGATGAATTTTATTTTTATAAATGAGTGAGTGTTATTCAAAACATATCTGGTGAATTAAGTGGGTAATTATATTCAGTAAATACTATTTTTGCTCAAAAATAGGGTTTAACTTTAATGGAATTGATATTCTTTGGGAATTTATATGCTGCTTCTGAAAGACACTTTTCCAGAGATATTAAAACATTCAAAAATATTTTACGCAGTAATTGAATTTTTGGAATAAGTATGGGGCCTTAAAAATGATTGTGAAAAATGGTTCCCATTTGCATAAATGGCTCAAGTGTATGTTAGGTAACCAAAAGGAATGATTCATTAAACTATGTCACATTTATGGTTTTAGGTGAGTTAGGCAGAATACATAGGGGTCGGGTGATAGGGAAGCTTTTGATAAACCTTAGGATAAATATTGGATTAAAAAAAGATTTTGCCTTTTTTTCAGCACATATTTTGAATCATTGGTATTGACATATACTCATGATTATTGAATTTTATTTAAAATGGTTTACTTTGTTTTGCTTTAAGAAAGGGGAAATTCTCCTTGTAATTGAAAAAAAACCTGATGGTTGGTGGATAGCTAAGGATGCCAAAGGAAATGAAGGTCTTGTTCCCAGAACCTACCTAGAGGTTAGTCTTGGTTTATGCCTTCCTTTTCTAAGACTTTTTTTTTTTTCGCTTTTAATAAAACATTTAGCTGTGTTCTTTTGTCAGTTGACTAGTGAATGACTTGAGATATAGAATTTGCTTTAATTTTGGAGGGACAGGACCTGGGAAAAACATTGTGTATTAATGGTCCTGGGGACCTGTGAAGTGCTCTTACGCATGTGAGCCCTGGAACGTGATCTCACAATGAGGGGATGCTTTGTGGATTAATGCTGATCATAACAAATAATAGGTGTCTATTGTTTATTGTAAAACATAACTGCAGTTAACTTTGTGTTAACTTCCACAAATATGTGATCCCCTTACTAAAATGTGAACATACTATACATGTGTGTTTGTAGCTTGTATTTTCTTATTTCATAAAATAACATGGTCATTTTCTGTGCCAAGATATATAGATTTCTGTCTGGATCAGCACTGTCCAGTAGAACTATGATGCAAACCACACATGTAATTTAAATTTTTCAGTAGCCACACTGAGATATCTTTTTGCTGATGCCACTTCTGACACCAAGTATGTGGTTTTTCTCTGACACCAAATATGTGTTATTACATCAGTTCTTCTACACCAACCGGTGTCAGCAATTCAATTCGATTCTGATGCTAATGCCTGGAGCTAGCACAGACCCCCACAGGTTAAAGGCTCAGTCCCACAAGATTGCTGCTCACTTCCGTTGCCAGTCACAAGTCCCAAGAGCCACCCATACTTCTGACTGACTGGCTATACATTCACGAGTTCCCATACCATCACCTCAGGGGTTCAGTAATTTACTAGAATGATTCACAGAACTCAGGAAAACACTTTCCTTGCATTTACCAGTTTATTATAAAGGATGCAACTCAGGAACAGCCATAGAGTGAGGTATTGGTTGGGGGTGGCTGGCATGCACTCTCTGGGCCTTCCACCTTCCCAGCACTTCGCTGTGTTCACCATCCTGGAAGTTCCTGGAACCCCATCATTTAGGGGTTTTTCTGAAGGTTTCATTAGCCATGTTTAACTAAATCATTAGCAATTGGTGATTAACTCAGTCTCCAGCTCCTCTCCCCTCTTTGAAGGTTGGAGGGTGGGGCTGAAAGTTCTAACCTCTAATACCTGGGTTGGTTTTTCTGGTAACCTGTCCCCTTCCTGAAGCTGTTTAGGTGCCCACCTAGAATTACCTCATTAACATAAACTCAGGAGTGACTGAAGGGGACTCTTGATGAGTAAGAAAACATACTCCTATCATTCAGGAAATTCCAAGGGTTTCAGGAGCTCTGTGCCAGGAATCAGTGACAAAGAACAAATACATGTTTTTCATTACACACATTTTTAAAAAGTAAAAAGAAACAGGTAGAATTATTTTTAATAATATATTTTATATTATCCAGTATATCAAAAATACTATTTTGACATATCAATATTTAAAAATATTGAGTTGTTTTGCTTTTTTAACATTAAGTTCAAAATCCAATGTGTGTTTTACATTTACAGCACTTCTCAGTTTGGATTAATTTCAAGAGCTCACTAGCTACATGTGGCCAAAGGGCTATTGTATTACATAGGGCAGGTCTAGATCATCTTTTTCAATGGCAGCAAGTCTTCTAATCTCATTTAGATGGTCATTGAAGTTGTTTCCAACCTATAATCACTATCGATTATGTTGCAAAGAACATGGGATTAGCATCCACTGTCAGTTGCAAAAAGATCCCCCCAAAAAGTAGCTTAAATAAGGTAGAAGCCTATTTCTCTCAAGCATAAAAGTGTGGAGAAAAGCAATCAATAATTGGTTAAGATCCTATCCAGTATTTTATCCTGTTTCTGATGTGAGGCTGCTCTGCCTAGAGTTATCTCTTTAGTTTTAAGTCAGCTGCTGGATCTTTTAAGGATTCCAAGGAGCAAAAGGGGAAAGAATTCAAAAGGCATAAGCTGCTGCCTTTTTAAGAAGGTTTCTTGGAAGTTACACAAAAAAACTTTCAACTGTTGCTCATTGACCAGCATTTAGTTCTCTGGCAACAGTTAGCTGCAAGGAAGTCTTGGGAAATGTAGTCTTTTAACTGGATCATTGTTAAATCAGGGATTTTGTTTGAAAAAGGAGGTGGGGAATAGGTGGTAGCCAGCCAGCAACTTGTGTTGTCATCAAGCCTGCGTGCATCTTTGCACACTTGCCCGATTATCCCCTTAGATAAATTCCTAGATGTTCATCACTGGTTCAAAGGGTTTATAGCTTTATATTTTGATTTATTTTTCCAATTTGCCTTTTAGAAAAGTTATGCCAATTTGTACTCCCACCTCTAACAATCAGTGAGTGCTGTTTCCTCACACAATTGCCAGTGATGGCTGTTAGCAATCTTTAAAATTTTTGCCAATATGACCAGCAAAAAAAGTGTCATTAGTGGTTTAATGTGCATTTACTGTACTCCTAATGAGGTTAAGCATCATCTCATATGCTTTATGACCATTTGTATATCTTCTTTGCGAATGGCACTTTCGGTTTTCTTTATTGATACATAATATTTTATGTATTTGTGTGAGTGCTTTTTACTTGTATGGATTGTGTAATAATCAAGTCAGGGTATTTGAGATTTCCATCACCTTGAGTGCTTATCATTTTTATGTGTTGGTACCTTTTCAGTTCTTTTGGATATTTTTTTCTAAGGGATTTAAAAAACTCTTTCATTGATTTCTAAGAGCTTTTATAATATTTTAATAATCAGGATATTAATCCTTAGATATTTGTGTGAGCTATTTTCTTTTTTTCCCCTCAGGATATGCTTAAGTTATGTGTTAGATATTTTCTTTGTTGACTTTAGGTCATGTTTATTTATTATGTAGCTAAATCTGTCAGTGTTTCCACTTATGATTTTTGATTTTGTATCATGATTGGAAAGGGCTTCCCCATCTCTAGATTATTTTCTTCTAATGCTTTTATGTTTCTTTTATTTTTATCTTTACGTCTTTTCTTTTTTATTTAAGTAAATTCCATCTGGAATTTATTTTGATTAAACTTGCTGTCTATCTCAGTTCTTATTTTTTCAAATAGCAAAGTTATTAACCATGTGTTGAAAATTTATTTCCCACTGAGTTTTATATGCTCATCATATATACTAAATTCCCATCTATGCTCAAGATTTTCTGAAAGTACTGATGCTTTTGTTTTTTTGTTTTTAAACAGAAAAGCTTGTTTTTGTTTTTACTGGAGGGTTAGGTGGCAGTACTGGTATTTTTATTGGTTGTTTTTTGCATTAGTTAAAAAGCACTTCACATTTCAATGGTTTTTTAGCCTTATAGTGAAGAAGAAGAAGGCCAAGAGTCAAGTGAAGAGGGCAGTGAAGAAGATGTAGAGGCGGTGGATGAAACAGCAGATGGAGCAGAAGTTAAGCAAAGGTACAAAAGTGGGAAAGGATATCAAAGTAGGTTTAGGAAACATTTTATTTGTTTATTTTTATTATTATAACTAATTCAATACTTTCTTGAAATGGAGACAACTTGTACCTGGAGAGCTTTTCATACTATTGTCTGCTTAAAGATCATTACTGTTTTAGTTTTGTAATTATTTTTAATACATTTAGCTCTACCTCGTTTTCATCTGGAAACTGTTAGATTTTCAAAACTTACTGATGATTATCAACTGTGATTAAAGAAGTTCCCTAATTGAGTGAATAGGCATAACCTGACCTGACTCACTTTGCTATTTTGTCTCCCCAGAACTGATCCCCACTGGAGTGCTGTTCAGAAAGCGATTTCAGAGGCGGGCATCTTCTGTCTTGTTAATCATGTCTCGTTTTGCTACCTAATAGTTCTGATGCGAAATAGGATGGAGACTGTGGAAGACACCAATGGATCTGAAACAGGGTTCAGGGCATGGAATGTACAGAGCAGAGGACGTATATTTCTGGTTTCTAAGCCTGTGCTCCAAGTAACATTTCTCATTAGTTTTTTTTTTTTTTTGTACAAAAAGAATAGATAATTCATGGTGTCACTTGAGGACTTGGAAACATTCTCATTGATCCTGCTTTCCTATCATTTGAGTGGAAACAGATGTTAAATTTTATTTACTATTCGAAAAATCCTGAAAGCCTTTAATAAAAAGTAAGAAATTGGCCAGGCATGGTGATTCACACTGGTAATCCCAACATTTTGGGAAGCTGAAGCAGGAGGATCACTTGAGGCCAGGAATTCAAGACCAGCTTGAGCAACATAGTGAGACCCTATCCTACAAAAAATAAGAAAAATTAGCCAGGTGTGGTGGCTCATGCCTGTAGTCCCAGCTACTCGGGAGGCTGAGGTGGGAGGATTGCATGAGTTTGGGAAGTCAAGGCTGTAGTGAGCTGTGATTGTGCCACTGCACTCCAGAGCATGAGTGACAGGGCAAGACCCTGTCTTAAAAAAAAAAAAGTAATTAATTACATTTTTTTAAAGGAGAAATGATCCATAATTCTGTCATTAAAAAAAAATTACAGGCCGGGCACAGTGGCTCATGGGCACAGTGGCTCACACCTGTAATCCCAGCACTTTGGGAGGCCAAGGCGGGTGGATCACCTGGGGTCAAGAGTTCAAGACCAGCCTAGTCAACACAGCGAAACCTCACCTCGACTAAAAATAGAAAAATTAGCTGGGCGTGGTAGCGCATGTCTGTAGTCCCAGCTCCTGGGGAGGCTGAGGCAGGAGAATTGCTTGAACCTGGGAGGCGGAGGTTGCAGTGAGCCGAGAATACTCCACTGTACTCCAGCCTGGGCGACAGAGTGAGACTCCGTCTCAAAAAACAAAAAAATAATTACATAGCCAAATGAAAATTCTCTTCCTCAAACTCATAAGTAATCACCATTAACAATTTAGTACGTGTCCTTCCTGACCTTTTTCGTTATTTATTACTTATAAGTACATCCTTGTATGTGTGAGGGTGTGTGTCTATGAGTAGTGTGTATGTGTATACAAAAAAAATCCATTAATTCTTCAGTGCATGTGATTTGCCAATAGACATTAACTTACCTGTGAAATGGAAGCGCAGGGTGGAGCAGGACAGGAGCAGGGACATTTTGATAAGGGTATACTTGAAGCAGCTGCTCCGGAACACACAGCTCTGCACGCTGGGCACTGTATGGGGCTTAGGTCCTTAGGAGAGGCCAGGGTGCTGTGATGGCATCCTCTCAGGAATTTGGGGCCAAATCGTATTATTCTTCCACTAAAGTCTGTATGTTTATATTTTTCTTTTTTGGGTTATAGTTACTCTAGTGATAAAGTATTATAGAGATGCAGAAACATGACTGAAAACAAATCCATTTTGATGTTACTGTCTTCAGCAGATAAACACTGTTGATGTGTTAACTACGATGGGAGCTATTCCTGCAGGGTTCAGGCCTTCCACGCTCTCACAGCTTCTGGAGGAAGGTAATGCGTGCCTATCAGCCACTGCACTCTTTCAGCAAAGCAGTCAAGATCCACGTCTAATTTTTCTGTCACAGGCAAAACACATTGTTGAAGAAGATGTTGAATCTCACATCTCTTTGGTGCTCATCTTTTCCTCATCCTTCCTATGACAGTGAGGAAAGATCCCTGATCCTATCAGAGGCCAGCCTGTTTACCAGTGCTCCGGGTTCCAGCCCCTTTCTTTTTTTCAAAAATGTGACTCCTTTAATTTTCAGCCCTTTCCTGTGTCTTTAGCTGGCCCACCTTCCCCACACTGGTTCATTCCCTCATCTGTGCTATCAGCACACCTAATTCTCCCCACCTTAAAGGATCAGCCCCTTGAATCCTATCCCATTCTAGCCAAAACCTCCTTTTCTCTGATCTTCTTCCAAGCAAGACTTTTCCAAAGAATTATCTCCATTTGGAATTTTCATTTTCCTTACTCATTCTTGGCTTTCCCTGTATTTGGCAACTTTTGTCTATAAGCTCATTTTAAAGAGGATTCATGCTGGGGGACAAGGGGTGTCCTGTATACCCTGAGTTGTTGAGTTGTCATGGAAGGGCTGCTTTGAGGATGCCTTTGCTGGGAAGGTTCTTCCCAGTACTCCCTAAATTCCCATCTTTTCATCCTTCAGGTCTCGCGGTAAATTCTGCCTTCCCAGAGATGCCTTCCTTGAGTAATGTGGGTTTCCCTTACTCCCATTCATGTGAACACCCTTTATAGCTCTATGTCCCCTAATAATTATTTTATTTATTTGCTTGTCTACTTATTTTCTAAGAAAATTTTCCTCCCATTCAACTGTAAACTATGGAGGGCAGGGGACATATCTCTGATTTATCTTTGTATTTCTAGAACCTGGTGTAGCATCTGGCAAGAGTAGAAGCTCAAAAATTATTTCTCGAATGGATAAATGATGTTATTAAAAGTATTATTCATGACTAAAGCATGGAGGAAGAGCATAAAATGCTTTTGTGTTAAGAAGTAAAACTAACGACTTTGTTTTTTCTGAAGTCTCCAAAAAGTGCTCATAGATTTCTGCATTTTACAAAAATATTTGAATGAATCCTTGTCATCATGGGGCATATTATTGGCCTAAAAGTCTTTCTTAAAGGTGCTTTAAGATGATCTTTTATGTGTTTGTATCTGTAAGTTTTGTACTGCTGTTTTTATCCATAAATCTATATTGGCGCTTCTATTTTGGAAAGCAAGTTCTTAGTAAGCAGCGTGGCATTTTGGAAGTGCCTGTACTCTAGTTCATAGCATAACATTATGGATTTTTGATTTGGAGTTTCTTTCTTTGTAAGAAAATGAAGAAAAAATGATTTTTTCAGGGAATCAATTTCGAGCAAATTACTTCTTACAACCAGAGCTCATGCCTTCACAACTGGCCTTCAGAGATCTGATGTGGGATGCTACAGAAGGCACTGTAAGTATAGTTACTATCAGTAAAAGTGTAACTCTTCCAGATTTTGTCATAGTTGCAATTAGACAAACAACATGTTAATTGACTAATGAATTATAAAAAACAAAAAAATTGTTTATGATAATTTTGAAAATAGCGATATTTTTATAACTAAGGCAGAATTTGGACTTGCTACCTTGACTTTATCTTGTTTCTCTTCTCCATTGCACTCTTCTCTCATTGTTAGAAAGGAAATAATACTAGGTTTCTATCTTAATCATTCTTTGCCTCAATTTCTTCATCTGTAAAGATGGAGTAATAGTAATGCTTCCAACATAAAGTTATTTTGATAATTATGTGTGTGAAGGGTTTTGAATAATGCCTGGCATATGAAAAGAACTCAATAGATGTTAGCCATTATTATCATTTATAGTAGTAGTAGCAGTAGTAGTAGTATTTTTGAGACAGGGTCTCCCTCTGTCACCCAGGCTAGAGGGCAGTGGTGTGATCATGGCTCACTGTAACCTCAAATTCCTGGGCTCAAGCGACCCTCCCACTTCAGCTTCCTGAGTAGCTGGGGCCACAGGCCTACACCACCATGCCCAGGTAATTTTTGTATTTTTTGTAAAGATGGGGTTTTGCCACGTTGCCAGGCTGGTCTCAAACTCCTGAGCTCAAGCAATCTGCCCTCCTATCCCTCCCAAAGTGCTAGGATTACAAGTGTGAGCCACCAGTCCCAGTCTAATATAAGTTATTTAAATGAAAAGGCTTATGACCGTAAAGCAGAATGTAAAGTTTAATGAATTGAAGCTGTTCTTAAAAAATAAAAAATCAGAATGCCAATTTATTTACTCACAATCTGAATTATACCTATGAAGCAGATCTGAATAAATATATCAGATAGTGCATTCTCTCTGTTAAAACACCTATTAAGAAACTAAGGAACTATGCAGATAATTGCTTGGAATAAAAAATAGTGGGGATAATCTTAATGCCAGGTGGCATTGGTTTTATGCTGCGTTAGCCTTCTGCACTTACCCACATTCTGTAGGAGTGAACCGGGACTGGAATACAGTGATTCTATAGTCATAGATCATATACATTTTGCCTGCCAATATTTATTGTTCCTTTCATCACAGCTTTTAAGTATTTAAGAAAAATGCAATATTTCAAATGTAACTCTATGAAAAATTTACCTAAAATGACTGATTTAATTTTCAATGAACAGAGTATTGAAACTTTTATTGTATATGTGTAAATTTTTTCTTTTTTAAAAATTCTGTATACATTTTCATAAGCCGAATTCACAAAAGACAGATTTGTGTTAGAAATCATAAAAATAAACTTTTTTATAACTAATTTTTCTTTCAGATTAGGTCGAGACCAAGTCGTATTTCATTGATTCTGACATTATGGAGCTGTAAAATGATTCCTCTTCCAGGAATGAGCATACAGGTTCTCAGCAGACATGTACGCCTCTGTCTATTTGATGGTAATAAGGTAAGGTTACTGAGAAGTAAATCAATTCATACTAGGATTATGGAGAAACATTCCCTTAGATTCTTTTCCATTCAACTCCTCCCCAATTCCCAAGAGAGTATTTTTTACCTAGTACCAAAGAAAAATTTGAATGACTCTTTGAAAAATTCATTTTTTAAATGAGATACAGGTTAAACAGTACTTAGATGGAAATTTATAGTTTTAATTGTGTATATTAAAAAAAAGATAAAAGATTTAAAGTCAGTGATCTAAGCTAGCAAATCAAGAGGCTAGAAAAAGAAGAGTGAGTTAAACCTGAAGAAAGTAGAAAGTGGGAAATAATACAGATAAGAGTAGAAATTAATGAAATAGAAAACAGATGGACCAAAGAGAAAATTTTAAAAAAGACAAAAGTTGATTCTTTGAAAACATTAATAAAACTGAAAGATGCATAGTGAGACTATTAAGACTTTTTTAAAAAGTAAAAGAAAACAAACTATTAACATCTGACATGGAAATAGAGACATTATCACAGATCCTTCAGACATTAAGAGGCCAATAAGGAGATATTATAAACAGCTTTATACCAGTAAATTTGACAACATTGATGAAATAGATAAATTCCTGGAGAACCATAATTTACTGAAACTGGCATAAGAAGAAATAGAAAATGTGAATAACCTCTGGTAAAGATATTAAACCTATAATTAAAAAAAAATCTTGCCACAAAGAAAACTTCAGGCCTAGGTGGCTTCACCTGTGAATTTCTTCAAACATTTAAAGAAGAAATAATACCAATCTTATACAAATTCTTCCAAGGAACAGATGAAGGAGAAATGTTTCCCAACTTATTTCATAAGGCCAGAAAAAACATGACCCCAGAATATGACAAGACATTACAAGAAAGGAAAATTACCAGACAGTATCCTTCATAGATATAGAAAGTAAAATTCTAAACAAAATATTATTAAATTGAATCTAGCAATATATAAAAAGGACATTATGTCATAACCAATTGGGGTTTATTTCAGGAATTCAAATGTACATTCCTGGGTAATCACATTTAACATTTGAAAATCAATCATTATAATTTGCCATAAGAAAAATCATATGATCATCTTAAGAGGTAAGGAAAAAACATTTGACAAATTTCAACACCCATTTATGATTTTTAAAAAATTATCTACAAACTAGGAATAGAAGGGAGAGTCCTCAAATTGCAAAATGCAACAAGAAAAAACCTAAAACTAGCATTATCTTACTTAACAGTGAAATACTGAACACTTTTTTCCTAAGACCAGGAACAAGTCAAAGATATCCAAGAAATAAAAAGATAACTCAGTTTTCTAAAGGGACAAAAGACTTGAATAGCCTCTTCAAAAAAGAAGTATCAAAAACCACTAGAAGTATAAAAAGATAGTCAACATGTAAGAAGTCATCAGGGAAATGCAAATGAAAACCACAGTGAGAGAGACTGACCTATATGTTATATATAAGAAGCCCACCTTAAATATTATGCTATAGGTAGCTTAAGAGAAAAAAAGGATGAGAAAAGATATACCATTCAAAGTAGACTTCAGGCACTACATAGTGATAAAAGAGATCGTTCACCAAGAAGACATAGTAATCCTAAGTGGGTACATACCTAACATCTGAAATTTAACACACAAGAAATAAAAATGGTTAGAACTGAAAAGAGAAACCGACAAAGTCACAATTATAGTTGGGGCCTCTATTATAGTTGGGGAGTTTAACACTTCTCTCTCAGTAATATAGGACAAGCAGACAGAAAATTAGTAAGGATGTAAGAGAACTGTATAACATATCAACAAACTGGATTAGATTGATATTCACATAACACTTCACCTCAAAATAGTAAAATACACTTTCTCTTAAGTACATATGGAATAGTCACCAATATAGACGGTCCTGGGTCAGAAAACAAACCTAGACAAATTGAAAAGAATTGGAATCATATAATATATGGTCCTTGATTACATGGAATTAAATTTGAAATCAGTAACAGGAAGATAAATGGAAAAATACTTAAATACTTGTAAATTTAAAAACTACTTCTAAATAATCAAAGGGTTAAAAGGAAATTTCATGGGAAATTAGAAAATATTTTGAACTGAACAAAAAATGAAAATGCAACATATCATAATTTGTGGAATGTTAGCTAAAGCATTGCTTAGAGGGACATTTATAGCACTAGATGCTTATGTTAGAAAAGAATTCTCAAATCTACAGTCAAAGCTCCTTCCTGAGAAGACAGTGCTGCTTGAGCTGATAACGGTCAATGTGAAATTAAATGAGTTAATGTAAGGGAAGTTATCAGAGTGATGTTATACATGGAAAGAACATAGTTCTTTCAAAGAGTGTCTGGATGAGAGGTGGTGATGATAACTTAGAGAGGTGGAGGTGGAGATGAGAGATGTGGATAGAGATATCTGGGAGTAAAAATCAACGAAGCTTGGTGATGGACTGGATATGGAGGAGAGAGGAGGAGTGGGGTATAGGCATGACACCTAGTCTCTGACTTCCGCATCTGGATGGATGGTGGCAACATTCAATGAGATGGGGAACACTGGAAGAGGACCACGTTTGGAGGAGTTGACATGGGCTTGGTTTTGCACATGCTGAGTATACTGCTAACCCCCAGCATGAAGAAAATGCCTTTATTTCATCTGAACTTGGGGTAAAGAAATGAACTTATGTTATGACGGTAATCCTCCCTCACTTCCATAATACATTCTGCACAAAATCACTGCCACAAATGAGCCAGTAGGTGTCCTCAGTGACCAAGAGCTGAATTGGTTTCTGTTTCATACATCTGGTTTGATACTTTTTCCTGTACCTCTCTGTGTTCTCATATATAAGAACATAAAAAGGAATGGAATTTTATTTTCAATAATATATCAAAATAATGAAATTTACTTTATGAAAGAAATTTATGTGAGATTTCCAAATTGAGAGTTATGGAACATATTTAATAGCTGCACAGATACTCGTGCTGTTTATGTAAGAGTGCTTCTTTAATAAATCTAAGCCTAGTTATGAATAAAAAGCATTGGGCTGGGCGCAGTGGCTCACGCCTGTAATCCCCGCACTTTGGGAGGCCGAGGCGGGCAGAGCACATGGTCAAGAGATCTAGACCATCCTGGCCAACATGATGAAACCGCGTCTCTACTAAAAATACAAAAATTAGCTGGACGTGGTGGCGTGTGCCTGTAGTCCCAGCTACTTGGGAGGCTGAGGCAGGAGAATCACTTGAACCCAGGAGGCAGAGGTTGCAGTGAGCCAAGATTGCGCCACTGCACTCCAGCCTGGTGACAGAGAGAAACTCTGTCTCAAAAAAAAAAAAAAACAGAAACCAAAACACATACACACACACAAAACCAAAGGCATTGTTGCCAAAACTAACTAATGAGACACAACTTCCAGTAATGTTTGAGTCAGCTCCTCTTGGACCACCCCACCCAGAGAGGGTAATTGTAAACTCTGGGCAAAGTAAAAAGCAACTACCTGAAGGCACTGCAGAGCATTCAGAAGCAGGCAGACACTGGAGAGGAGCCTCAAGCCTTTAGTCCACTGATTTATTTTTTTTCTCTTTGTTTTCTCTCTTTTTTGTTTGTCTCTTTTCTTTTTCCTATCTTCCTGTATTAGTTTGTTCTCACGCTGCTGATAAAGACATACCCAAGAAAGGGCAAATTACAAAAGAAAGGTTTATTGGACTTACAGTTCCGCATGGCTGAGGAGGCCTCACAATCATGGCAGAAGGTGAAAGGCACATCTCACATGGTGGCAGACAAGAGAACAGAGATTGTGCAGGGAAAACTCCCATTTTTAAAACCATCAGATCTCATGAGAATCATTCACCATCATGAGAACAGTGCAAGAAAGACCTGCCCCCATGGTGGCATGTGCCTGTAATCCCAGCTACTCAGGAGGCTGAGGCAGGAGAATTGCTTGAACCGGGACCTGGGAGGTGGAGGTTGCAGTGAGCCGAGATCATGTCACTACACTCCAGCCTGGACTACAGACTGAGACTCTTGTCTCAAAAAAAAAAAAAAAGAAAGACCTGCCTCCATAATTCAATCACTTCCTACTGGTTTCCTCCCACGACATGTGAGAATTGAGGGAGTTACAAGTCAAGATGAGATCTGGGTGAGGACACAGCCAAACCATATCATTCCTCCCCTAGTCCCTTCCAAATCTCATGTCCTCACATTTCCAAACCTATCATGCCTTCTCAACAGTCCCCCAAAGTCTTAACTCATTTCAGCATTAACTCAAAGTTCACAGTCCCAACATCTCATCTAAGATAAGGCAAGTCTCTTCTGCCTATGAGCCTGTAAAATCAAAAGCAAGCTAGTTATTTTCCAGATACAATGGAGGTACAGGCATTGGGTAAATGCAGCCATTCCAAATGGGATAAACTGGCCAAAACAAAGAGGCTACAGGCCCCATGCAAGTCCAAAATCCAGCTGGACAGTCAAATTTTAAAGCTCCAAAATGATCTCCTTTGACTCCATGTCTCACATCCAGGTCACGCTGATGTAAGAGGTGGGTTCACATGGTCTTGGGCAGCTCAGCCCCTGTTGTTTTGCAGGGTATAACCCCACTCCTGGCTGCTTTCATGGGCTGGCACTGAGTGTCTGCAGCTTTTCCAGCAGCACGGTGCAAGCTGTTGGTGGAGCTACTGTTCTGGGGTCTGGAAGATGGTGGCCCTCTTCTCACAGCTCCACTAGGTGGTGCCCCAGGAGGGACTCTGTGTGAGGGGGCTCCAACCCCACATTTCCCTTTCGCACTTCCCTAGCAGAGATTCTCCATGAGAGCCCCGCCCCTGCAGCAAACTTATGACTGGACATTCAGACATATCATACATCCTCTTGAAATCTAGGCAGAGGTTCCCAAACCTCAATTCTTGACTTCTGGGCACCTGCAGGCTCAATACCACATGGAAGCTGCCAAGAGTTTGGGCTTGCACCCTCTGAAGCCACAGCCTGAGCTTATCTTGGCCCCTTTTAGTCACAGCTGGAGTGGCTGGGACACAGGGCACCAAGTCCCTAGACTACACACAGCATGGGGACCCTCGGCCTGGCCCATGAAACCATTTTTTCCTCCTAGGCCTCCTGGCCTGTGATGGGAGGGGCTGCTGTGAAGACCTCTGACATCCTCTGGAGACATTTTTCACATTGTCTTGGGGAGTAACATTTGGCTCCTTGTTACCTATGCGAATTTCTGCAGCCGGCTTGAATTTCTCCTCAGAAAATGTGATTTTCTTTTCTATCGCATTGTCAGGTTGCAAACTTTCCAAACCTTTATGCTCCACTTCCCTTATGAAACAATGCCTTTAACAGCACCCAAGTCATGTCTTGAGTGCTTTGCTACTTAGAAATTTCTTCCAACAGATACCCTAAATCATCTCTCTGAAGTTCAGAGTTCCACAAATCTCTAGGGCAGGGGCAAAATGCCACCAGTCTCTTCACTAAAACATAACAAGAGTCACCTTTTCTCCAGTGCCCAACAAGTTCCTCATCTCCATCAGAGACTACCTCAGCCTGGACCTTATTGTTCATATCACTATCAGCATTTTTGTCAAAAAGCCATTCAGCAAGTTTCTAGGAGATTCCAAACTTTCCCACATTTTCCTATCTTCTTCTGAGCCCTCCAAACTGTTCCAACCTCTGCCTGTTACCCAGTTCCAAAGTTGCTTCCATATTTTTGGATATCTTTTCAGCAACACCCTACTCCTGGTCCCAATTTACTGTATTAGTTCATTCTCATGCTGCTGATAAAGACATACCTGAGACTGGGCAATTTACAAAAGAAAGAGGTTTACTGGACTTACAGTTCCACGTGTCTGAGGAGGCCTCACAATCATGGCAGAAGGTGAATGGCACCTCTCAAATGGTGGCAGACAAGAGAAGAGCGCTTGTGCAGGGAAAACTCCCATTTTTAAAATCATCAGATCTCATGAGACTCATTCACTATCACAAGAACAGCGCAGGAAAGACCCATCCCCATAATTCAATCACCACCCACTGGATTCTCCCATGACATGTGAGAATTGTGGGAGTTACAATTCAAGATGAGATTTGGGTGGGGATACAGTGAAACCTATCACTTCCTGTGTGTCACTTGAGCATTTTTTTTTTTTTGAGATGGAGTTTTGCTTTTGTCACCCAGGCTGGAGTGCAATGGCGCAATCTCAGTTCACTGCAACCTCTGCCTCCTGTGTTTAAGCACTTCTCCTGCCTCACCCTCTCTAGTAGCTGAGATTACAGGTGCTCACTACCACACCCAGCTAATTTTTTGTATTTTTAGTAGAGATGGGGTTTCACCATGTTGGCCAGGCTAGTCTTGAACTACTGACCTCAGGTGATCCACCTGCCTTGGCCTCCCAAAGTGCTGAGATTACAGTTGTGAGCTACCGCACCCGCCCCACTTGAACATTTTTTAGAACTCCATTCTGAGTTATCTGTAGTGTTGATGAGTGTATCTTTTTGGCTAGTTTCCTTAGTGGTTGCTTCTAGGTATTAAGTTTATACATGCATAGCTTACCACAGTCTACTAGTGTTAACATTCCAGTTGGAGTGATGTATAAAACCTTACCTTCCTTTAGTTCTTTACTTTCCCTAGCTTGTAATATAGTTGTCTTAAATATTTCCTCTACATACATTAAGAATCTTATCACACAGCACCAAACATAATTTGGAAAACCTGAAAGAAGATCCATAGTATTTACCTATATTTTTACTATTTCCATTGTTTATTCTTTCTTCCTGATGCTCTAAGAGTCTTCTTTTTATCATGTCCTATTTAGAGAATCTCCTTTAACCATTCTTTTAGGGTAGGTCTGCTGGTGACAGATTTTTAGACTTTATCTGAGATTGTCCCTGTTTCCTCTTCATTCCAAAAGGATATTTTAATTAGATAGAGAATTCTGAGTTGACAGTTATTTTTGTTTGACACTTGAAAACTATTGTGTCATTTCCTTCTGTTCTCCGTGGCTTCTAATGAGAAATTCATCATCATTCAAATTGTTTTTTTCCTGTTGGCTAACCTAAATGCTGTTTCTTACTGTTTTCAAGGTATTTTCGTTGTGTTTCAGTTTTCAGAAGTTTACGGTGTATCTGGCATGAATTTCTTTGGTTTACCCTGCTTGGGGTTTGCTCAGCTTCTTCAATCTATAGGTTTATGTCTTTTGTCAAATTTGGGGATTTTTTTCAGCCATTATTTTCTCAAATACCTTTGCAACTCCAATTATTTCTTCCAGTGCCGTTTCCCTCTATCTAGTAGTGTTGTGGTTTTTATTAACAGTACATCACCCTCCTCTCCCAACCCCAGTTCAGAACCAGATCTTGACGTAGAGTTTAGAGTTCTTGATCTAAGATGATGTCAGATATGTCACTGATCCATTAAAAGGCCCACTTGTTGACATGGTTCTGCTTCTGGTGTCATGGCTATGTCTTTGTCCTCCTACTTGCTTAGGCTCACTACTTTTTATGAGAAGCAGGGGCAACCTTTTTTTTTTTTTTTTTTAACCCTACTGGCTTCCAGCAACAATAAAGCAATATCTATTTCTCTATCATGGGGTGATATATAGCATACAAATCCAGCCCCTTGCTACCCCATGCTCCTTCTGGACTCAGAGCCCAGGAAACCTCTAGTTTTTGTCTCACTTTACTCTTCTATCTTCTATTTGTGGTCCATTGACATATTTATCTTACTTTTGGGTATTACTCTGTCTTTTTAACTATCACTGCTTCATTGCTTCATATGTGGAGCAGAATGGTTGTGTTGAAGCATAAACTGGTTGAGAAGTTCTTGTACATTCTTAGAAAAAAAAAAATAGAGCCAAGGTTTCACTATGCTGCCCAAGCTGGTCCCGAACTCCTGAGCTCAAGCAATCTCCCTGCCGTAGCCTCCCAAGTAGTTAGACTACAGGCACGAGCCACTGCACCCAGCCCCTCTTGCGTTTTTAATGCAGTTTGCTGAACGAAATCTCTGTAAATTATTTTGACTCTTCAGTTCTTCATTCTTTGGGTCTGGTTTTGCACAGAAAGCAGTGTGATTCTAAGCCAGTCATTCACCCTCTGTGGCTGCAGTTTTCTGAAATGCATAGTGAGATGGTTGGACTAAGTCCTTTTTAGTTCTTAGAGTCAATATGTCAAGAAAGATATAAAATTATCAAACAGAAGAAGTTACTCTTGATTCCAAACTTCAAAATTAGGATTCTCCAAATTGAAAAGATAAAAGCAGAGGTAGTATAGGATTTCAATTTTGATTATAGCAAAGGACTTCTTGGCCATTAGAAGTAGAAAACATTTCTTGAAAAACGAAGAAGAACCTTAGAATAACATGCAGTCTTACAGTAATCACAAGGTAGTAATTATAAGGAGTTTGTATTCCAAGAGTCCAGGTGGTAAATATACATAATTTCAGGAAAAGTTTAAACATATATATATTAGCAATCGAAGGAAGTGGGATTTTGTTAATGTGGAAAACAATCCAGCTGCCCATAAAATACTCCTATATTCCTACTACTAGGGATGTGGAATACAGTGAGTGGAATTTGACCTAATATAACACATTTGGGATTATTTTAAATTATCATTTTAAAGCTTTGTTTTGGAAGTGTTATAATAAAATATTTTCATCTAAAATAAAAATTAACTATTATCCATTCCTTTGGAAGATGTCAATTTTGGCCATAACATTTTAGAATTTGAATTCTTCATTCCATAAATCCCTTTGTGTTTCATTGTTTTATGTAAGTTTTATGATGAACTTCTTGCATAGAGCATTTTATAAGAGATTGAATTTCAATAAAAATATAATTTATGGGCCTAGAGATCTTGAGGAAAAATATAACTGTATCTGAACTATTAGGACTGTCTGTCTTAGTGACAGAGTAATGAACTGCATGTGAAATGCTTGTATGGGTCACATCTTTTTTTTTTTTTTTTTTTTCTTGAGACTGAATCTTGCTCCATCGCTCAGGCTGGAGTGCAGTGGTGTGGTATCAGCTCACTGCAACCTCTGTCTCCCAGGTTCCAGCGATTCTCCTGCCTCAGCCTCCTGAGTAGCTGGAATTACAGGCACACACCACCACACCCAGCTGATTTTTGTGTTTTTAGTAGAGACAGGGTTTCATCATGTTGGCCAGGCTGGTCTCAAACTCCCAAATTCATGTAATCCACCTGCCTCAACCTCCCAAAGTGCTGGGATTACAGTCGTGAGCCACTGTGCTCAACTGGGTCACATCTTTTCTTTTAAAAGACCATTTTTTTGCTGGGTGCAATGGCTCACACCTGTAATCCCAGCACTTTGGGAGGCCGAGGCAGGCAGATCACCTCAGGTCAGGAGTTCGAGACCAGCCTGGCCAACATGGTGAAACCCCGTCTCTACTAAAAATACAAAAATTAGCTGGGCGTGGTGACAGGGACCTGTAATCTCAGCTACTTGGGAGGCTGAGGCAGGAGAATCACTTGTACCTGGGAGGCGGAGGTTGCAGTGAGCCTAGATCATGCCACTGCATTCCAGCCTGGGCGACAGAGCGAGACTCCTTCTCTAAACAAATAAATAAATAAAAGGCCATTTTTACCTAAAATTTCAATTACTTTTCTGGCAAACCTATCTCAGATATTAAGGAATTCACTTAATATAATTTATTACTAGCATAGGAGTCCAACTCTGAATTCATTTATGTCATACCTGATATAAAAAGAAAAACATTACAGAATTACATGAAGTAAAAAGTGAAAGTTCTCCCCTTGCCATCTTCCTCACTTAGTGTAGCCACTGTTAACTCTTTGGGACATGGAAATGGTGACATTTCAAAGAGCTTTTTACATGATTTCAAAAGGGAAAATCTCATTTCAGGTTCTGAGCAACATTCATACAGTCAGAGCCACATGGCAACCTAAAAAGCCCAAAACATGGACCTTTTCTCCCCAGGTAAGTAATCTGCTGAATGAGTGGAGTGAGTGAATTTCAAAGTAGAACATATTCATATTTCTATAAATAGCACAGAGTATGTGGGAACAGATATAAATCTTTAGATTCTTTGGTGTTCTTTGAGGACATTGATAAAAATTACTCATGTTTCTGACTCACCAATGTTAGTAATTCCTATGAATCATCCCATTCAATCAGTTTCAGGGTTCATTTTTAGAAAATTCTCATTTGATGAAAAATGAAAACATAAAGATAACATTTAGGAAGTGGGGTGTTTTTCAAAGATGAAATCTTCCAACTGTGCTAATAAAAGCTGTGCTTTCTTCAGATAAAGTCAGGGATGACGCCTGAGGGACTGCTACATTACACCCACACACTGTCAAGACTGGAATGGCATTAGGTGGGTTTAAACCACTGAGTCAGCATTGCATAGACGTAGGGAGGACAAAGATGTCTTCGTGTTGTTTTTATAGTATCAATTGTCCATATTTTATTTTACATTACTTTCGTCTACCTCCAAGGTCTCATTAATTTAGTATTTACTTCCTTCCCACAGCTAACTCCCTTGTATAACTGCATCCTGAAAACCCTTAGTTACCTTTCCTCTTATTGCATCAAAAGATCTTAAGGCAAGATGGAGGTTCAGTGAGAGGGCTCAGGGTGTGGATGAGGCCAGCCACCTCAACTGTGTGCTGTGCCTGTCCAGACTTGTCGAGAGCACACCTCCTAAAAGTCCATCTTGATCTTCTTAGCACCCTTCCTCTGGTGAGAAGCATGGCCTCTCTTTTGGCACAGTACTTCACAATTCTGTTATTGCGTCTCTGTGTATGTGAAGAGTTTAGGGTAGAATTTTTTAATGTTTTTCCTGGGGTAGAAGGAAGAACTGTTGGGAGTATGTGTTATTCTGTTGAATGAAATTAAACATCAGTTATGTGCAAGCATTTTTTCCTAGGCACGTGGAAACTTTTTCATGCCAGTGAAGTTCCTATTCCAGCAAAATTAGTAGGGGAAAATACATACATGAAGAATAACAATATCATCTACTTATGGAACCCTAACTGTGTGCTAGGCCCTGTGCCAGGCTCTTACGTACATTACCTTATTTAATCAGAGTAGCCATGTGGGGCAAGTACTGTTGGTAACTACCACTCAGGCAGATTGTAATGGCTTTGGAGCTCCAAGTGCTTTGGAAGCACACAGGAGGGTAAAGTTAATTCTAGTCCTTTGGCTCAGGGAAAGTTTTCTAGAAGAGAAACTAGATCTTGAAGGTTGGATAGATTTTACAGTCAAGAAGGGAGGGATACAGTTGTCGAGGGAGAGTGAATTGAATGAGCAAAAGAGAAAATAAATGAAAATTCACAAGGCACACATTAGGAAAGTTGAGCAAATATGTGTATTCAGTCTTTAATTTTTGTTCTGTTTATGAAGAACAGTGGTTAATATAAATATCTTATAATGTCTATAAACTATTATTTGTAACACCTCTGGAGACCTAGGCACAGTACTATTAGCCTCTACTCTAAGCAAAAAATAAGCAAAGGTAAAGGTATTTTCCCTTTAAAAGTGAAGTTAAATTTTTAAAATTTGTAATCATTGGCATTGATGAATTCAGTCCATCTGCTTTTTGTTTTTCTTAAAAGGCTTTTATTATAATGCAAAGGCATAAACTATTTACTAACAAATAGGGCTGAAACCCTGTGTGAGGCCGTTCTTGCATTGCTATAAAGAAATGCATGAGGCTGGTTAATTTATAAAGAAAAGAGGTTTAATTGGCCCCTGGTTCTGCAGACTGTACAGGAAGCATGGCACAGGCATCTGCTCAGCTTCTAGGGAGGCCTCAGGAAGCTTCCAGTCATGGCAGAAGGTGAAGGGAGAGCAGGCATCTCACGTGACAGTGCAGGAGCAAGAAGGAGGAAGGAGGTGCCACACACTTTTAAAAAAACTGATCTCCTGAGAACGAACTCTCTGTGGTGAGGACAGTACCAAACCATGAGGGATCTGCCCTCATGACCCAAACACCTCCCACCAGGCCTCACCTTCAACATTGGGATTACAATTCAACATGAAATTTGGTGGGGACATTTATTCAAACCACATCAAACCCCCTTCCCATTTTTTATTTTTATCAATAACTTTAATTTCTTTATCATTTCAGGTTACTCGCATCTTACCATGTTTGCTTGATGGTGATTGCTTTATCAGGTCTAATTCTGCATCTCCAGATCTTGGAATATTATTTGAACTTGGAATTTCTTATATTCGCAATGTATGTCCGTTGAAAGATAAGGCTTTCTAATGTATCAGTTAAAAGGGAAGGTTAAAAAATGTGTCTATTGACAAGGAAATCCTTGAAGTCTTTATGTGTAATTGAATTTTAATCCCTTGAGGAATGAGAATGCCAGTGATTCTAATTTTATGTGTGCTGATTTGTTTTCGTAGCATTTAAAATAATAGTACTTATTCACATTTATAGCTTGAGTGAACTCCAGTGCTTTTAAAGAATAAAAATTCAAAAAGGATGGGACTTTGCAGAAAGTGAGAAAAGATGCTCACTGGCATCCCAGCGCCATGGTTCACCTCTGTCTTCCAGGGGCAGAGTATACTTAGCCTTGTAACTGAGGTTTCTAATTAAGGGACTTAGCAGAGTAGTGACTTTTATAAAGTGAGTTTAACTTATGTCATATAAACTACTGAACCAGTGGGTGGGGCTCTGTGCTAGTAATTAAATGTTTCCACATACTAATAATAGCTTGATAGGTATAGTA
Organism: Homo sapiens; assembly: GCF_000001405.40. Classification (NCBI taxonomy): domain Eukaryota; kingdom Metazoa; phylum Chordata; class Mammalia; order Primates; family Hominidae; genus Homo; species Homo sapiens. The sequence continues at coordinate 110,147,416 of NC_000002.12, read as the reverse complement.
TATATAGTTGACCTCATGGTAACCCAGAGAGCGTTACAGAGATGTTACATTAATGGTATTACACTGTCCATTCATTTGTTTAAGGCAAATTCATCCATATGTATTGTGGAGGGGGTAGGACTGGGGAAAGGAGCAGGCCCCCCAAAGGAAGCCTTAGGGGCCTCTAGCAACTGACAGTGGGGGTAAAATTCCAAGCAGAAAAGCCCTTGAATGATTAATATCTGCATTCTATCTGTCAGTGAAACAAAGGTTCATCATCCCATGTAGTACTGATATGATTTGAGATCACTCCACAGAATGCTTATATCAGTCAAGAGACAATGGCAGCAGTTGCCACATCATTGGTTTAAGGGATTTTCGAGAGCAATTTTGACAAAATATGATTATCACTTGATATACTACCTTTAATATCTGACCCGCAGGCAAAATGAGATTCTACTGTGTTTCATTTTATTTTCTTGTGAAGAACTTTTTAGTTCTAAAGGTGAATACTAATTTTGTTCCTTTAAAAGGACTTGGTATGTGCTTATAAATTTGACTAGTTCAGACCTTAAGTTTCATATACTTGTCTTATTTCCTAGTCAACTGGTGAAAGAGGAGAGTTAAGCTGTGGCTGGGTGTTTCTTAAACTTTTTGATGCCAGTGGAGTTCCTATTCCAGCAAAGTAAGTTGGCTATATATTCCTAACGAATGAATACTTCTGTAAAAATTCATTTTTTAGACTCTTGATACCTCAGGTTTGTTCTATGAGCATGCCAATAACTTTTGGGGAGAGGACTTTTTATGTTGACTTTAGTGTTGTTTAGGCAGTGTATGAAAACAGCATGCACAGTCTCATCCTAAGGAGGAAGAAATGACTCCTAGAGAAGAGGTATTTTAAAAGATGTTTGCACTAGCCATCTGCTGAGAATATTCTTTCAGTAATTTCCTATGGTATTAACACATTTCACCATGCTGAAAACAGAGCCTAGTTGTCTTCAAAGAGTGGGAAAGTTAAGTCCAGAGTCCAGAGGTCCTCTGTGAGTCTCTACCCTTCCTCTGTAGGTGGGACATTGAAATCACAGTGGCAACCACGGTAAATGATTTAAACTTTAAGATCAAAAGGCAGACTGGAAGCAAATACTGCAATATGTACAGAAGAGTTAGAAGATCATTATCCCTAATATAAAAGGAACTCTCAAAAATTAATAAGAAAAAGATCATCTAAATTTTAAAATGGAGGAAAAGAAAGATCTAAATCTAGGATATAAACAAGAAATTCAAGAAGGGACACAAATGGGCAGGCAGTAGGATGGTGATTAAGATCCCAAATTTGGATTATAAAATTTTGGGCTCCAGTCCCAGCTCTACCCATGTAACTGTAGGTGGATTTCTTAACATCTCCAAGTCTGAATTTCACCTATCTTTAATCTGGAAGATTGTAATAATTCCTACTCCAAAGGCTTGTTGTGAGGATTAATTTAGATAATGCGCCTTATGTGGCCTCCTGCCACATTGGCAGAGGTAGAAGTCCTGACTGTACAAGTCCTTTGACATCATCCTAGAGGGTGCATTACCTGGGGTGCCAGGTTTCTTGTGATTGTTATTTGCTTTTTTGTTTTTGTCTTTTAATATGCTCAGGGTTTTTAGTTGTGCTTAGTGGAAGAAATAAGGAATTGTATATCTATTCCATCTTTCTGAAAGTGAAGTCACAGCTATTTTTTTAAATGAGGTAGAGCTCTGTGTATTAATATAGACACATTTTCAGTGTATTAGTATATGGAAAAAGTTGCAGAATATTTTGAATACTGTGACTCCACTTTTGTTCATTAAAAACTATTTGTGGGCCAGGTGAGGTGGCTCACAATGCCTGTAATCTCAGCACTTTGGGAGGCCTTGGCGGGAGGATCACCTGAGCCTGGGAGTTATAGACCAGCCTGGGCAACATGGTGAGACCCTGTCTCTACAAAAATAAAAAAATTAGCCAAGCATGGTGGCACACGCCTGTAATCCCAGCTACTCAGGAGGCTGAGCTGGGAGGATTGCTTGAGGCTGAGAGGTCGAGACTGCAGTGAGCAGTTTTCATGCCACTGCGCTCTAGCCTGGGTGACAGAGCGAGATTCTGCCTCCAAAAAGCAAAAACAAAACAAAGCAAAACTGTTCCCAGAAGTTGCCTCTGAGGAGCAGAATTGAGGAGGTGGTGCATTACAATTAAAGGGCTCTTTTACCTTCTTCTTTCTACACTTAGTATGTGACTTCAAAAGAAAAGCATGTAGAGTGTTAGTTTTGAAGCATGTGTTAGTTTTGAAATTCACCGTGTTTATACATTTGTTTGCATTTGCATAGAAAAGATAGGGCAGGAGATTAACCACACTAGAGAAGGCGGCATGGGGAGGGATTTTTCACTTTTTACTTATCATTCCTCTGCCATTCAAACTTTTTATAATAATCTACACGTTACTTTTATATTTTAAAAATAATATAAGTTCATAGTGGCCTCATTTCAAATAATGATTTAACACATTTGAAAAATACATTAAAAAAAATCACTTGTCATTAATGTAAGTCATTAAGGTCTGAACACGTTAATGACTTGAATTAATTTTTCTCATTTTCAAGGAAAAATGTATTTTCTACAGTGTATAGTTAGGAAAGATAATTTTCTGCAGCTTATAATTAGGAAAGAAAGACTGTTTATTTGCCCAGATAGTACCTCATGGAGGGATCAACAATTATTCTTTTCATTTACCAACGAGGCATAAATGAAATGTCTGAGTATATTAGTGCTAAAAAATATTTAACTACTGACTCCAGTGTTTTCTACATGCCCACAGCTTATATCTGTCATTGTATGTTATTCTTTTATAGAACTTATGAGCTTTTCTTGAATGGTGGTACTCCTTATGAAAAAGGTATTGAAGTGGACCCTTCAATATCCAGAAGAGGTATGGCTCTCATGTGTTGTCTTCCTTTCCTTAAAGATTAAACAAATAGAAGCATCTGAGAGGTAGCTACATTCTAATAAGCATAGCGTTTTTTACTTGAATTCACACTTTTAAAAATATGTCATTTGATATAAAAATTTTAATCATTTTTAAGTACTTATTTTCTTGGTAACACATATGAGACTCTAAGACATCATGAAGAATGAAATCATGAAGAATGAGAACTAATGCATTAGTTCCTTTTCATTGACCACTGAACTGATACTTGTGACTAATACAGAGACTGCCTATTGCTGGGTCAAAGGATGCAGACATTTGAAACAGTAATATGCATGCCAAATTGCCCTCTAGAAATATTGAGCATCTTTTACTATGTTCATTAACCAGGCACTGTGCTAGATAATGGGAGAATGAAGAGCAAGACAGATATGGTCATTGCCTCATGGGGCTCAGAGCCTGACAGATTTGGAATTCCATTTCCACTCCTCAGCCACCCCTCTATTTGTTTGGTGATTCAAGACATGCCACCTCTGCTGACCCCACAACGCCAGTCCTGCCTTCTTGGAACAGAAAGGAGTTTGGGGTCTGGGATGCAGTTGGTTCTACCTGGAGTCAGACATGCTGTTTTCCTTTGTAATCTGGCAGCAATAATGCTGTAACTCATGTGATTTAGCAAACAATCCTGTGCCCTTAGGGAGGTCTCTCAGCTCATTTAGGGTATATGGATGACTCTTGCCTTTCATTCAATTCAGCACTACTGGGTGGTATATTTTCATGAAATACTTGTTTTATTATACTCACTGTCTCAAGTACTTAAAGTTTCGTGAGTTACTTTTGATTTTTCTTAAAAGCACACGGCAGTGTTTTCTACCAGATTATGACAATGAGAAGGCAGCCTCAACTTCTAGTGAAACTGAGATCCTTGAACAGAAGATCAAGAAATGTACTAAGGTGGGTACCTGCTTTTACCTGTCCAGTGAATTTGGGATCATTCAGCACTTGGAGACCATCTCTGCTTTTGGCTTTTCCTCATATTTAGTCATCTTTTGTTATAATATTTTTGTCCTCTTTAATTCTTCCCCCAAAGGTCAGTAGGGAAATGGGTAACAAAGCTGAAATTAGCTTACTCTTCTATTTACTAGTTAGCTCTTCTAACCAAATCTGTTATTTGAGCCATCTAGTAAATAGAAGACTTGACTAAATGGGGCTTACCAATGCATGATTCTACCCTCAGGGAACTTTTTTAAATGTCAAGTTTATTGAGATATAATTTACATGCAGTAAAATTTACTCTTTTTAGTTTATAATTCTTTGTGTTTTGACAAATGTATACTGTCATGTAATTACCACTACAATCAAGATAGAGAACTTTCCCTCACTCTAAAAAGTTATCTCATGCCCCTTTGTAGTCAGCTCTGTATCCCCAGCCTCAGGCAGGCACACCTATTTTCTTTCTCAGCAGTTTTGCTTTGTCCAAAATGTCATACAAATGGAATCATAACACTCAGGAGCCTTTTGAGTCTGGCTTCTTTCACTTAGCCTAGTGCATTTGAGACTTACCCATGCCATTGCATGTGCCAGTAATTTGTTCCTTTTTGTTCTAAATAGTACAGACTGTCCCTGACTTACTCAAGATTTTTCAACTTTACCATGGTGCAAAAGCAAAACCTGTTCAGTAGACACTATACTTCAGTACAGATTCAATGAATTACATGAGATATTTATACTTTATTACAAAATAGGCTTTGTATTAGATGATTTTGCCCAACTGTAGGTTAATGTGTTATGAGCATGTTTAAGGTAGGCCTGTCTAAGCTCTGATGTTCAGTAGACTAGTTGTAGGCTGGGCATGGTGGCTCACACCTATAATTGCAGCACTTTGGGAGGTGGAGGTGGTAGAATCGCTTGAGGCCAGGAGTTCAAGACCAGCCTGGGCAACATGGCAAGACCCCATCTCTACCAAAAAAAAAAAATTAGCTGGGTATGGTGATGCACACCTGTAGTCCCAGCTACTTGGGAGGCTTAGGTGGGAGGATTGCTTGAGGATTGCTTGAGCCCAAGAGGTTGAGGCTGCAGTGAGCTGTGATGGTGCCACTGCACCCCAGCCTGGGCAGCAGAGTGAGACCCTGATTAAAAAAAAAAAAAGTCTAAGTGTATTAAATGCATTTTCAACTTATGATATTATCTTCAACTTATGATATTTTCAATTTATGATGGGTTTCTGGGGCTATAACCCACCATAAGTTGAGGAGCATCTGAATTCCCTTTGATAGATATACTACAATGTGTTTATTCATTCACAAATTGAAGGGCATTTGGGTTGTTTCTAGGTTTGGGCAATTATAAATAAAGCTGCTTTAAACATTTGTGTACAAATTTTCTGCATGTGGATATATGTCTTCATCTCTCATGGGTATAAATACCTAGGAGTGAGATTACTGGGACATATGGAGTTTAACTTTATAAGAAACTGCCAAACTGTTTTCATTTTTCTTTTTCTTTCTTTTTTTTTTTTTTTTTGAGACAGAGTCTGGCTCTGTCCCCCAGGCTGGAGTGCAGTGGCACCATCTCGGCTCACTGCAAGCTCCGCCTCCCGGGTTCACGCCATTTTCCTGCCTCAGCCTACCGAGTAGCTGGGACTACAGGCGCCCGCCACCACGCCCTGCTAATTTTTTTGTATTTTTAGTAGAGACAGGGTTTCACCATGTTGGCCAGGATGGTCTCGAACTCCTGACCTCGTGATCCGCCCACCTCGGCCTCCCAAAGTGCTAGGATTACAGGCTTGAGCCACCGCATCCGGCCCTACCAAACTGTTTTCAAAATGACTGTAGCACTTTGCACTCTCATTAGCAATGTATGAGAGTTCCAGTTACTCTATATTCTTGACAGCACTTGATATGATCAGTTTTTCTGTTTTGGCCATTCTAATAAATGAGAATAGTGGTTTCTCATGGTGTTTTAAATATACATTTTCCTCAGGGAGTTTGTAAACTAATAAAATCTCAGATCTATCAGTTTCTCACTCAGTACCCTCCTAGACTAGTCATTTAACATCTCTATCAGGGTCTTAATGTCTACATCTTTAAAATGGACATAATAATAATAATATCAACCCCATAAAGGTGTAATGAGGTTTAATGGAAAGAAAATACATAAAACAGCCAGTATTTACAGTGTGTGGCACATGGTAACTAACACAATAGTGTTAGCTATAATTATTTACTACTATAATTATCTTATATATAGATAAATGTAAACATAAAGCCAGGTAGATGGTGCTATATCATAAAATTTGTTCAAATGAAGATGTGTAGCTGGTAAAATCAGGGGGCATTTGAAATCACCTTTGAAGGATTGGGAAGATGCAGAGGAAAGGAGCTCCACAGAGGAGGCACAAGGCCAAGAGGGGGAAGGAAGAGCATGGCATGGGACAGAGACTGTTGCAGCTGAACTGTCCCACCATGACCTGCTCATTGCTCACAGATTATTAAGAAGTAGGGAAGTCAGTGAAGACTTGGCATGCTCCTGTGAATGGTTTTTCTCATTCCAGATCATAGTCTTAGCTTAAATATCCCTTGTTCTTACCACTACTACTGAAATTTATTTTATAATTATAGTGTTAACAGTTCAATCTTTCAATAGCCATTAATAATGTGTTCATGGGTATTATTTACTCTCTTAGCTTTTTTCCCCCTTGGATGTTCATAGAGCCTGTAAATCCTCTTTTTTGGCCAGCCTTTCCTTGGAAAATTGTTATTTTTCAAGATTAGAAAGAAAGCAGCACAGTAGTAGTCTTTGTGAAAGAAAACCCAAATCTTGTTTGGCCTCATTCTTCCTACATCTTTGGCCTCCCCACTCCTCATCTTGTTGATAAGCTTCCAAGAGTCCGGAAGCACTCCCATGTGTATATTTCAAGTACAGCTCTTAATAGTGTTTCTTTGGCCCCCAAATACTGGTTTTCAGACACTTTGTATGACCTCAAGATCAAATTGGACTGTGTGGTGCAGAAGTTAGCAAGGCAGCCCCTTCTTCTTAAGCAGTGAATGCTCTACTGTATGCTGGGTTCTTAAAGGTCCTGTGTCCTTGTGCTCCATACCTCAGGACTGCGTCATTTGTTTCATTACAGTACAGAATAGGCACCCGAAAAATGTTTGTGAAATAATTTCAAAGCAGAGCTCTCCCTGCTAGTGTGAAAATATACTCCTCAGGACTTCCGCTCAGCTTCCACCTGTCCCTGGCCTCCCTCTGCCTTGTCTTGGTGTGTGCTCTTCCACAGAGAGACTTGAGTGCTGGCTTGAAATTGCCTCTCCACTTTGCATGACCCCAAAATATACATTCCTGGGAATTTCAAACGTGAGTTGGGACACACTGCTGGTGCAACTCCAGGCTGGCTCGCACAGAAACCAGCTTATGGGCAGTGAAACCTGGGCCTTGCAGCAGGGCTGGGGGCTGTAGTCAGGGGGCGGGGTGGGGCTGTGCTGTGGGTTCAAGGTAAGAGACTAGGCACCAGCCTGGGCCCTTTTGGACATCACTGAGCCTGTGCATCCTGGAGGTGGAGACTGAAGCAGGACTGATCCATTTCAACATCCTCTCTCCTCCCCTGACCCGAAACCTTCGGTAGGTGGGAGAACAAGACGGGTAATGACACCAATAGTCCTTCTCCTCCTCTCCTTCAAAGGCACGCCCCGCCTCTATCCTCACCCTCCCTTCTTTACAAACTTCACCTTTGTTTATGCAAACTTCTCTGCTCAAAGGAGAAAGGACAGGGGCTCTTTCCATTATGCCAAAGGACATGAGACAGTGGAGACAAGGCCAAGGGCAGAAAGCCTAGTTAGAGTTTGCATTAGTGCCCATTTTTACCCAGTGCCCTTGCTGTTTGGCTTTACACTGCCCTCTCTGACTCAGCCAGCAGTCCTACACATGTATATCTTTTGGATATCAGGAATCCTGTGAAAATGTGAATTATTCGGTGTAGACCACTGGCACCAGAGTCCTGCTCACGGGGCTTGGCAGTCTTCTTTTGTGGAGTAGGTTGTGATCATGGCGACCTTGTCAACATAAGAAAAAGAGAGCAAATAGATGCTTCAGTTTCACCAAGATTTGTCTTTTGGAGCTATTTTTCAAAAGGGTTTAACTTGATGTGATTTGACCAAAAGCATGTGTATAAACCCCTGAGGAGGGAAAGCCCTGAATTTGACTTCAGATTTTCAGTGCATGAGTTCTAAATATCAAGAAACCCTGATCTGGAGAAGTAGGTTGCGTGTGTGTGTGTGTGTGTGTGTGTGTGTAAATTTGCTATAAATTCATTATCCTTTTTTTTGATGCATTCCATCTTTTTTCTCCTTTACTTTCATTATATCGTTGCTAAAAATAAATAAGGTAATAATGTTAGTTGCTTGAATGCTTGAGACCCATTCATTGTGTTCATTGCCAGAGTTTGCTGGTCTACATGTGAATTCAGGAGGAAGTATATTTTTACTTACTTAATTCAGCTAACCTTTAGCAGCCCAGAACTTTCTATTCGTCTTAAGTTTGGGAAAATCAGATGCTTTCTCTAAAGAATATCTAATAAAGGGCAAGCAGCATTGCTTCATGTTGTGAGAAAGTGCCAGAAGGAAAGGAGTGCCCACACTGGGTGGACCAATGCCTGCCAGGCAAAGCAGGCAGGTCTACGAGAAAAGGAGAGGGCCAAGCAGAAGGAAGGAAGTTCCCACCCCTTTCCCTGGCAAAACCTTGGCTGTTCTTCATCATGAGCCCTGAGTTTGGGCATGCAGCTGAAACACTGTGCAATGGGACCGTGGACCAAAGGGCAGAACATGAGCATGTTGTTCATGCTCAGGTCGTTCTGCCCCTTGCTCATGAACATGTCCATGGTCCCAGAACAACCCAGAATCAGAGCCTGATCCCTGAGAAAGCATGTGGTGACACTGAGGCAGCTGAAATGGTCCCCTGCATCCCGTCTTTAAAATGTAGGTCAAATGTATACAAGATCAGAATTTAGCCAGGTTGAAAAAAGACAGTTTAAAAAAGACAGTTTCTGACCTTATGTATCACATGCTGTATATCAAGATAACTGTGCTAAGAGAACCTGTATTATATTTTTAGATGTTTCTAGAAATTCAGGATTTAAAGAGTGGTCAAGGATACTTCTTTAATTCCATGAAACTTTTTTTTTTATTATAAGTTTTAGGGTACATGTGCAGAACGTGCAGGTTAGTTACATATGTATACATGTGCCATGTTGGTGTGCTGCACCCATTAACTCATCATTTAACATTAGGTATATCTCCTAATGCTATCCCTCCCCCACCCCACCCCACAACAGGCCCCGGTGTATGATGTTCCCCTTCCTGTGTCCGTGTGTTCTCATTGTTCAATTCCCACCTATAAGTGAGAACATGCGGTGTTTGGTTTTTTGTCTTGCGATAGTTTGCTGAGAATGATGGTTTCCAGCTTCATCCATGTCCCTACAAAGGACATGAACTCATCATTTTTTATGGCTGCATAGTATTCCATGGTGTATATGTGCCACATTTTCTTAATCCAGTCTATCATTGTTGGACATTTGGGTTGGTTCCAAGTCTTTGCTATTGTGAATAGTGCCGCAATAAACATACGTGTGCATGTGTCTTTATAGCAGCATGATTTATAATCCTTTGGGTATATACCCAGTAATGGGATGGCTGGGTCAAATGGTATTTCTAGTTCTAGATCCCTGAGGAATCACCACACTGACTTCCACAATGGTTGAACTAGTTTACAGTCCCACCAACAGTGTAAAAGTGTTCCTATTTCTCCACATCCTCTCCAGCACCTGTTGTTTCCTGACTTTTTAATGATGACTGTTCTACCTGGTGTGAGATGGTATCTCATTGTGGTTTTGATTTGCATTTCTCTGATGGCCAGTGATCATGAGCATTTTTTCATGTGTTTTTTGGCTGCATAAATGTCTTCTTTTGAGAAGTGTCTGTTCATATCCTTCGCCCACTTTTTGATGGGGTTGTTTGTTTTTTTCTTGTAAATTTGTCTGAGTTCACTGTAGATTCTGTATATTAGCCCTTTGTCAGATGAGTAGATTGCAACAATTTTCTCCCATTCTGTAGGTTGCCTGTTCACTCTGATGGTAGTTTCTTTTGCTGTGCAGGAGCTCTTTAGTTTAATTAGATCCCATTTGTTAATTTTGGCTTTGGTTGCCATTGCTTTTGGTGTTTTAGACATGAAGTCCTTGCCCATGCCTATGTCCTGAATGAGATTGCCTAGGTTTTCTTCTAGGGTTTTTATGGTTTTAGGTCTAACATTTAAGTCTTTAATCCATCTTGAATTAATTTTTGTATAAGGTGTAAGGAAGGGATCCAGTTTCAGCTTTCTACATATGGCTAGCCAGTTTTCCCAGCACCATTTATTAAATAGGGAATCCTTTCCCCATTGCTTGTTTTTGTCAGGTTTGTCAAAGATCAGATGGTTGTAGATATGCGGCATTATTTCTGAGGGCTCTGTTCTGTTCCATAGGTCTATATCTCTGTTTTGGTACCAGTACTGTGCTGTTTTGGTTACTGTAGCCTTGTAGTATAGTTTGAAGTCAGGTAGCGTGATGCCTCCAGCTTTGTTCTTTTGGCTTAGGATTGACTTGGCAATGCGGGCTCTTTTTTGGTTCCATGTGAACTTTAAAGTAGTTTTTTCTAATTCTGTGAAGAAAGTCATTGGTAGCTTGATGGGGATGGCATTGAATCTATAAATTACCTTGGGCGGTATAGCCATTTTCACAATATTGATTCTTCCTGTCCATGAGCATGGAATGTTCTTCCATTTGTTTGTATCCTCTTTTATTTCATTGAGCAGTGGTTTGTATTTCTCCTTGAAGAGGTCCTTCACATCCCTTGTAAGTTGGATTCCTAGGTATTTTATTCTCTTTGTAGCAATTGTGAATGGGAGTTCACTCATGATTTGGCTCTCTGTTTGTCTGTTATTGGTGTATAAGAATGCTTGTGATTTTTGCACGTGGATTTTGTACCCTAAGACTTTGCTGAAGTTGCCTATCAGCTTAAGGAGATTTTGGGCTGAGACAATGGGGTTTTCTAGATATACAATCATGTCATCTGCAAACAGGGACAATTTGACTTCCTCTTTTCCTAATTGAATACCCTTTATTTCCTTCTCCTGCCTGATTGCCCTGGTCGGAACTTCCAACACTATGTTGAATAGGAGTGGTGAGAGAGGACATCCCTGTCTTGTGCCAGTTTTCAAAGGGAATGCTTCCAGTTTTTGTCCATTCATTATGATATTGGCTGTGCGTTTGTCATAGATAGCTCTTATTATTTTGAGATACGTCCCATCAATACCTAATTTATTGAGAGTTTTTAGCATGAAGGGATGTTGAATTTTGTCAAAGGCCTTTTCTGCATCTATTGAGATAATCATGTGGTTTTTGTCATTGGTTCTGTTTATATGCTGGATTACATTTATTGATTTGCATATGTTGAACCAGTCTTGCATCCCAGGGATGAAGCCCACTTGATCATGGTGGATAAGCTTTTTGATGCATTCCATGAAGCTTAATTACTCGTGGAATCCATTGCTGTCACCTCATCACAGTGGTCACATTCATCCTGTTCTCTTCCAACAGGCTGGAAGCCTGAATATTACCTCTGTGATAATTTTCCCTTCTAAAAATCTAATCTTAGGAATTAAGATAAAGGATTAATTTACAAAAAGTAAGATCTCTTTTTAAATCTTTGGTGATTTTTCTCAGCCCAAAGACATCTTCCTTTTGATAGAAGACAACATATCATTTGTAAGGTTTTTGAGATTTTCTATATGGTCCTTCCTCATGCTTAATGACAGAGTTTATATATTTCTAAAAATAGTATTAGAAATATATATTAGAATGATCTAAGATATTTTCTTGAGTACTTTCAAAGGTTAAATCTTGTGCATGATACATTCCCAGTATTTACTATACATCATGTGTGAGGGTCTTAAAGAACTCACTTTTTTTTTTTTTTTTTTTTTTTTTTTTGAGACGGGGTCTCGCTGTGTCTCCCAGGTTGGAGTGCGGTGGCGCAATCTCGGCTCACTGCAAGCTCCGCCTCCCGGGTTCACGCCATTCTCCTGCCTCAGCCTCCCAAGTAGCTGGGACTACAGGCGCCTGCCAACACGCCCAGCTAATTTTTTGTATTTTTAGTAGAAACGGGGTTTCACCGTGTTAGCCAAGATGGAAGAACTCACTTTTCATGTTTCCAGATTATTATTTTGAAATCTAAATATTGAAATTTTTTATATTTTTAAATTTCTGACTATTTTTTGATGCTATTGTAAATTGTTTTGTTGGTTTCCTTCTCAAATTGTGCATTGTTAGTGTATAAAGTACGATTTTTACGTGTTGATTTTGTATTCTGCAACTTTGCTAGTCATTTATTCTGAAGGTATTTTTCATGGAGTATTTAGGGTTTTCTACATATATTCTACATATTTCTACATCATTTTGTCTGCAAACAAAGACACTTTTCTTTTTTTAGAAAAATATTTCCATTATTGTGTTGAGTAAAAGTGGCAGGAGCAGGATCCTTGTCTTGTTCCTTATCTTAGAGGAAAAGCTTTCAGTGTTTCACCACTGAGTATGATGTTAGCTGTGGGCTTTTCATATATGGCCTTTATTATGTTGCAGTAGTTTCTTTCTATTCCTAGTTTGTTGAGTGTTTTTATCATGAAAGGGTGTCAAATTTTAGGCTTTCTCAGCATCAATTGAGAAAATAATGTGGGTTTTTCCCCTTAATTCTGTTAATGTAGCACATTATGTTGATTGATTTTTGGATGTTGAGCCATCCTTGAATTTCATTAATAAATTTGACTTGGTCATGGTGTACAAGCTTTTTAATGTGCTGTTGAATTCACTTTGCTAGTATTTTGTTGAGGATTTTGCATCAATATTCAGGAATATTGGCCTGTAGTTTTTTTTTTTTTTTCTTGTAGTATTGTTGGCTTTTTTACTAGGGTAATTCTGACCTCATAATGAGTTTGATAGTGTTTTTTCCTCTTCATTTTTTGGAAAAGTTTGAGGAAAATTGGTGTTAATTCTTCTTTAAAGGTTTGGTAGAATTCTCCAGTGAAGCCATCTGATGCTGGGCTTTTCTTTATCAGGAGATTTTTTAAATTACTGATTCAATCTCCTTACTTGTTATTGAGATTTTCTATTTCTTTGTGATTCAGCCTTAGTAGGTTGTGTATTTCTAGAAATGTGCCTGTTTCATTTAGGTCATCCAACTTGTTGGCATACAACTATTTATAGTACTCTCTTACACATTTTTTATTTCTGTAAAATCAATAGTAATATCCCCTCTTTCATTTCTGATTTTAGTTGAGTGTTCCTTAGTCATTCTCACTAAAGGTTTGTCAATTTTGTTCATCTTTTCAAAGAACAGAGTCTTGCTTTCATTGATTTTCTCTATTGTTTTTCTATTCTTTATTTTGTCTATATCTGACCTAATCTTTATTATTTCTTCCTTCTGCTAGTTTTGTTCTTCTAGTTCCTTAGGGCATAAAGTTAGGTTGTTGACTTGAGCTCTTCCTTCTTTTTTAATGTTAAGTATTTATAGCTATAAATTTCCCTCTTAGGACTGTTTTCACTGTATCTTGTAAATTTTGGTATGTTGTGTTTTCATTTCATTTCTCAAGATATTTTCTAGTTTCTCTTGAGATTTCTTCTTTGAGCCATTGTTGTTTAAGTATGTTGTTTAATTTCCACATATTTATGTGTTTTCCAGTTTTCCTTCTGCTTTTGATTTCTAGTTTCATTTCATTATGATTGAAAAAAGATATTTTGTATGATTTCAATATTTTTAAATTTATTAAGACTTACTTTGTGACTCAACATATGGTCTTTCCTGGAGAATATGTCATGTGCACTTGAGAAAAATGTGTATTCTGCTGTTGCCGGGTAGAGTGTTTTGTAAATGTCAGCTAGATCCAATTAGTCTACAGTGTTATTGATCTTCTGTTTCATTGTTCTATACCTTATCGAAAGTAGGATATTGAAATCTTCTCTATTATTATAGATCTATGTATTGCTCCCTTCAATTCTGTCAGTGTTTGCTTCATATATTTAGGAGCACTGATGTTTGGTGCATATATGTTTATAATTGTTATATATTCTGAATTGACTGTTTTATGATTGTACAATATCCTTTGTCTCTTGTAACTTTTGGGGGGCTTGAAGTCTATTTTGTCTGATATTAATATGGCTAAACATGTTCTCTTTTAGTTGCTATTTGCATGAAATTTTTTTTCTGTTCTTTCACTTTCTACCCATGAGTGTCCTAAGTCTACCGTGAGTCTCTTATAGATAACATATAATTAAATCGTGTTTTTTTAGTGCATCCTGCCAATCTGTATCTTTTGATTGAGGAGTCTAATTTATTTACATTTAAAGTGATTACTAATAGAGAAGGACTTACTTTTGCCATTTTATTACTCATTTGCTGCTTATCTTATAGCTTTTTTTGTTCTTAATTTCCTCCCTCACTGATTTTCTTTGTGTTTGATTTTTCATAGTGACAAATTTTGATTCCCTTTTACTTTCCATTTGAAAATATTCTATAGTTATTTTCTTTGTGGTTACCATGGTATTACATATAACATCCTAAAGTTATAACAATCTATTTTAAACTAATACCAACTTAACTTGGTATTGCATACAACATCCTTAGGTTATAGCAGTCTATCTTAAACTGATACCAATTTAACTTCGATGTTGAATTATTTTCTATTTTTTAGCCCTTACTGTATACCAGACACTACATTAAGCACTCCATACTTATTTCATTTGTTGTTGTTGTTTTGTTTTGAGACAGAGTCTTGCTGTGTCACCCAGGTTGGAGTGCAGTGGCACAATCTTGGCTCATGGCAACATCCACCGCCCAGGCTCAAGGGATTCTTCTGCCTTGGCCTCTGAGTAGCTGGGATTACAGGTGCCCGCCACCAAACCTGGCTAATTTTTGTATTTTCAGCAGAGATATGGTTTCACCATGTTGGCCAGGCTGGTCTCAAACTCCTGACCTCAAGTGATTCACCTGTCTCGGCCTCCCAAAGTGTTAGGATTACAGGTGTGAGCCACCATGCCCAGCCCACACTTACTTCATTTTAATCCTTTTAGTAACCTTCTGAAATGCAAGTATTACTATTGGTATCCAATAAATGAGGAAACCAAAGCACAAGGAGATGAATTAATTAATTTAAAGTCACATAGCTAAGAAGTGACAAAGTCAGGACTTATTCCAGGTCTGTCACACCCTCCCATGTTCCACCCAGTACTGTGAACAGCCTGAATTATTTCTTCTGCATTCACCAAATCAGGCATGGCAGCCACATGCCTTTGTTAAAGCTTGTAGCTGACTAGTCCCCTTCTTTCCAAAACATAATTAGTGGCTTCCCGTTTTTATTTGACATTTAACATAGGTATATATGCTAACATGGAAGCACAAAAATGGCAACACAGGGTTGAGACTCGAAAGTGTAAACAAATATAAAAAGTTATCTGAAATTTAATGTGGCCTACTTGTAGTAGAAATTTTTCTTTAAATAGTTAAAAATGTGTTCCAGTAATGAAGCAAAATTTGGGACTGTTTATTAAAGTAATATACATCAAAACATTATAAGTTGGATTGTAGGGGATTGTCTAATGAATACATTTTTTTCTTCTTTAATAGTCTACTGCCAGAAACATTAATTGGAAATATGTGTTCTATTCACTTGTTGATATTTTATCGACAAATTCTTGGAGATGTGCTCCTGAAAGACAGGATGAGCTTGCAAAGTACTGGTAAGTGGGCTTTGCCACTTCCTTATGTGCAGTAATGCTTCATACTCTGAGTAAAGGTAACCTATACCATCTTGTATCTTCTGTTTCTGGTTGTGACTTTTGGAATAAAATATTTAGAACAGCATTGATGTTAATACATTACTTATGGGACATCTTCAGATCCAAAGCATTGAGCTTTGTGAACTCGACACATATTCAGTTCTTTCAAACATATGTATTTTCACATTTCAAATTCTAGAGTTTTGAGATCCCAAGAGTCAGATATAGTCATATTTTCCCTTAATGTCTCTGAGTAATCTGTTTTTTCCCATGTGTTTGGTATGCACATAATCATTTTGAAGAGAAACCAAAATCAACCAAAATAGCTGGTTCTTAGTGCATGAAGTATAAGTATCAAATGGATTAGTTTAAATTGGTGAATCCAGATATGGAGTATTTGGGTGTCCTATGTACTGTCTTTATTCTTGCAACTTTTTTGTACGTTTGAAATTTTTACCAAGTAAAATGTTAAAAAATAAGTTTAAAAATCAATGAGTCACCATACATGATTGAACCTGCAAAGATAAATGCATGTGTTATAGTAATTGCCTTCAAAAAGAAAAGCAGTTTAATTGTATTGGCTCTTCTTTCAGTTCAATAAATCAGTAACCAGATATGTACTGAGTACCTGGTATGTGCCAGATATTATGCTAGGCCCAGTGATGAATGAGACAGGCATAGGCGTCCCAGGCCTCAAACACATAATTTCATGAATAATCCTCTCCACCCTTTTGAAATAAGTGCTGTGAAGGAAAATACACAACGAGAACATGCACTGGGAAGACTTGATTAATGTGTAGGGTAAGGAAAGGCTTCTTTGAGTGAGTAATATTTAACAAAAGATGTGAGAGAGGAATTAGACCTATGAGGGAAGTGTGTGGGGAAGGATTCTTTCTGGGTAGAGGGGCCAGCATGTCTGAAGACCCAAGGAAAGAAGACATGCATGTGTTGGAGGGCTTGAAATTGAGGCAGGCCAGTATGGATGGAGCAGAGTGAGTGAGAGGCTTAGCACTTGTGGACAAATAACATTCATAGGCAGGAGTCCTCTCCCAGGGACTTATCACCTGGATAGATAGGTAGAAGTGGAACTCAAAGGCAGAGAAGCGCAGAAAGTTCTCAAGGAATCATTATAACTCTAAGGGGGAGGACGGGTAAGCCTTTTAATCACCATTGCCTTTGAATTCATTTTCATGACTCTTGAGAAACTTCATGAATGATGTGACCTCTTAAAGAGGATAAGGCTTGTTAGTTTTCCCAATAGGTAAGAAGTTTACTCAGAATTGTTGACTTCATTTGAATTTAATCATTAGAATAAAATATCCTAATAATATCTAAAGAATGAATTTTTCTCTACTGAGGACACCAGATTATAGAATACCTTGCCCTTGCCATTTCAAAAGTGTCTGCTATGGTTTCAGTGTGTCCCATCTAAAATTCATGTTACCAATGTAATGGTATTGAAAAGTGGGGCCTTTGAGTGGCGATTAGGCCATGAGGGCTGTTGCCTTATGAATGGGATTAGAGACCCTTACAGAAGGGCTTGACAAGGGAATTCGTCTCACCCTTTTGCCTTCAGCCACGTGATGGCACAGTGTTCCTCCCCTCTGGAGGATGTTGTAAGAAGGCCCTTACCAGACACCAAATGCCATTACCTTGATCTTGGATTTCCCAGCCTCCAGAACTTGGAGAAATAATTTTATTTTGTTTATGTTACCCAGTCTCAGGTATTCCACTACAGCAGCGCAAACAGACTAAGACATGTCTTTCCTGATGTGCTTCTTTGCACAGATTTTTCATGTGCTGTTATCTATTGTGAAATGTCAATATTCTCCCTCACTGTGTTTGGTCATATGGCCAGAATCCTCAATTCCTAATTCTTCCAGTTTCACCTACCACTGTCTGCTGGCTCCAGACACAAGTTTGGGTCCTTCCCTGAGCGCTGGTGGCCTGGAATCAGACCTGAGCAGCAGGTCCTCTGTCTCCTTTCCCCCCAATGCTTCCTAGTTTCTGCTCAGTCTCCCAAGAGCAGGGCTACCTCTAAGGGGAAGATTCCTTTTACCATGCCACAGCCATAAGGAAGAAAGAGAAGTTGAAGAAAAACACAGAACAAAATTTTCTAGTCTTATTCTGTTCAGAGCCTCCTTGCCCTTACTCTAAAAGCTCCATTAATTTGGTACAGGAACTCACCAGGATATGGGTATAGGGGCAAATGAAGGTTGAAGGGACAGCTTTGAGCTCTCCTAGAAGTCAAAGTGTGTAGAATGTGTTATCAACAAATCATTTGGCACAATAATTTTCATCTGAATATTTTTGTGTCTATTGCAATAAAATCCATTGAGTGAAGTTTGCATAAAATTCTTTCTGTTGTTTTGCATTTCAGATTTAATTAGCCATCCCATGCTGGCCACCTTCCCCATGCTCTTGGAGCAGCCTGATGTGATGGATGCTCTCAGGGTGGGTAGCATGCATTGCAATGGAAACCTGCTGGCTTATGGAAGCAGTTATACACTCTGTGTTAATGAGTTCTGTCTAGGCCTTTTTTTTTGTTACTAGGATGATGTCTCCCAATCCCTATCCATTGTCTAGGTAACTCAGTCCTCATCTTTCCCATCTTAGCATAAATTCCCAAGGGCTGCCTTCCCTGACCCAGGGAGCAGGTGGAGTGCCTGCTATGTACACTATTGCAATCTTTGCCCATTTTTTCCTTGACTTAGGATGGCCACTGATTGTGTCCTAAGAGCAAAAATCCAAAATGGTCTGTAAGATAAATCAATTGAATTTGCAGGGGAGAATCAGGGCATGCACATCATCTTTAATTCCATGTGTGCTGTTTGCTGTCTGAAATAACTGTTGAGTGTTATGTTAAATCGTATGAAATCTCCAATTTTCAGCCATTTTTGGCCTAAGTGGCAGTTTCATATGGTTTAGCCTAATACATCAGGGTCAATAAGTAGAAGAGCTGCATGCATGCAAGGCAGATACACAGGTAACATCACAAGTGCCATGGGGGAGGTATAACCCAGGACCTTGAAGATTTAAAGAAGGCAGCAAAGAAGGATCCAAATTCTGTTTCACTAGAGAGGTCCTGCATGAGAGAGCCTAATAAAGGCCAGGGCCAAGAGGATTTTGACCTGCTGAGATGGGGGTGAAGACGTTGCAGGTAGAAGGCTTAGCATGAGCAGACGTTTGAGGCAGGAAGGAATAGAGCTGACAGTCCAGCTTGGCATGTCAGATGCAAGTAAGGGAGTGGTTGGTAGATGGGCAAGGTAAGCCTGAGTCTCGGTGTGGGGCTGAGGGCGGTGGTAGGTGGTGGGTAACCCAGGAAGGTTTCTTCTTTAGGCAAACTCTGCCAAGTGCAAAGAGGCAGAACATGTGCAGGAGGGAGGTGAGCATATTAGGGGGTGACTCCTGCTGATAAAAACTAGGCCATATGCACCTGACAGCAGAAACAGAAGGAGGACTCAGTCATCTACAAAGATTCTTATTAGACTTTGAAACCAATTCATATGCTAGCTTGGCTGGGTTGGGGGGTGTCAATAGTAATAATGACATTTTCAACAGAGATGTTTAAGAAAATGTTCATGGTACATATGATCTCCTGTAATTTTAGATAAGTTCGTCTGGCACTATAGCTAGATAATGCAGAATTTCTCTTTCTTCTCCTATAAAGTCACTAGTATCATAATAATTATTCATTACACAGAACATATATACACTGATTCTTCAACAAAGATTTCACAAGAGCCTACTATGTATTAATATAAGGCACTGTGCTGGCCACAGGAATATTTCCCTAGGTGTGTAACAGGAATCTGCACCTTGTTCTTAGGAGGAAACTTAGGATCCCTAATCTAGTCTAAAATCTGCATTTCCCTGATGAGCAGACAGCTTGGAGATGTGCAGTGACTTGGCCGGCCATGGAGCTCAGCCATGACCCAGCCGGGGCTGTCCCTGCGGGTCAGCTCTGGGTGCACCCAGAATGTGCCACGGGCTGCTTGAAAGCATGAGGGTAAAGTTGTGCACATATGTTATTTAGCAAAAAGACCCCATTTGAGCCATAATAAGTATAAATATATATACATTTATATACCTGCCTGTGAAAAGATCTGGAAGAATATATTCCAGAGAGGTATTGGTGAATATCTCTGGATCTTGGATTATTTTATCTACATTTTCTTAATTTTTTCACATTGAATTATTTGTGTTATGATAATTTTAAAAAAGAAAGTGGTGGTTGTTTCTACACCCATGAGCCTTCTTCTCTCCGTGGCATAGTGTATTACTTAGGAGAAGCTTGGCTGTGCTGTGGTGGTTAGCACAGGTTTATTTCTTACCCATGGTATGTATCCAGCATGGATCAGTGGAAGATGCTGCTCCACAGTCACCCAAGGGTACAGGCTGGTGGAGCCTCTACTGTCTCACAGCACCATCTGGAACAAGTAGCTGCCTCTGTTGCCAGTTTCCCTGCAGAAGAGGGAGAATGGAGAATTGTTCTTGGGCTTTCACTGCCTTTGCTTCAAAGGGGCCTGGGCCACTTCTGCTCACATTGCATTGGCCAAAACCAGTCACACGGTCCATTTAACTTCAAAGGAGGTATAGTCTTCTTTTTGTTCCAGAAGAAAGGAAGTGGATCTTGGTGAGGTAATAGTGACCTTTAACACGTTTGCTATTCCCAAATGAGTTACTCTAAGTGAAACATCCTACTATTTGCTGGTGGCTGAATGAAAAATAAGGTGGGACATTGACATGTAACTAACAAAAATAGACAAATTTTACCAGACACTAAGTCTACATTTGCTAAGTGATACTCACGTTAAACCATATTATTAGGTTGGTGCAAGAGAACTGTGGTTTTTGCCATAAAAGTAGTAGCAAAAACCACAATTACTTTTGCACCAACTGAATAAAATTTAAAATGTACAGCATGTGAGCCTCCTAGAGTTTACTTACCTAGCACAGTTCAGTTTGTGGATGACATTTTAATAATAAGAAGAATGGCACTTGGCCTGTTTAGTAAAACACTCTGGTTCTGTAAGGGTCCTCTTCAAACTCCTAAGGACCCATAGCACAGCAGTTAATAGGGTGGAGGACCATAGTCCCCTCACGTGGTAATAGGTATGAACATTCCAAAATGTTCTCATGAGTGGCATAGTCTGTTATCTCCTGCTGAGAAACGCTCTATCAATGCATCATTTATTTTATGGAGAATCTCTTTATTGGTGCCATATGTTATGTTCATCCCAGGGCCTCCCTGCTGAGAAAGGTCTGATGCTTTCAGGTTACTCATGATATCAGGTGCCAACAGGAGGATATCTACTGACATGCACAGAACCCAGACCCTGGAACAGGCAGCCGTGAGACTGGTCATATTCCACCCACGCATTCAGTTTGCCAGGAAATGGCACAGTGAAAGTCTTAAATTCATACTTCTGTGGGACTAATTGAACTCTGGGGTTTTTATTTATTTGAGGAAATTTCTGTGAAGCCCTGTGGACAGATTAGAAATATTTACTCACAAAATTGTACTTCAGTCTGTCTCATTCTGACCATTGTCATCATCATGACAGAGAGAATTGTAGAAAAGTTTGGTATTTGGCAGTGTTTTCTATTTTCATTACTGTCTTACTTGGAAAGCTTAATACTATTTTATTATTCAGGTGCTGTGGTTGTATAGTTTTCATGGATGTGTTAGTGTTTCGCTGATTCTATTCTTAAGTTAGTTTTGATTTATAATTATCATGGGCTTCTACGGCATTTTTCACAGATACATCTGCCTGGTCATTCTGGTGCTGGGTCATTTGCAATAGATTCCTAATTACAGATTCACTTCTTGCTTGTATAGAATCTGTACAGCATTTTTAACCCTGTCCATAAGTTTATTTACAGAGTAAATTTGCATAAGTGTTGCAAGGACTTGTTACTACTTGGACTAACATAATATTTCTGTTTGCTCTTTAGAGTTCGTGGGCTGGAAAAGAAAGCACATTAAAAAGATCAGAGAAGGTAAAATATGAGTCTCCACACTGAACTCCATATTTGCAGTACCTGGTGTTTGCTTGCCTATTCTAATCATGTCTCTTTTTTAGCAAAAGTAGCCATAGTCATAATCCCTCTTAACCAGGGAAACTGTTTCATTATGGCTGCAAAAACACATTCCAAGAGGGTTACGCATGATCGTTAGCTAATGTGAGAAGGAATACTTGTTCAAGACAGCCATTTCAGATTACTGAGTTTTATTTAAATAAAGGGGAAGTTTCTAAGCCAAAGTCTCTCAGTTGTGTATCAAATTTCTTTTATTTTTAAAAAACTTCTCTAGCTCTCAAAGCCTGTATCACCAAGAGAAGGGAAAAAAAAATGGCCTGAGCTGTACCATATATTGAAAACAATGCATTGCTCCTGCTTACCTTGCTATAAAATCATGGTAATTACCAATCCGAACTTGCTTTAATCGGTGAGTCGTGGTTTGACTGCTCTCATCCAGGATTTGGCAAATGGGAAGGGCTATAGATGGAAAATCTTCTTGGCTTTTCAGGTCTTGTGGTCTCTGTCACACTACTCAGCTCTGGTGTTGTAACACAAAAGCAGCCACAGACAATATGTAAATGACCAAATGTGACTGTTTTCCTATAAAACTTTATTTATGAAAAGAGGTGAGAGTCCACATTTGGCCCACAGTCCATACTTTACCAGTCCTGATCTAAAGTATTCATTATCTACAAGGAAAATGAAGTAACAAATGAGCTGAAAACCCTAAAAATTAGGAAACAATTTATACATTGTATCCTTATTTCAGCCTCCATTTGATCAGTACCATCTACATACATGTGACTTTGCCAAAACTGCCAGGCTTAGTGCTATTCTAGTACAGCAGCCTTGGGCCTGTAGACATTGCCCTTATGTGGACATGTGTGGTGGGATGGGTGATATCTCTGTGTAGACTCTGCTGCCTGTGGACAGCTCTGCCCTCAACTTGCTGTGCTCTCTGAGATTCCCACCATGGCCTGTGGGCATCGGGGCTTGACATGGGTACAGCTGATGCTGCACCATTCTTATCTGTGAAGGGTCTGACATCCTCATCACCAAAGGACCCCTCGACCTCCATCCCAGGCATTGCTGGAAATAAGCCAACAACTCTGGATCCTATGCAGAACACCTGCTACAATTATCTTAGATAACATGACAGTTACCTCTGATATGCTGTCAGTAAGTAGGTTCAGCTGACTTGGCATTGTTTTAGTTATATTTACCCCTAACCACACTGGTGTCACCAAAATTAGACTGCAATACCTTGACAGAATGTGTGAGACACCCTCCATGGAGCTTAGGAGACACCCTGGTCTCATGGAGCCACGTAGAGGCTCTCAGGGAGAACTGCTCCACTGTACTCTGTGTAACTCTGCTCACTTCCACTTCTGAAGTGCCATGTCCTGCCTGAGCAGCTGGCTCAGAGCCGATACCTGCCAGGCACTAATGGCACCCTCCATCCTACCTCTTAGGTGGCTTTTAGTTAATAGAGTTCACAGAATTTAACACTTTAAAAATAACAATGTTATTTGTGGGGGTGGTGTTTTCCCAGAGAGACAAAGAGTTCCTGAAGTCCACGTTTCTCCTGGTTTACCATGACTGCGTGCTCCCACTTCTCCACTCCACACGCCTACCCCCATTCAGGTGGGCAGAAGAAGAGACTGAGACTGCACGGTGGAAAGTTATCACTGACTTCCTTAAGCAAAACCAAGAAAACCAGGGCGCCCTCCAAGCTCTGCTGTCACCAGACGGAGTTCATGAACCTTTTGACCTTTCAGAGCAGACCTATGACTTCTTGGGTGAAATGAGAAAGAATGCAGTGTGACAGTGGCAGCCTCTAGCCCTCAGCTTCCCACGGAATCAGATGGATCCTCCACGATTACGTGAATAAAATGATGGAACCAAAAATCACTGTCACTTTACAACTTAGGTTTTACTCTTTTCTTTCTACAGACCATATTTTTAAAGAAATGTTTATACAATAATTTAAATATTTTTTAAAACCATAAAATAAATTTTTATAAGGAATACTGTTATATCTAAATTTAAACAGTATTTATTTTTTCAAAAACAGCTACTTAAGTTAATGGTATAGATTTCTATAAAAGCAAGATTTTGTCAAAAACTAAATTTATGATTATTCAAGAAAGTGAAAAAAACAACCTACAGAATGGGAAAACATATTTGCAAATCATCTAACTGATAAAGGTCTAGTATCCAAAATATTTAAATTTATGAGTGTTAATAAAATTTATCTTGTTCAATGAAGAGGAAGTTAAAGTGATCCATTTGAGAAAGTTGTATCACTTAATTCAGTCTGATACTTGAATGTGATTTACCCCTAATTAAGTACAAAAACAGAGTCGCTTTTGCCTTTTCAAATCAAGAAAATAAGTGCTCTGTCAAAAGCACAAAAAGAAACTTTCAGGCACTGGAGAGTGGAGTCGACTCACCCTTTCAGGCCTTGTTGCATCTCAGATAAACCTGTGACTGCTGGTAAAATAATGTCCCAAGCCTTTCCTTTTAGTGATAAACAGTAGCAGCCTGCGTTAATTGAGCACCTACTGTGTGTCTGAGCATTTCTCATTAGCCCAGTTAATCCTCACACCTACTGTAGGAGATAGGTACTGTTGTTTTTTATTACCGCCGAAGAAACAGGCCAGATAAGTGAAGTAATTTGCCTAAGGTCACAGCTAATAAGTGGCACAGCTAATATTCCCAGTAAAGATACCATGTATAATTTTCTACAACCTAAGATGTTCTGCCTTATCGGGGCGAACCTTTTAGGATTCCATGTGAAAATAAAATATGAGGAAAAGTTTAACCTAAATAATTAGAATCCCATTAGAGGTACTTTTTTTTGATGGCATGCTGCCTTAAAAGAGCCATTTATTTTTAGAGATCTGTCATATTATGAAAGTTCTGGGCTATCTTAGCTAACTTATCCTAAACCCTTAACCTAAATTTAACTTGAGCCCCAGTCTCAGAAATTAACATGGTATGAAGGTGTTTCCAGGCCAGGCGCGGTGGCTCACGCCTGTAATCCCAACACTTTGGGAGGCCGAGGTGGGTGGATCACCTGAGGTCAGGAGTTTGAGACCAGCCTGGCCAACACTATCTGTACTAAAAACACAAAATTAGCTGGGCGTGGTAGTGCGTGCCTGTAATCCCAGCTACTTGGGAGGCTGAGGTAGAAGAATTGTTTGAACCTGGGAGGTGGAGGTTGCAGTGAGCCAAGATCGTGCCATTGCACTCCAGCCTAGGCAACAAGAGTGAAACTCCATCTCAAAAAAAAAAAAAAAAAAAAAAAAAGAAAGAAAGTGTTCCCAGCCACAAATGTGACAAGTGAGAACTGGGCCTTGGAAAAGAGATTTCATTCTCCAGGAACTCATTTCAGGAGATCTCTCCCTGTGCGTGCCCTTCTGCCCTCAACCACACAATACAAGGCTGAGTGTGGCAAACACCTTCCTTTTGCCCATCAGCTGCCTGGGCACACTTACAAAGTGGTGCCCCCACTTCTCTAGCACCGCGGCCCTCCCCAGCTCCTGCTCCCAGGGAGAGGGCTTTGCCTTTCAAATGGAGGTGGTAAGTGTGCACAGAGACTTTTTGCTACTCTGTTACTGAGTTGCCTCCTCTTACTCTTAGTCCCCTGCAGTCCTGTTTTTGAAAGAACATGAGCCCATATCACTCCTCACTGTGAAAGTCATTTCTCTGTAGAAATGACTTTTAATTTCTAAGCTCCACCTTTTTATTTTTTATTTTTATTTATTTTTTGGGCATTTATTTATTTATTATTGATTTATAATTTCTAAGCTCCACCTTTTTATTTTTATTTATTTATTTTTGAGGCATTTATTATTTATTATTATTTATTTATTTTTATTTATTTATTTATTTCTGTCACCTAGGCTGTAGTGCAGTGGTGCAGTCACAGTTCACTACAGCCTCAACTTCCGCGGGCTTAGGTGATCTCCTACCTCAGCCTCCTGAGTAGCTGAGAGCACACACACGTGCCATCATGCTTGGCTAATTTTTGTGTTTTTTATTGTAGAAACAGGGTCTCACTATGTTGCCCAGGGTGGTCTCGAACTCTTGGACTCAAGCAATTCTCCTGCCTCAGTCTCCCAAAGTGCTAGGATTTCAGAGCCACCATGCTTGGCCATCTTTTTA
Source organism: Homo sapiens (assembly GCF_000001405.40). Taxonomy (NCBI): domain Eukaryota; kingdom Metazoa; phylum Chordata; class Mammalia; order Primates; family Hominidae; genus Homo; species Homo sapiens. The sequence continues at coordinate 110,121,445 of NC_000002.12, read as the reverse complement.
TTTATTTTTTTTAAGCATTTGGCTTATTCTTAGCGTTAAGCCAGGGGTGGGGCATTTTGAGTGAAAGAAAATGCTAGTGAATTTCTTTCAGTGCATGTACAACATGAAGGAAGAGAAGGCTTTTTATTAGAATGCATTTTCCAAGACTGTCTTCCACGTTCATTTGAGAATGTGTCATGAGCTGACAAATATGGACAACTTCATAGTTTCTGACACATTAGGAAATCATAGGGACACCAGAGAAAAAGCTTAAGTGAAGCTTAGGCCAGAAAGTGAGGTACATAACGGAAGGGAGAGACCCAGGGGTGTGGGCATTTCTGCTATTAAGAGACTCCACCTTCTCTTCAATCAGTGGAATCTTTTTTTTTTTTTCAAACAACAAAATCTCTGTGACTTTAAATGCCACTTACTGGCTTCCACAACGGAAAAGGTTGTCAAGGAGCCAAAAACATCCTGGAAATGAGTCCTCGTGGGTCTGTCTCAAGGAGTGTGACTTTAGCAACTCACTGAATTAATTGTAAGAGTCATGGTGGTGGGGGGCGGGCAGCAGCAGGGTGAACAGCAGGTCTTTGCCGAGTGACCACACGTGTGGTGCCTACCTCCAAGGCCAGGGGGACTCACCACACCCGAACCATGGGAGGGCGGCCAGGGCGGGGAGTCTGAACTGTGAACTACATGGCTCACTCCTCCCCACCCTCCCAACCTCTTAATTGGTTGAGTGTCATATCCATCAGGTCTGCAGAGGTGAAAAATGTTGCAACTCGCTTGCCTGGGTGCTTGGAATGAAAGTCTAGGGGCAGAGGCAGATATTAAAGAGCAGGTATAGTCTCTGTCTTCAGTGTTTGTGATCTAATGCGCAAGGCCAGAGCAACTCACATAAAACCAGTTGACATACATAACCCTGTGTACAAATGGAGCAAGTTTGACTTGCCAACCCAGTAGCAGTTGGGAAACTATCAGTTTAACAGAGGAAGCCAGCAGTGTCCTCTGCCAGTTGAGGGCTTTGTCAATTTACAGCATTATAGGATATCCTTTGCTGTGAACTGCCTCAGCTTCCTCTTGCGTGAAGCATTCTAAGTTGGGAGGCTTTCTTGGGGTGTGGAGGTGATCAAAGACAGCTGTCACCTAGCTGCTGTGATCTGTTTCCTCAAAACAAAGAGGCAGAGAAAGAACCTTACTTAGGGCACTTTGCATCTAAGTGTTACAATTATCCATTCATCATTTACTCAACAAGTGTTGAGCACCTGCCATGTTCCAGGCACAGCACTGAGCTTTGAAGATACAGTGAGAACAGTCCTGGCAAGATCTCTGTCCTTACAATGCATGAGGTGGACAGTAATCAGCCAAACACAAAAACTAATTCCAACAGTACTATGGTTGGGGCTGTTAGTGGCCCCGTGGCAGGCATGAAGTCAATGGTAAGTGTACAGGCATTCCTTCCTATCCTCACTCTCCCTCTCCCAACCCCACTGTCTGTTGTTGGGGACCAGTTAGATTCAAATACCTTTTCAAATGAATCCCTCACTATTTGAACTCCCACATTTACTCTCTGAAACTCAAGGACACGTGGATTTGGTAATACTGTATCCCTCAAAACTCAAACTTGCTCTCTGAATTCTGATATTTGAATGCAGTAACCAAGTCAATTTGGATAAAGAGGGATGGGTATAAAGATAAGTGAATGGGCCAGGCACAGTTGCTCACACCTTTGGGAGGCCAAGGCAGGCAGGGTGCTTGAGCCCTGGCATGCGAGACTAGCCTAGGCAACATGATGAGACCCCATCTATACAAAAATTAGCCGGGTATGGTGGTGCAGGTCTGTAGTTCCAGCTACTCAGGAGGCTGAGTTGGAGGATTACTTGAGCCCAGGAGGTTAAGCCTGCAGTGAGCTGTGATCATGCCACTGCACTCCAGCCTGGGCAACAGGGAAACCTTGTCTCAGAAAAATAGTAAGTGAATGGCAAGTGAAAGTCTATAGGTTATACTGTCTCATAGGCAGGAAAATGGAGGTCGAGGATGTTCTGCTCAGTGATGACTGATACTGAATGAGGCGTGCAGGTCTGTGTGCAGCAATATAAAACAGAACTCATTAATGGAATACAGCTCACATTTGGGACTTTGATAGTGTGCCTGTCATTTAGCCCTTTTCTGATACTCTGTAAGACAGACTGGACCTTAACCTGCTCATTTGTATCTGACTTTGCCAGCAAAGATTAACTTTGCAGAACTGTGTCCTTTCGAAGAGGCCATTTTGGGGAATAAAAAGGTCTCCATGCTTTCTGAGCTCTTCTCCAGGTAGGAATCTCTGGATGACCCAGACATTATCCCATTGAGTCCTTCCTCTTTCCGGGCAACTGTTCTGTACTTGCCCAACTCCAGAGACACAAGAAGCCAGACTCAATTCTGCCTCATGGCTACGAACATTAATCACAGCATCTTCCTGAGTCTATCAGTGTGTGCATTCTATCTACCCCATTTGAGAGTTAAAGAGACCTTGATTTGTAGAAATAATAGTTGCAATCTAGTTGTGTCTAGCAGGCGAGAGCCAGTGGGACATGTGTGTTCTTGCAGCAGAAAAGGGGAGAGCTCTGCTCCTATTTCTACAGTGGGAGGCTACTATAGTGGACATCTGGTGTTTCTGCTGCTCAGCCTCCATATACTTCTCTCTTGGTAACGTCACCTCCACCTTGAGTGGCATTGTTCAAGTCACTGGATGAAGTCTCACCCGAAGCCATTATTACCTCTTAGCTTCTCACTTCCTAAAGTAATACGTTCCTTTCATCACTAAAGCCATTTGGAATGGGTTTTTCTAACTTTTGTTATTGAAAGAATCCCAATGGATACAACTGTCTATTCTTTCCCCCCAAGTATCTCTGGATTTCTTCTGGCTTCTCTCTTCTTTTTCATGCAACTAGTAAATTGTTTCTGAAATATAGATAAAGCAATTTCTTAGTGGGAAAAGAGTTTAATAAATAGGAATCAAAAAAAGAGAGAAGCAGTTGTCTCCAAAGTCTTTATGACTGTTTTCATGACTGTTTCAATCATTTAAAAACATTTATTGAGTACCTTTTGTGTATCAGACAGTATTCAAGATGGTGGACATGGCTGTGGTTCACCACATGAACAAAGTTTTGGCTCTCCTTAAGCCCACATCCTAGAGAGGGACAGGGGCAGGGAGACAAACAATAGGCAAATTAATCAATCAGGGAAATCTTGGGTAGTGAAAAGTGCTTGCAGAGTTAAGCAGGATGTTGCTATTTGGGCTCTGGTCAAGTAGAGAAGGATACTCCTCCTCTTCCTTTCATGAAATGCAATTAACAGCCCTGGACAGAATGCATGGAGAAGCTAACTGAGGATTCTAGAAAAAAAAAAAAAGGAGCAGGAATATTTGGGAAGGAAACCAGAATTCAAAACACTACTAAGCTGTTGGTGAGTTTCCCATTTTCTTTCCTCTGGTACCTGTCAGCCAGCGTCAGAGACCACCTGAAACCCAGAACTGTACACAGGATGCAGACAAAGACATCTCCAAAAGAATCCATGTTTCTGGTCTGAGGAATGGGAAAGAGAGCCCCAAACAGTCAGAGAGAGTGTAGAAAATCTCTGTTTTTTGTTTGTTTGTTTGTTTATTCTTTCCTTCCTTAGCCCCTGTGCAATCTCGTGACAGTGGTGGTGGCAATGGAAGTAGCAGCCAGGCAGGTACCTGGAACTCTGAGAAAGGGGAACCTTTGTCTCTGATCAGAGGAACCATGATCCTAAAAGCATGGGGGGAATAATTTTCACATTTGTGTTTCTCTCTCTCTCTCTCTCTCTCTCTCTCTCTCACACACACACACACACACACACACACACACACACACATTGCTTTGGTCCTGAAGATAGACCCAGTCAGAAGAGATGCACAGCAGAGAAGGAAAATGAAAACCCTGGTCTTTAGCCAGAAGACCAAGGCATATCTTCATTTCTTAATATACTAATTGCTTCAGAAGGTGGAAATGGCTCAGGGCCTCTCAGCTTAAGAGACTAAGGGGTTATGGGTTGTATTATTTTCTCCATTTCATAGATATGAGCCTAAGAAGGTTGTTTTTCTTCTTACTTAAACTTTTCCTACTATGCCATGTTGTCCATGGGCAAGTCAAAGGTATCCTACAGCCTGTAAGAGTGGCACAGTGCTTATTTGCAACCTTTAAGAGAGGTGGCAAGATGTGGGATTCATGGAGAAATCTCTCCTTTGCTTGGATTAATCCTGTAAACAAGGTGGTGTAGGTGAGACTGGGGTTGGCAGGTGGGATTAGGGTCTCCCTTACTTCCTAGTTTCCGTAGCCTGGGAAAAAGGGATGATCAGTCTGGTTTGAGATCCACTGGGGGGTTCATTGCCTTTCTTTGCAATGCCTTTGGTCTTAGCTTCATTTGTCCAAACTCCTCTCTCCCTTGGCTCTCCCCAGACCAGGCAAAGGCCAAGCTGGCTGGTCTCCCCACCTGTGGCCCTGAGGGCAGGACCTGGCATTCACCGTTTCTGCTAATGAGATCAAGACATGGCCTCTTCTAATTACTCCAGCCCTCACACAATCTTCCCCACATGCTCTCCACACCAGGGAGCAGCAGGGGGCAGGAAGAAGGGACCCTAACCTGGAGCATCCTGAGCAGACTGTTTCAGGGCGGGTCGGGAAAATGAAGGTTCGCCAATTCAAAGGTGGAGGGGAAAATGGTTCAGCCTTTGGGACTTGTATTTGGTGTGAAAGGAGTTGCTTGCCTCTGGGTCACAGCCCTGCATTCAGCTCCCTGACTTGCCTAGGAGTCAGGAAGAAACTTCTTGGTCTCAAGCCCAGTTAGGGGCAAGGCACTGGCTGGAAGGAAGGCCAGGGAAGGAAGGAGGTTGTCCACTAGAGGCAGCAGCCAGCCAGCCCAGCCCTTCTCTGGTGCCTGCCGGTGTGGTCCTCTCCCAGAGACTGGGGGGCCTTCATCTGCCCCATGAGGAAAAGAGGAGTGGAGGACCATGGAAAGGGATCCAGAAAAAGAAGGAAACACCAAGTCCCAGGGGCATGAGCTGGAAGGGAGGGCTGCTCCTCCCAGGGGAGGCTGGGGACTGAGAGCTGTCCCCAAGAGTGGAAAAGGAGGGAGCTGGGCAAGACCCAGCATTGTTAGTAACCAGCTCTGTGGTCTTGACTTGACCTCACTGATTCTCAGTCTCCTCACTTGGAAAAGGGCAAAACAGCCACGTGCAGGCCGTGGTGGGCACCCGGGCTGTCTGCAGATAGCTTGGCTCATTGTTGGTCCTCAGTACGCAGCCCTCGTAGCCAAGCAGCTTGGGCCTACACTCTGGGCCCAGGGGAGTGGCTGTCGCTGGCATCCCCTGGAATAACATGCTCCGGGGGTCAAAGATTCCTTAGCTGGAAAGGTCTAGGAGGAGACTCCCGCTCTGCTCCCTCCTGCACCAGCGCTGTGCCCCCCGCCGGCCAGGCAGAGCCATCCGATGCCGCTGGGCCGCCCACTGAGGATCTGCTGGCTGCAGCGAGTGGAAGGACCTGCTCGGCTGGAACGTTTTTTTTTTTTTTCCCTCCCAGGCGACGTCCGATGGGTGTGTCGGGCAGGAGGTGATATTTGACAGGCTGCGCGCGGGCGAGCTGCCGCGGAGCACCCGGCAGGGGCTGACAGCATGGCCTCGCCCGACCCGCCCGCCACCAGCTACGCCCCGTCCGACGTGCCCTCGGGGGTCGCGCTGTTCCTCACCATCCCTTTCGCCTTCTTCCTGCCCGAGCTGGTGAGTGCGGCACCCCCGACCCGGGCCACCTGCAGAGAGGGAGGGGGAGACCGGCCTCGGACCCAGACCGGACCGAGAAGAGAGAGACCCAGACCGGACCGAGAAGAGAGAGGGGCAGCAAGCACAGGGGCCACCTGCAGAGAGGGGGGGGGAGACCGGCCTCGGACCCAGACCGGACCGCGCCGAGAGAGACCCAGACCGGACCGAGAGCGGGGAGCGAGCACAGGGGCTGCGGTGGCTGCCAGCCTCCCACCGGGCGCACAGCGGGGCGCAGCTGTACTCAAGAGGCAGATGCCACTCGGTGCCCCGTCTTATGCCGCCAAGGGGGTTCCTCCCTCCAAAACAAAACCCACTTGAGTGTGGAGGCCTGGGGGGACGTCGCTAAAATATCCAGGCTTCCCAGGGAGATGTTGCACATGAATTTTAATTACGCGGCTTCTTTTGTCCAACTATTTGTGCCTTTCTGGTTTGAAGTGAGGAGACTGTGTTTCCCTCTGAGAGTAGGTCTTCCAGTGTTTTCTTAATTGTCACGTCCGCTGACTTTGAACTTTGACTTTTGTGGGGTCTCCCACACCAGGTAGCTATGGCAACATCTGCCATAAAACAGTCGTGTGCGGCACCCTGGTTGCAAATGAGAACCTGTCGCTGTGTTACTCTCTGGGGCGCCCTACGACTGAGTCGTGGCCCTGATCCCTGGGGATCCTGCCTGCTCCCATCTGCAGAGCTGTGCGTATGCAGCGTTCCGCACTGCACAAGTTCCCTCGGAACTGGCTGGTACCACATCCTCTTCACGGAGGAGCACAGTCAAGCCTGGGGTCCAATCAAGGCAAAGGAGTGTTTTCTTTTTCCAGCACCTTCTGAAGTATCTAGCTTGTGGGTGGTATTTTCTTACCTGCCCTGAATTTGGCAGTGCTGTCCCTGAGCAGGGGGGAAAAGATAGAAAGTGCATCTACTTTTCAGCCCTTCTCATTCTCGTCTTCTGCTTGCAAAGTTGGGCCCCCTCAAGCCACTTTTAGGCAAACTGGCGAACGGGTTAGCCATTGATGGCGACCAGAAAGAGAATCAGGCAGGGTGGGCCTAGGATCTGAGTGGCTCCAGCTGAAACCCCACCTAAGAGGCAGGTTTCTGCCAAGGCTACCATCCCCAGCACAGCGTGGGCATCCTGCCAGACTGATGACATAACCGTGCTCTGATGAGTCCTACGTGCCAGGCCCTGGGTGTGCCCCTCACCTTGGAGCAGCTGCATGGGTGGCTGGGGTACTGGTTGACTCTGCCTCTTTTTATTGAGCCTGTGGTTCATGTCAGTCCTGCAAGCCCCTGGTGACAGGGCACTGCCTCCTGGTGGTTTCCTGTCTGCCGGGAAGAGACTCATGAGCATTTCCTCCCAACAAGTGGATGGTGGCCTCAGCAAGGAGGGACCATCTGAACTCTCCAGGCCAAGGAGGGGTCCAGGCCTGCCACCAAGAGTTGGACCTCAAAGAACAGGCATTTACAGGCTGGGGGGAAAGAGAGGGAAAGGCCTAGAGGCCAGGGGAGAAGTCCTGGAAGGAGGCTAGAGGCACGGAGTTTCTGGAACCAGGACAGCACCCAGGGTGAGAAACATGAGAGGTCATGTTGGCCGCACCTGCCCTGCTCCTGCCAGTGAAACTCCTGGAAGAGCAAAGTGCACGCTGGTGTTGGGCTCTGGGGCCTTACGTGTTGTGGGGGGTGAGGGGCTCAATGACAATCAAAATTCACATTGGCCCAATTTTCTTCATTTATTTGTACTGTTAAGTAACGTGAGATTTACAGTAAAGCTGCAATAATAGTAGAGAAAGTTCTGTGTACTCTTCCCTCAGCTGCTGGTAATGCCTGCATCTTCCGTGGTACAACTCTTGAAATCAGGAAACTAACACTGATACTGTGCTATCAAGTACTCTATAAACCTTACTCCAGTTTTGCTAATTTTCTCACTAATGTCCTTTTTCTGGTCCAGGATCCCACATGGCACTTAGTTGCCGTATCTCCTTCATCTCCTTTAATTTGGGAAAATCTGGGTCCTTATCTTGACACTTCTGAAGAGTACTGATTAGGTTTTTTTCTTTTTTTGTGCTTTTGAAAAATTTATTTTTCCATAAATTATTGGGGTACAGGTGGTATTTGGTTACATTAGTAAGTTCTTTAGTGGTGATTTGTAAGATTTTGGTGCACTCATCATCCATGTATACACTGCACTACATTTGTAGTCTTTTTTTTTTTTTTTTTTTTTTTTTGAGACAGAGTCTCGCTGTCGTCCAGGCTGGAGTGCAGTGGCGCGATCTTGGCTCACTGCAAGCTCCACCTCCCGGGTTCATGCCATTCTCCTGCCTCAGCCTCCCGAGTAGCTGGGACTACAGGTGCCCCCACCATGCCCAGCTAATTTTTTTTTTGTATTTTTAGTAGAGACGGGGTTTCACTGTGTTAGCCAGGATGGTCTAACTCCTGACCTCGTGATCCGCCTGCCTCGGCCTCCCAAAGTGCTGAGATTACAGGCGTGAGCCACCGTGCCTGGCCCATATTTGTAGTCTTTTATCCCTCACTCCTCTCCCACTCTTCTCCCCAAGTCCCCAAAGTCCACTGTATCATTCTTATGCCTTTGTGTCCTTATAGCTTAGCTCCCACATATCAGTGAGAACATACGATGTTTGGTTTTCCATTCCTGAGTTACTTCACTTAGAATCATAGTCTCCGAGCTCATCCAGGTCAGTGCGAATGCTGTTAATTCATTCCTTTTTGTGGCTGCATAGTATTCCATCATATATATGTATATATTTATATATATACATATATATATATATCACAGTTTCTTTATCTACCCATTGATTGATGGGCATTTGAGTTGGTTACACAATTTCACAATTGTGAATTGTGCTGCTATAAACATGTGTGTGCAAGTATCTTTTTTGAATAATGACTTCTTTTCCTCTGGATTGATACTGAGTAGTGTGATTGCTGGATCAAATGGTAGTTCTACTTTTAGTTCTTTAAGGAAACTCCACACTGTTTTCCATAGTGGATGTACTAGTTTACATTCCCACCAGAAGGGTAGAAGTGTTTCCTGTTCACCACATCCACACCAACATCTATTTTTTTTTTGATTTTTTGATTATGGCCATTCTTGCAGGAGTAAGGTGGTTTCACAATGTGGTTTTAATTTCCATTTCCCTGATCATTAGTGATGTTGAGCATTTTTTCATGTTTGTTGGCCATTTGTATATCTTCTTTTGAGAATTGTCTATTCATGTCCTTGGCCCACTTTTTGATGGGATTGTTTGTTTTTTTCTTACTGATTTGTTTGACTTCCTTGTAGATTCTGAATATTAGACCTTTGTCAGATGTACAGATTGCGAAGATTTTCTCCCACTCTGTGGGTTATCTGTTTACTCTGCTGTCTGTTCCTTTTGCTGTGCAAAAGCTCTGTAGTTTAATTAGGTCCCAGCTATTTATCTTTGCTTTCATTGCATTTGCTCTTGGGTTCTTGGTCATGAAATCCTTGCCTAAGCCAATGTCTAGAAGGGTTTTGCCAATGTTATCTTCTAGAATTTTTGTAATTTCAGGTCTTAAGTTTAAGTCCTTAATCCATCTTGAGTTGGTTTTTGTATAAGGTGAGAGATGAGGATCCAGTTTCAATCCCCTACATGTGGGTAGCCAATTATCCCAGCACCATTTATTCAAAAGGATGTCCTTTCCCCACATTATGTTTTTGTTTGCTTTGTCAAAGATCAGTTGGCTGTAAGTATTTGGGTTTATTTCTGGGTTCTCTATTCTGTTCCGTTGGTCTATGTGCCTATTTTTATACCAGTATCATGCTGTTTTGGTGACTATGGCCTTATAGTATAGTTTGAAATCAGGTAGTGTGATGCCTCCAGATTTGTTCTTTTTGCTTAGTCTTGCTTTGGTTATGTGGGCTCTTTTTTGTTCCATATGAATTTTAGAATTTTTTTTTCTAATTCTGTGAAGAATGATGGTGGTATTCTGATGGGGATTGCATTGAATTTGTAGATTGCTTTTGGCAATATGGTTATTTTCACAACATTGATTCTACCCATCCATGAGCATGAGATGTGTTTCCGTTTGTTTGTGTCATCTGTGATTTCTTTCAGCAGTGTTTTATAGTTTTCCTTGTAGAGGTCTTTCAACTCCTTTGTTATGTATATTCCTAAGTATTTTATTATTACTATTATTATTTTTTGCAGCTATCATGAAAGGGGTTGAGCTCTTGATTTGATTCTCTGCTTGGTCGCTGTTGGTGTATAGAAAAGCTACTGATTTGTGTACATTAATCTTGTATCCAGAAACTTTTGCTGAATTCTTTTATCAGTTCTAGGAGCTTTCTGGAAGAGTCCTTAGAGTTTTCAAGTTAAACGATCATATCGTCAGCAAACAGTGACAGTTTGACTTCCTCTTTACTGATTTGGATGCCCTTTATTTCTTTCTCTTGTCTGATTGCTCTGGCTAGGACTTCCAGTACTATGGTGAAGAGGAGTGGTGAGAGTGGGCATCCTTGTCTTGTTTCAGTTCTCAGAGGGAATGCTTTCAACTTTTCGCCATTCAGTATTACGTTGGCTGTGGGTTTGTCATAGATGGCTTTTATTACATTAAGATATGTCCCTTGTATGCCGATTTTGCTGAGAGTTTTGACAATAAAGCAATGCTGGATTTTTTCAAATGTTTTTTCTGCATCTATTGAAATGATCATGTGATTTTTGTTTTAAATTCTGTTTATGTGGTGTATCACATTTATTGACTTGCATATGTTAAACCATCCTTGCATCTCTGGTATGAAACTCACTTGATCATGGTGGGTTATCTTTTTGATACATTGTTGGATTCAGTTAGCTAGTATTTTGTTAAGGATTTTAGCATCTATGTTCATCAAAGACATCAGTCTGTAGTTTTCTTTTTTGGTTACGTCCTTTCCTGGTTTTGATATTAGGGTGATGCTGGCTTCATAGAATGAATTAGGGAGGGTTCCTTCATTCTCTATCTTGTGGAATAATGTCAAAAGGATTGGTACCAATTCTTCTTTGAATGTCTGGTAGAATTCTGGTGCGAATCCATCCGTTCTTGGACTTTTTTTGTTGGTAATTTTTAAATTACCATTTCAATCTTGCAGCTTGTTATTGATCTGTTTAGTGTATCTAATTCTTCCTGATTTAAGCTAGGAGGGTTGTATTTTTCCAGGAATTTATCCTTCTCCTCTAGGTTTTCTAGTTTATGTGTGTAAAGGTGTTCCTAGCAGCCTTGAATGATCTTTTGTATTTTGGTGGTGTCAGTTGTAATATCTCCTGTTTCGTTTCTTAGTGAGGTTATTTGGATTTTCTCTCTTCTTTCCTTGGTTAATCTTGCTAATGGTCTATTAATTTTATTTATCTTTTCAAAGAAACAGCTTTTTATTTCATTTATCTTTCATGGGTTTTTTTGGTTTCAATTTCATTTAGTTCTGCTCTGATCTTGGTTATTTCCTTTCTTCTGCGGGTTAGGATTTGGTTTGTTCTTGATTCTCTAGTTCCTTGAGGTGTGACCTTAGATTTTCTGTTTGTGCTCTTTCAGACTTTTTGATGTAGGTGTTTAGGGCTATGAACTTTCCTCTTAACACTGCCTTTGCTATATACCAGAGGTTTTGATAAGTTGTGTCATTATTGTCATTCAGTTTGAAGAATTTTTAAATTTCCTTCTTGATTTTGTTTTTGACTCAATGCTTTCAGAAGCAGGTTATTTAATTTCCATGTATTTGAATGGTTTTGAAGATTCCTTTTGGAGTTGATTTCCAGTTTTATTCTACTGTGGTCTGACAGAGTGCTTGATATAATTTCAATTTTCTTAAATTTATCAAGTCTCATTTTATGGTCTAGCATATGGTCTATCTTAGAGAAAGTTCCATGTGCTGTTGTATAGAATGTGTATTCTGCAGTTGTTGGATGAAATGTTCTGTCAGTTGTAATATCTCCTGTTTCATTTCTGTTAAGTCCGTTTGTTCCAAGGTAGTTTAAATCCATTGTTTCTTCATTGACTTTCTGTCATGATGGCCTGTCTAGTGCTGTCAGTGGAGTATTGAAGTCCCCCACTATTATTGTGTTGCTTTCTATCTCATTTCTTAGGTCTATTAGTAATTGTTTTATAAATTTGGGACCTCCAGTGTTAGCAGCATGTATGTTTAGGATTGTGAAATTTTTCTGTCGGACAAGGCCTTTTACCGTTATATACTGTCCCTCTTTGTCTCTTTTAACTGATAATGCTTTAAAGTTTGTTTTATCTGATATAAGAATAGCTACCCCTGCTTGCTTTTGGTGTCCATTTGCATGAAGTACCTTTTTCCACCCTTTTACTTTAAGTTTATTTGAGTCCTTATGTGTTAGGTGAGTCTCCTGAAGGCAGCAGAGGGTTGGTGAGTTCTTATCCATTCTGTGGTTTTGTGTCTTTTAAGTGGATCATTTAGGCCATTTACATTCAATGTTAGTATTGGAATGTGAGGTACCATTGCATTCATCATGCTCTTTGTTGCCTGTCTACTTTGGTTATGTTTTTGCTTTTTAATTTGTATTTTTGTTTTATAGGTCCTTTGTGATTTATGCTTTAAAGAGGTTCTGTTTTGATGTGTTTCCAGGATTTGTTTCAAGATTTAGAGCTTCTTTTAGCAGTTGTTGTAGTGGTGTTTTGGTAATGGCAAATTCTCTCAGCATTTGTTTGTCTGAAAACGACTATATCCTTCCTCCATATATGATGCTTAGTTTTGCTAGATATGAAATTCTTGGCTGATAATTGTTTTGTTTGAGGAGGCTGAAGATAGGTCCGCAGTCTCTTCTAGGTTGTAGGGTTTCTGCTGAGAAATCTGCTGCTAATCTGATAGCTTTTCCTTTATAGATTACCTGGTGCTTTTGTCTCACAGCTCTTAAGAGCCTTTTCTTCGTCTTAACTTTGGATAACCTGATGACAATGTGCCTAGGCAAAGATCTTTTTGTGATGAATTTCCCAGGTGTTCTTTGTGCTTCTTATATTTGGCTGTCTAGGTCTCTCACAAGGTCAGGAAAGTTTTCCTTGATCATTCCTCCAAATATGTTTTCCAGGCTTTTAGAATTCTCTTCTTCCTCAGGTACGCCAGTTATTCTTAGGCTTGGTCGTTTAACATAAACCCAGACTTCTTGGAGGCTTTGCTCATATTTTCTTTTTTTTTTTCTTTGTCTTTGTTGGATTGGGTTAATAATTCAAAGACCTTGTCTTTGAGCTCTGAATTTCTTTCTTCCACTTGTTAAATTCAATTGCTGAGATTTCCCAGAGTATTTCACATTTCTAAAAGTGTGTCCAAAGTTTCCTGAATTTTTGACTGTTTTTTCTTTAAGCTATCTATTTCCATGAATATTTCTCCCTTCACTTCTTGTATCATTTTTTGGACTTCCTTTGCATTGGGCTTCACATTTTTCTGGTCCCTCCCTGATTAGCTTAATAACTAATCTCTTGAATTCTTTTTCAGGTGAATCAGGGATTTCTTCTTGGTTTGGATCCATTACTGGTGAACTAGTGTGATTTTGGGGGGTATTGAAGATCCTTGTTTCGTCATATTACCAGGGCTGGTTTTCTGGTTCCTTCTCATTTGCATAGGCTCTGTCAGAGTGAAGGTCTAGGGCTGAAGGCTGTTCAGATTCTTTTGTCCTACAGGGTGTTCCCCTGATGTAGTATTCTTCCCCTTTTCCTATGGATGTGGCTTCCTGTGAGCCAAACTGCAGTGATTGTTGTCTCTCTTCTGGATCTAGCCACCCAGCGAATTTACCTGGCTCTGGGCTGGTACTCTGGATTGTCTGCACAGAGTACTGTCATGTGGAATGTCTATGGGTCTCTCAGCCATGGATATCAGTGCCTGTTCTGGTGGAGGTGGCAGAGGGTGCAGTGGACTCTGTGAGGGTCTTTAGCTTTGGTGGTTTAATGGTCTATTTTTGTGCTGGTTGGCCCCCTGCCAGGAGGTGACACTTTCCAAAAAGCAGCAGCTGTAGTAGTATGGAGAGGGACCAGTGTTGGGTGGAGCCCTAGAACTCCCAAGATTATATGCCCTTTGTCTTCCACCAGAGTGGATAGGGAAGGACCATCAGATAGGGGCAGGGCTAGGCATGTATGAGCTCAGACTCTCCTTGGGTGGGTCTTGCTGTTGCTGCTGTGAGGGGTAAAGGTGAGATTCCCAAGTTACTGGAGTTGTGCACTTAGGAAGATTATGGCTGCTTCTGCTGGGTCATGCAGGTTGTCAGGGAAGTGGGGGAAAGCTGGCAGTTACAGGCCTCACCCAGCTCCCACACAAACCAAATGGCCAGTCTCACTCCCTCTGTGTACCCCCCAGCAGCCCCAAGTCTGTTTCTAGGTGGAGGGCAAGATGGGTTTGAAAACTTGCCCCAGGCTATCCTCCTCCCCAGCTTCCCCCGGTGGCTGCATCTTTCCTAACAGTAGTACAGTATCAGAGCCCAGAAGCTGCCCTTGGTACTTGGGGGCTCCACTTTTCTCACATGTGTAGATTCAGGGAATCACCACTGCATCAAGGCACAGGACTGCCACTCACCACAAAGAGCTCCCTCGTGCTACCCTTTCAGGGTGCACCCCCTACCCTGCCCTCCCTCACCCCCTCCTGAACAAACCCCTGAAAACCACAAATTTCATTCCTACAATTTTGTTATTTCCAGAAAGTTATATAAATACATGAAATCACACAGTATATGGGTCTTTGAGGTTGGCTTCTTCCACTCAGCCTAATGCTCTTGAGCACCATCCAAGCTGTGGCCTATGTCAATAGCTCCTTCCTTCTTACTGCTAAGTAGCGTTCCGTGGTCTGGCTTTGCCGTCATTTGTTTAACCATCCACCTATTGAGAAACAGTTTGCCTGTTTCCAGTTCTTGGCCGTTCCAAATAAAGCTGCTGTGAAAACTTGTGTGCAGGCTTTTGTGTGGGGGTAATGCTCAGTTCTCCAGGGAAAATGCCCCCGTATGATTGCTGGGTGGTGTAGTAAGTGTACGCTTTATTAAGAAACTGACAAACTATTTTCCAGAGTGGCTGGAGAATAACTTCTGTGTTTTACATCCCCACTAGTGATTGATGAAACTTTATCAGTAAAGTTCATGTTTTATGTAGTTTACTGGTGAATTTAGATTTCTTATTTAAAGACAATATTAATTTTGAAACATAATCTCCAAGTGCAAAAAAGGTTTGAATGGGTGAATTTTAAGATGAGAACAGACATCCATTTATTTTCTCTCTCCTTCATGTAGCAAGTGTGTGTGCCTTGGGGGAGCCTGGGGTGGGTGCGGCTCACACCCGTGCCCTGCTCTGGAGCCAGCTGTCTGCGGGTGCTGGGGGCTGACCATGCCATTACCTGTATGATACGAGGTGACTCATCAGCTTTTTTATAAGCTGAATTTTATAAGCCGAAGGGTGGAAGCTGCAAGCTCACCCAGGGTGACTGTGAACAAGGAAATGCTTTATGACTATGACTCCAATAAATTATTTTAACTGTCAACCTTGTCACTAGTTGACTTATGAGATTTTTGACTAGTTTAAAACAAACAGCTAAGATTTCTAGAGGTTCAGAAAGTTAAAAGCGGAGACCATGCAAACTCTTTGTTTGATGTTAGATGTTTTCCTTTCAGCTGCTTAACTCACCAGCACATTAGTCAGAGATAAATCCTCTGAGCCCTTAGAAGTTCATCCTGAGCTCTTCCAGTTCGGCAAGTTCATTGTATGTCTTACCCAAATGGCCAGTACCACCTTCATTCCAACCTGCTGCTGCTTCTACTCTGTTTATATGGAAGAGCCTGTCTGAAGCTCACTGAAGCCAGGGGCTTCCCGGGAGCCCCCTAGGGCCAACTCTCTGTGGACTGAAAGTGAATGGGTGGGGCTGGGAGAAGAAATTAGGGCTCCTCTTAGGCCTGACCTTAAGGCAGGCATCTTCCCCTTCCTTCCAACTGTGCCTTAGAAGTTGAGTTTTCCAGGAGGAGAAATCATCTCCCTTGCTTTCCTCTGCTCCCCTGTCAGTTCTCCATACTTCCAGGAGCAGCAAAGTTAACTCAATTTACCCCAGTTTATTTTATAATTTTCTTTTCATGCTTCAGCCTTTCTGTCTCTGTCCCTCCCTTCACTCCCCTCACTGCCATGTGGCGTCTTCCTGTCCTTGGTCTGGCTCCCACAGGGCAGCACCCTTCTCTTCTGTTCTCCTGCAGGACATGGGAGCCACCAACCTCTGTGCCCGTGGGACCATGGGGTCCCGTTGGAATAATGGCCAAGGATGTCCCCTGGAAAACAAGGACGGGAGAACATGAGGAAAGGGAAGGCCTTGGGCTGGGGAAGAGCAAGACCTCCCAGGAGAGAAGATGAAAAGGGCCATGGGACAGGAGTTGGATGTGAACCTCCCCACACTGCCTGTGGCCACCTTGGCCCCTTGGCCAGGCCCAGCCCCTACTCTGGGAGGGCACTGTGTATTCAGGTTCAGTAAAATAGAGTCAGTCAGGATGGGGCCTAAAGTCTGGCTCTGCTTCTTCATTGCTGTGAGACCCTGGGCAGGTTACTTCATCACTCTCAGCCGCAGTTTCATCAACAATGGAAAGAGTAACAATAAAGAGAAACAAGGATCCTATAAGACAGCTGTGGGGTTTGAATGTGGACTTCATAGGAAATGTCAGGACATGGTGAGTGAGTGCTCCATAATGCCAGCCCATACTACTTTAGCATTGGCGGTCATTGGACCTCTTACTAGAAAGCGCATTGTAAGACAAGTAACAATTGTAAGTCAACAAGTGTTTATTGAAACACTACTGCCACTCTAGCCCCATGCTCTGCTCTTAGGGGCATACAAAAATAAGACAGTCATTGAGGGGATAAGGTAAGGCATGAGCCTCTCTTAAAGGAGTGGTGCAACTAACACACTGAAGATGCAACGAGCACTCCAGGACAGGAGACAGGTGAAAAGCAGGGGCTGCACAGCCACAGCTGCCCAGAGGCCCTGGGAGCCAGGTGGTGTCAGGACAAGATGATTCAAGGAGGAGCTTGACATTCTTGGAGGGCTTGGATTGATGGGTGACGCATTTTCTTGTTCAGATTAGGACTGCCTAGGACCAGGAAGTTAACAAATATATAAAGTCAGGGTACATAAAGACTTAAGTCTCCCACTTAAATTCCAAGTATTCATTCAAGCTGAGCACCTACTCTCTCTCTGCCAAGCACTGGCGATACAAAATAAACAAGACAGACATGGCCCCTGCCTATGGAGCCTGATGCGTAATGAGGGCGGTGGAGAACAGCCAAGGAAATCTGTAAAGGCGCTGTGCCTGTCACGGTCCAGTAGGAAACAGAAACCATGATAGGTGCTTCACACAGAGGGGATTCAATACAAGGACTTGTTGACACAGTCGTTGGAAGGCTCGATGAACAGAAAGGGGTCACTGAACAATCCAGAGAATAATAAGTGCTCACAGTGCCTGCTGCCCAACCCCAGAATCAGGGACAGAGGGGCAGCGATGCTGATGCTCAAACCTATAGATGAAGCTGTCTCTGTCTTGCCAGTGCTCAGACCAGTGTGGGGGTGCTGGGAGACAGTGGTCACCCTAAAGAAAGGGCACTGGGACCCTCATCTCCAGCTGCTGCTGCTGATTCTGGAGAGACAATGGCAAGGCCTGGAAAAGGCAGCAGGAAGCCCCCACTTCTCTCCTAACATCCCAGCCTCCCTCCAAGTCCTCCCCTGCCAGAACCTAGCAAGGAATCAGCCACCGAGGGAGCCCACACCACACAGCAGAGAGATGCTGGGAACCACCTGGCCTGGCCCCGCATCCCTGGCCACTCCGGCCCCTGTCTGAACTTCCAGCCCTGGTCTTTCCCTGGCCGTCCAGCAGGACCATGAGCAGCCGTCCCTGAACCAGTGGTCTCTTTCAACTTGGCCAAGACAGGCAACCAAGCACACTGTCAGAAGGCCAGCCCACCCGGAGGGGTCCACAGACTTGACGGCTGCTCTGAAGGAGCCACCGGCTGCTGGCATGGAGTCTAACAGAGAGGCCCCGGGCAGTCTGACCCACTGGACCCAGGGCGAGCCCTAGATAAGGAGCCTTGCCAGTAGAAGTGCTGGCTCTCTCCGCCATTCCCAGGAGCTGTCTCCCTGAAGAACTTTCCCCTGGGCGGGGCAGATCTGTGGGAGTCAGGAGAGGCTCCTAGAGTGTTGTCCAGATTGGCAACACTCAGGGCAAAGGGCCCTAGTGCGGAGGAGCTCGAGCACCCTGACCTTTGCCCCCTCATCTCTTTCCAGCCCCTCCCCTGCCTCGTCCATCCCTGCCAGCCAGCCCCTAGCCTCGGGCCCCCTTTGCCTCCTGAAGAGACCAGCCTGTCCCTCAGTCACCACCTGGTCAAGCTCCCCCATCTCAGCCAGAATGGATGGCTGCTCAGGCCCCACACAGGCCCCACTCCATTGGACAGGGCCAGCCCTTGTACCGCGTTCCACAGCACTAGCTCCCCATGGCACCACTTCCTGTCCCCTGGCCACAAACTGTCCCTAGAAGATACCAGCGGGGTCCCAGAGTACAGTCTCAGTGGGATCCCCATCCAGAGGGGCCGGATATCATGAGTCTGGGACTCCAGAGTCTTCAGACCTCTTTCAAAGAAGACTGGATTCTTTGAGCTTTGCTTTTCTACTTCAGCACTATTCACAGATACCCCCACCAGCCTCCCTCCAACACTGCCCATCTGGACTCTTTCTGCCCCAGTGATGTTGGGGGAGGTATGGAGGGGGATGTGTATTTATTTGAGCACTGTCCTTTCTGACAGCACATTTTTTAGTAGTCTGTCCTATGTACCAGGGTGGTGGGGCATCTCAGGATGACAAGGGGTGCCGATGGGGTCAGGGAGGAGGCAGGGTGGTGGGAAAAGCCTTCCCAGGGAATCCTGAGGGACAGTTGCTCCCTACCCTACTGTGAGAATTTCTGGGGCCTGGGAGGTGATGGAGCAGGAAATAGGTGAGGATGAAACAAATACACGTCTGTCTCCATTTGGTTCAGGCTCCTGGCAGGAATGCCGGTCTGTGGCTAGGCCACAGTGGAAGGCCCAGAAGGCGGCAGGCGATGCCACTTCCATGGGCGTCTGTCCCAGGAATCTGAGGCTGTGAGCAGCTAGTGAGTGGTGTGTCCAGCAACCCCCTCCTCCTTTCTCAAGTGAGTCAGTGACATGTACCAAGCACTTGCTTTATGCCAGGCTCCATGCTGTACTCCAGGGACAGAGACCTCAGGGCACACAGTCCTGCCTCCAGGAGCTCAGAGTTTCAACAGGAGGCAGGGAAGAGAAAAGAGAGACAATGACAGTGGAGAGTGATCCTAGGGGAGGTATGCTGGGGGACTTGGTAGTCAAGGGTGGCTTCCTGGAGGAGGTGACATGGTCTGGTCCCTGCCTTTCAGGGTCTAGTCATAGATAGACTGGGGATCAGCTGGGGAGAGCCAAGCAGGCAATCCATCAACCAGAACTAAGTGACCCGGTGCCTAATGAAGGGCAGGTTATTAGTCACAAAATGTCTGTGGGCTCCTGAGGAGAAAGGAGGGTATGGGGACTTCCCCTGAGCCTGAGTCCAGGGATCATCAGGCAACTTCTTTTGGGGAACATGGGCAGGAACATGAAGTTAATCAATGTACAGGGAGAGTGAGAAAGAGGACACTGGGGCAGGGGGCCAGGGAGAGTGGGGAAGCCCAGCCACCGGGCCGCGGTGGGAGCAGGATGCCTTCCCCTTGCTGCTTTACAGCATTTCTGTGCTTTTCTAAGGTACACAGGTAGTCAAAAGGGAAAATATGCCCCCCAAATGCTGTGTTTAATTTTGTCCTCTTCCTTTTTTTTTAAGAGACAAGAAGGAAAAGGGCTTTAGACTTTGGATGGAAAAGAATGTTCTCATTAGTCAATTTTATGTGACATTGCAAATCTGTGCTGTTTGGTCAGTAAAAAGTGAAGGCAATCAGTCTGAATGGGCGGACGTGGTGCTGGGGGAGGAGGAAGCAGGAATGGGGATGCCTGGCCCTGACTCAGGGCCCCTCCCAGACTGCACTTCCTGCCACTCTGGTGCGCCCATCCCAGGGAGGCCGGGCGCACTGCCAGCCCCATTCAGTGAGTGCTTATGAGTACCAAGGACGCCTGACTTGCTCAGCCAGGAGCAGCTGCGGACGCGAGTTCCCACCAGTGCTGGATGGAAGTTCCTGCCAACACTGTTATCCAGCGGGAGATGAGACCTGGCCCTCACTGGAGGCCTTAGGGGCCTGGGCTGGCAATTTCCTGCTAGCCTTAAAGCCACAGAAAAAGAAAATTCTCCCTCCATGAGTCAGGACGCAGTGACTCAGGGTTTGGAAGTGTGCTAGGTTGAACTGCAGAGTGTGGAACTTTCATGCAATGCTACTTGTTTTCAGGGTGCTCTTGGGGTGCTGGAGACAGACCTGCCACACCCCTACTGGGTAACTGAGGATGCCCCTCTGCCTTTTAAAGCCAGCATCCTCCTGTATTCGAAGCACAAAGGAGATAAGGATGGCTGCTCAGGCTTCATGAGGCTGCAGGGCCAGTGACACGGGGGTGGGAGCTGCCTCATGGGCTATAAGCAGCACCCAGGTGGACCCTGGGTCTCTGAGCCACCCACAGGGAGACTTGCAGTCAGGTGAGCCCTGCCCAGGAGCACCCAGCACAGCCTGGCTGGGTCCCTGACCTCCAGCTGTGGCACTTGGGGTAGGAGCATGCGTGTGGAAGACCCTAGCTCGGATACAGGGAGTTCCAGCCCCACAGAGGTAGGGCACTCCAGGGCTCCTCCCACTCTCCCTGACAGCGGGCCTGTCATCTCACCACATTTCCCTTCACCTTCCTCAGCGGCTCCCACTCCCACCCAGACCCCCGCATGGCCCCTCAGGCCCTGGGATGGGGCTCCTGCTGCAGCCGCCAGGCTGGGGCCTGTGCTGGGCTGTGGCCTACCCATGGGACAGTGCTGTGAAGGGGAGGAATGGTCCAGGGGTGGGCAGGAAGGAAGGCACGCTGGAGCAAGGGCTTCCACAAACTCATCCACAAAAAGGGAGAGATTTCCATCGCAACCTGGTACACTACAGGCGGGTGTGGGTGTGTGTGTAAGTGAAACAAAAGATCCAGGAAACAGTATTTCCCTTTCCTGTACACAAAACGCTCCTAAACTTTACATCCTAGTCTGCTTAAGTTTTTTTTTTTTAGGGTGGGGGACAGAGTCTTGCTCTGTCACCCAGGCTGGAGTACAGTGGTACAAGTATAGTTCACTGCAGCCTCGAACTCCCGAGCCCAAAGGATCCTCCCCGCACTCAGCCTTCCAAGTAGCTAGGACTACAGGTGTGATCACTTAATTTTTTGAAACGTTTTCTAGAGACAGTATCTCATTTTGTTGCCTAGGCTGGCCTCAAATGCCTAGCCTCAAGCAATCCTCCCACCTCAGCTTCCCAAAGTGCTGGGATTACAGGTGTGAGCCATTATGCCCTGTTGGCTTCAGTTCTTAATGCTGGTTGATAATCCACTAAATGGAGTCACAATCCATGAATGAGTCTCACTCATAGTTTGCCAGTCCCAGGACTGGGGGAAGTGGTGGAGGCTTGGGGAGCCCAGCATAAAGGTGAGGGTGGGTGTCCTGAGTTTGGCCTGGGAGTCAGGTGAGGCAGTGGAGTGTTTGAAGAGAGGGTGAGGGGTATGGGCGACCCGCACAGACTTGAATCCCAGGGGCTCCTCAGCAGTGCTGTGAAAGGGCTGTCGCTGGCTGGGACTGGCCTTAACAGAAGGGAAATGCACTATCTCGTGTCCTGCGATCTGGGTCAGCAGCTCGGTCGTGTCATCTGGGATGCAGGCTCCTTTCCTCTTTCT
Source organism: Homo sapiens (assembly GCF_000001405.40). Taxonomy (NCBI): domain Eukaryota; kingdom Metazoa; phylum Chordata; class Mammalia; order Primates; family Hominidae; genus Homo; species Homo sapiens. The sequence continues at coordinate 110,099,823 of NC_000002.12, read as the reverse complement.
CCTCCTCCATTTCATAGCTCCAGGTTCACCACTGCACAGTAATGGCCAGAGCAAGAAAGGGACCATTGTGCCCTGTGCCCCCTTCTCAGGCACCAGGTAGACTTTCCCTCTGTCTCGTTGACCAGGACTAAGTCAAGTATGTATCCCTAGTAGGGAACGTGATGAGCCTAATGGCATGGGCAGTGACATCCCCTTACTGGTGAGATCCCAGGTGGGGAGCTCACTCCACAGAAACAGTTTGTAATGAGAGAACTCTCTCTGCAACAAGGTATTCGCTGCAGCATCATTTGTAACAGGAAAAAGCTAGAACACTCTACATACCCTGACTAGGGCCTAATTGAGTAAATGAGGTTTTATCAACTTGATGGAAGATAATTTTGACACTGAAAACACAGTGGACCCTCATAACTCCTGGATTCTGTATTTGCAAATCCACCTACTTGCTAAGATGTATTTGTAACCCCCAAATTAATACACTTGGCACTTTCACAGTCATTGACATGCTCAGAGCAGCTAAAAACTTGAGTTGCCAGGCACGCACACACATTCCCAGCTGAGGTCAAGCAAGGTGACGCTCTGCCTTCCTGTTTGAGTTCTCGTGCTGTAAGGTGTCCTTTTCGAGATCCCCTTAGCGCTCCATGTTCAGAACCAAACTCCCACTCATTTTGCATGAACAGAACCAAACTCCCAAGGGATGCTATGGTGGCAGGAACATGCGCACAACTGTTTGACAGAGCTGTGACTCTTGAGGCATTTTGCATGGCAACTGCCTGATGGGGTCTGAAGCACAGCCCTAGGGTAGGCCTTGTCTTGTTTTTCATTTTTTTTTTTGAGACAGGGTCTTTCTCTGTCACCCATGCTGAAGTGCAGTGGCACAATCAAGGCTGTCTGCCTCCCGGGCTCAAGTGATCCTCCCATCTCAGCCCCCCGAGTAGCTGAGACTACAGGCATGTGCCACCGTGTCTGGCTAATGTTTGTATTTTTTTAGAGACAGGGTTTTGCCATGTTGCCCAGGCTGCTTTTGAACACTTGGGCTCGAGTGATCCCCACCTTGGCCTCCCAAAGTGCTGGGATTACAGGTGTGAGCCACTGCACCCAGCTGTTTTTTCCTTTTCAGGAGTGTGCATCAAAGAGCTATTTGGACACTCGTGGTCATAGCAGCATTATTCACAATAGCCAAAAGGTGGAAGTAACCCAAATGCGTATAAGCAAATGAGTGGATAAACCAACTGTGACACACATATGCAATGGAATATTATTCAGCCTTGAAAAAGAAGGAAATTCTGACACATGCTACAACACAGATGAACTTTGAGGACATTATGCTAAGCGAGAAGGGCAGTCACAAAAGGACAAATACGGCATGATTCCATTCATATCAGGTACCCAGAGTAGACGGAAAGTAGAATGGTGGTTGCCAGGGACTGCGGGGAGGGAAGAGTGGGGAGTTGTTGTTTAATGGGTACAGAGTTTCAGATCTGCAAGATGGAAAGCACTCTGGAGATGGATGGTGGTGATGGGTGCACAACAGTGTGAATGAACATGAATGCCACTGAACTGTACACTTAAAAATGGTTAAGATGGTGGATTTTGTTATATGTATTTAACCACAATTTTTAAAAAGAGAGAGAGGTATCTAGTAGGCAAGAGAGCCTGGACTTAAACAGCATGCACTCTGCATACGTGAATGCGAGGGACAATCCTTTCCTTCATCCTGAAATATCACAATGGCAGAGGGAGCCTTCAGGACATCCAGGTTCCCGCCGTGGGCAACGCCCGCATGTGTCCTTTGCAGAGCCCATTCCTGCCTGGCCCGTGGTGGGACCAGGAGACCCCGGCTCACCTGTGTGCTGATGACAAGAGCCGCACCCATCTTGACTGGGGTCTTTTTCTCTCAGCCTGAAGTTTTTTAGGCTTTATGAAGCCTGTGGTCACCTGAGTGCCAGGGAAGAGAAGGAGAGGCAAAGCTGTCATAAAAATTAAGAGACGCAGTAAGAAAAGGAATTTGGGGTTGGCAGTACGTGAAACCTGCCATGCTGAAGCAATGCCCAGCTATGCAGAAAAACCTGCCACAGGGTACCCACCCCTGGCACTCCTCCCTCCTTCTCAGCTCCTTGTCTGCCCCACCCCAAACCCACACCTCCCAGCCACAGCCCAGAGCCCTGGCCACACAGACCTGAGACCATGCATCTTTTTGACATATCCTTCACGGTTCCCAGGGCATCATTACTCAGGCAGCGTCTGTCTCAGAACCTCAGTGTGTGATCCCGGCCCCTGCAGCAGCCCCTCTCCCACCCATGAGGGGCTTCCAGCTGCTCTGTGCAGGTGAGCAGATCCACTCTACCCAAAGGCCATCCTCCTTATCTCTTCCCATTCAGAATTCTCCGTGAGACTCCAGTGCCCACGCGACTTTCTTTTCTTTTTAAATTTACATATTATTTGTTTGGGGTTAGTTTAAACGTGAACAGGGTCCTACATTCAAAACTGTCTCCAAGCCAAGAGGTTCTGCTTCCCCGAGACCAAGGCACTGACTGGCTGATTGGGTCTCATTCTGGAAGTATTCTGTTCACCCACAACAAATGCACATATACACAGACACTCGCACATGCATTTTCTTATTTTTCTGCACAAATCCTAGCACACTGGGTACACTGGTCTGTGCCTTTACAAATTCTTGGAGTTTGTTCCATTTTGGGATATAGAATTTTCTCTCTCTTTTTTTTTTTTTGTTTTGTTTTGTTTTTGAAGATTGCAGAGTGTTTCACTTTGCAGACATAATTGATTTAACTGGTCCCCTCTGGATAAAGGGGTCATTTCCTAGCTTTTCTGTAATCAACAGGCTGCAATAAACAACTTTTATATTTGTCATTTTGCTCACATGCATCATTTGTAGGACAAATTCCATCAAGTGAAATTACTGAGTTGAACAGTATGGGCATTTAATGTTTTGATCAATATTGCCAAAATAATAGAGTCGTTGATGGCACAGTTATTTAACCTGGAGGTGGCAATGGACTTCAACTGGGAGGTTGCAGACGGACACTGGGGGTCTGTGAGTCCCCAGATTCGTAGGCAAAAATTGTGTGTGTGTGTGTGTGTGTGTGTGTGTGTGTAGGTACATTTTTCTTGGTGACCAAAGCCATCATCAACTCATAAGAAGAGTCTGTGCCCTCTAAATGTTATCTCACCCACCCAGCTGATTGATCTCCCATCTCTCCTTTCCAAAAGTGAATTTCCCATCCTTTAGAGAGGCCTCTCTTGGACATTCCCTCCTCTGTATCTTTCTCATGGAATGTCCCTTCCTGCCCTCTGTGCCGTTCCAAATGGTTATGGCTACTACAGCCAACATTCACCATGTGCCAGCAGACTCACCAAACCCTCACAAGGGCCAGATGATAGAGGGGCCAGTGAGACCCCCACCTCTTCTATTTGATAGATAGGCACACAGAGGCACAGACAAGCTAAATGACCTACCCACCAGGCAGAGCTGGGATTCAAACCCAGGAGGAAAGGCGCTGCATGGTGCATGGACTGGAGGTGAGAGTAGAAGCAGAGAGCTGGCCTCAAGCTTTCTCAGCCCTGGCCACCCCACCTGGGGAACAACGCAGCCTCCCTTACCTGTTCAAGCAGACTCTCTGGGGCAGGACCCCAGACCCTGGGGCTTTCTTGAAGTCCCCAAAGGCTTCTAGGAGTAGCAGGACTTGGAGTGCCGCCCGGAGGGTAGTGCTCAGGTATGCGTATATTTGAGAAGCTCTTTGCCCCCACACCACGTTTTTTGCCGGCTTCTCTTTCTTTTAAAGCAGTTTTCAAAATAATAAGCATCCTCCAAAAGTGACCAAATAAGTTTTTGTTTTAAGTATCATTTTGAACTCATGGATTTTACCTTAGTTGATGCATTCCAATCCATCATAGCTGTAAGAAGCTCAAGCGGTCCCATCTTTGGGCAGCAGGAGTCTGCTGAGTCCTTTTGACTGGACCTCAGGAGCCTTTGGAAATTTTCTCACTATCTGGTGTGGTAACATCCAGGCTCAACCTCCCTCTCCAAACCTGGTATCAGCCCTTTCTTCCTGGACACCAATCTGGGTGTTTTTACCCCAGTTCTTATAGTCTAGTTCTTTTTTTTTTCTTTTTTTAAATGATGACGCGATTAGATTTATTGGTTAAAAAAAGTTCACACTACATCGTTAAATTTAAAATGCAGGTTATAAGATGGTAATTTGACAATATTTTTTTTTAGTTGGAAATTTTATTTTATTATATTCTAGTTCTTAACCACTTTCTAAACATGAAGGAGCTCTTCATGTTCTAGAGAAGAATAGGTTTTAAAAACCTATTGTTAAGCTCCATCTTTCCTTAAGACGTCCTTTCAAGTTTCAGTTCAGCCTCTTGGAAAATTTGTATATGACTGTGTGTGTTTGCTTATAAGAAAAGGATCTGCCAAAGTTGTGCTTGAAATCTACTTGCTCTAAATGGCTCGCTGTAATCAAATATTTCTCAACTTTGAGGGCCAGCCCCAACCGTTGAAAAATATCTCCCGCTCTGAGGAAATACAAAAATAAACATTAAAATGGGAAAGCAGTTTAGGCCACCAGGAAATTTGGAAAGCCAAATATGAGCTTTAAGAAAAAGTAAAAACAAATACTCAAAGTTTTCACAACTGTAAGGAATCCAACCTAGACTACTTGAGACAGAAATGAGATCACGAACTCTACTGGGTTTCAATCCACCTGCAGCCCTTGGCTCTGGTCCCTCCTCCTGTTTAGGAGGTAGAGGGGTGTGGAAATAAGAAGTGAGTGACTTTCTTCTGCAGAACATTGATTCTGCAACACTGAAGCCATTGCAGGAAGGTTCCCATGACGTTTGAGCAGATTCCCAAATGCTCAGAGGCCCCTGGCCTGTTGTGAAAGGTAGGACAAGGATCCCTAAGCTATAGCTGGAACCCAGAGAGAGGAGGCCGCTGATGGGCTCCCTGAGACTCCAGGTGTGATGTCCCCATCAAGGCCTCTAATGCCCCAGGCAGACCTTGGCTGGGACTGTAGCAGGCCACCCTCTGGCATATTCTAGGAGCCTCTACCTGGCCCTGCCCTTGGCCTTGAAACCTGGTTTTTAGGGCAAGAACCACAACTGTCCTACACCATGTCTGAGTCCCACCACGCACTGCCTGTGTGACCTCAGGCCCTAATCCCCTCCGGTACAGTATTACCTCATGGACTGTGGCAAAGATTAAATGTGCAAATGTAAGTAACGTGCATATGGCTGTGTCTGGCCAGGGAAGCTTCTGATGGCAAGAGGGGCACCGGGACCCCACTGCAGGCACTGACTGGCAAGATGGGGCTGAGGTTCCCTTGCTGTCCCCATGCCTGGCACAGGTGAGCTGGCAGTAAGCAGTGGAAGGTGTCGAATGGTAGTTCTCTGGTCTTTCCAAGGGAGTTAGAATTGTTGTGTGGTCTAAATGAGGCAGTCTGAGTGAATGCATTTTATCAACTGTAAAGTACCTGGTGAACCACTAATAACCAGCATTGTTTGGGTGCTGTTCATATGCCAGCATCTTAATGCACTTCTCATGGCTTCTTGGCAAGCGCCTTAAAGCTGAGGCCTGGTACCTTTCTGAAGCATCAGCAGCCCTTGTCACTGGGATTGACACTCAGCAGCACAGTTGTGGGGGAGCCAGAGGACAGCGGCTTCCGTTCCTCACCACCCCCTCCCTAGGACAAGCCGGCTTTGACTCATTCTCCGGCAGTCTCAGACCAGCCTAGGACTTCCAAAATTCACTTGGATGTTGATTGTTAAGGAGGAATTTGCTACCAGAACTGGTGCTTTAAGAGGTGGCCACGCTGCTGGAGTTGTTTTCCCACCCCATAAAGCTATGATTGTGCTCCTTGCTGAGGAGTCTCTGCCTTGTGGTCAACTTCCTGTTCTCTTCTGGCTTCTCATCTCCCTTTTCTTTTTTCTCCTTAAAAGACTGTGAATATTCCATAAATCCAAAGACAACTGCCAGACAACAGCATGTGGAAACCTCAGAAGGGAAAGGGTGACATATCTATGTCTATGTATTGGCCAGTTGTAAGATAAGAACTGCTGGTCCCAGAAAGCTAAGGATATAGTTCGGAAAGCAGAACTGAAGTTGTATATCTTTTGGCTGAGCTATACAGAAGGGTGTGAAGGCAGGGCACAGTGGCTCTTGCCTGTAATCTCAGCACTTTGGGAGGCCAAGCTAGGAGGATTGCTTGAGGCCAAGGGTTTAAGACCAACCTGGGCAACACAGCAAGACCCTGTCTCTACAAAAAATAAAATAAAAATTGGCCAGGTGTGGTAGTATGTACCTGTAGTCCTAGCTACTTAGGAGGCTGAGGTGGGAGGATCATTTGATCTCAGGAGTTGGAGGCTGCAGTGAGCCATGATTGCACCTCTGCACTCCAGCCTGAGTGACAGAGAGAGACTCTCTCAAGAAAAAAAAAAGTGAGTGAAGTTGTTTGGTCTAGAAAGTTTCTAATACATCATTCAGAACTGAGCTACCTCCACGGACATGAGCTTCCAATCAAAATTCACTAAACATAAGAGGAAACAAGTGAACAAGAATAGAAGTTAATGGAAGCCACAAACTGCAGAATCAAGCTATTAAGGCCAAGTGAATGGAATTTTCAGATATTAAAATGTAGAATGAATACTAAGCAGGAGTAATAAAAAGATATCCACATCTCGACACATGGTATCACTGTTTCACAAACTGCAGAATGCCGAAGACAGAGTGAAGACTAAATATAGCCAAATAAGGAAGACAGATTCCTACAAAGCAAGAGTTCAACTGACAGCTGACTTTTCAATGGCAACAATGGAAGCCAGAATACAACAGAATATTATGGAAAAATATACAACACAGTGGAAACATATCTTGGAAGTGCGGAGAGAAAATAATTGTCAGGGGAAATTTAAAGACGTTTTCTAATAAATCAAACAGACTACTACCCTCTGACCTTCACTAAAGAGACTACTAAAGGTTGCACTCCAGGAAGAAGGAAAATTATCTCAGGAGGAAAATCTGGAATGCAAGAATATCTTCATGACTCAAAATAGAGAAGCATTTCTTTATTATTATTATTATTATTATTATTATTATTATTATACTTTAAGTTTTAGGGTACATGTGCACAATGTGCATGTTTGTTACATATGTATACATGTGCCATGTTGGTGTGCGTGAGAAGAATTTCTTAAACTTGATAAAAAACATAGTCAATAGAGGAAAAGATTGACATATTCAACTGCATTAAAATTGCGGGCTTAGTTAATCAAAGGAAACCAGAAAATATGTGAATGCTAGCAGAATATATTTGCAATGTTTATGGCAGTCCATGAAATCCACACCATTAGCAAGAATTCCTATGAATCAATAAGAAAAAGAAAAATCAATTTTAAAATATTTAACTGATTAAAAAATAAAAAACTTTACAGAGGAGGAAATATTAATGGCTAACAAATATATAAAAATAAGCTGTATCTCATTAGTAAACAATTACACAGTGTCAGTGAGCAACAGGGAATGTCCCACAGCATGGTGTGAGGTTAGTGGGGTGAGGGGATGTGGTCCACTGAGGACTCCAGGCCCTTTTTAAAGAGATAGTCACTACTCATTTCAGCCTACTCTGGCCTGAGAAATGGGTACACTGTGGCCAGAACCATGGATTTCTAAAGAAATGTCCCAAATCTGGATTTTCCATGTGAAATATCCTGTTTTGAATATTGGGAACTTATTCAGAATTGTTTAAAAAGTGTATATGCCAATACTGCTTGAGCCAAAAGACACATTCACAAGCTAGATTTGGCTGAGAGTCCCTCTGTTCATGACCTCTGCATTAACCCCTTGAATTTTCTAACAATCGGACCTGACTTTACCGTGACTCAGCGGGGCCAGCCTTCCTTCCCCATTTTCCTCTTGGTTCCCTCCTAACTTCACCTGAACTTGTAACTAGAGACAGAAAAGAGACACCCTGCAAAGGGAAACATACTCCACACTAGCTAATGAAGCCCCTTCTTTTATGCTTTTATCTTCCAGATATTTGGGTTCTTGGTCTGGACCATGGTAGCCGCCACCCACATAGTATACCCCTTGCTGCAAGGATGGGTGATGTATGTCTCGCTCACCTCGTTTCTCATCTCCTTGATGTTCCTGTTGTCTTACTTGTTTGGATTTTACAAAAGATTTGAATCCTGGAGAGTTCTGGTAAGAACCAGCAGCATGGCTCTTCCTGGGTGGACGTTCTGGGTTGGGTGAGGACAATTGGCCTTTCTGGGCAGGGAGGGATCCTGGGCTAGGCTCCTATGGAACCAAGACTTTTTATCTTACCATTTTTACTACCACGCTAAAATGAAGACATTTATCTGCAAGCGTAAATAATTCCTGGTATTCCCCTTCACTGGCTTCCCTGTTAGGAGAATACACAATGACCTGTGATCAAGCATATTCTGATGTGTTTCCCCTAAATTTTCTTCCTGGTAAAATCCTTGGAGCAACACTGAAGAAAAAGCTAGTAGGAAAAAAATCACTCCATTCTCAAGGCCCTAACACAATCCCTGCGACAGGGTATTTCTTCCATATCCCACATGAATTATATGCAAAGTATATATACATATATACGTATATACATATGTATATATGTATATATATGTATATATATACTTTAATTGTACTCTACAAATAATTTTGGATGTAGATGCTTTCATTTAATATTACATCACTAATTTTTATTTATCACGTCATCTCAAAAAACCATTTAAAACTGTTCCACACTGAACAATTGAAGACATATTTAAAAGTACAGAATATTGTATTATAGGCCCTCATGTAGCCATAACCCAGATTCCAGCATTATCAAGACCTTACCACATTTGTTTCATCTAGCCTTTGTCCCCACTAAGGAATTTTAAAGCAAACACCAAACATCATGCCATTCTATTCCACACACTTCAGTATGTTTCCAAAAAAACTCCGCAAACTTTCTCACATTATCACATGTATACGAAGTAAACAATTCCTCAGCATACCTAAGACAGTATACAGTGGTCCCCCATCTCCGGAGGATAAGTCCCAAGACCCCTAGGGGATGCCTGAATCCTCAGAGAGTACTGAACTCCGAATTTGCTATGCATGCACTTCTTTTTTCTTCTTCACAATTTCACAGATAGACAATTCATTCTTACTGTAGATCTTAACAACCTCAGCATATTTTTTTTCTTTCCTTATTAAGCTGAAAACTTATACTTTTTAACTTAAAGAAAGCACCCTATGACTTCTCTTTGGCATATCCAAATTGCCAGCATCACTACTCTTGCAATTTGGGGCCATTATGAAGTAAAATAAGGATTCTTTGAATGCAAGCACTGCAGTGCCACAACAGTTGATCTGATAGCCCAGATGAGTACAAAGCGACTAACATGGGTGGCACAGACAGTGTAGACATGCTAGACAAATGTCTGATTCACATCCCAGGTGGAACAGGGCGGGACAGTGCAAGATTTCATCATTGTACTCAGAAAGGCACACATTTAATTGTTAATTTCTGGAATTTTTCATTTAATATTTCAGACCAAGATTGACTTTGCGTAACTGAAATATACTGATCTTTATTAGTCTGCCATTGCTTACGACATAGATATTACATTAAAAACACTGTGTATTAGTCTATTCTCACATTGCTATAAACAACCAGAGACTGGGTAAATTATAAAGAAAAGAGGTTGAATTGACTAGTTCCTCATGGTTAGGGAGGCCTCAGGAAACTTACAATCATGGTGGAAGGTGAAGGCTAAGCAAGGCATGCCTTGCATGGCAGCAGGAGAGATGGGGGAGGGGGAAGTGCCATACTTTTAAACCATCAGATCCCATGAGAACTCATTCACTATCATGAGAACAGCATAGGGGAAACTGCCCCCATGATCCAATCACCTCCCACCAGGTCCCTCCCTTGATACATGTGGATTACAATAGGAGATGAGATTTGGGTGGGGACAAAGAGCCAAACCATATCATTATACCACTGGCCCCTCCCAAATCTCATCCTTCTCACATTTAAAAATACAATCATGCCTTCTCAACAGTCCCCCAAAGTTTCAACTTATTCCAGCATTAACCCAAAAGTTTAAGTCCAAAGTCTCATCTAAGACAAGAGAAGTCTCTTCTGCCTATGAGCCTGTAAAATCAAAAAGCAAGTTAGTTACTTCCAAGACACAATAAGGGTACAGGCATTGGGTAAATGCTCCCATTCCAAATGGGAGAAATTGGTCAAAACAAAGGGGCTACAGGCCCCATGCAAGTCCTAAACCCAGCTGGGCAGCCATTAAATGTCGACATTCCAAAATCTCCTTTGACTTCATGTCTCAGATTCAAGTCACCCTGTTACAAAGGGTGGGCACCCAAGACCTTGGGCAGCTCCACCTCTGTGGCTCTTCACAGTACAGCCCCTGCAGCTGCTTTCACAAACTGGCATTGAGTGTCTGTGCTTTTTCAAGGTGACCAGTGCAAACTGTCAGTGAACCTACCATTCTGGGGTCTACAGGACAGCTCTTCTCACAGCTGTACTAGCCAGTGTCACAGTGGGGACTCTCTGTGGGGGGTCTGACCCCACATGTCCCTTCTGCACTGCCCTAGTAGAGGTTCTTCATAAGGGCTCCACCCCTGCAGCAGACTCTGCCTGTACATCCAGTCATTTCCATACATCCTCTGAAATCATGGCAGAGGTTCCTAAACCTCAATTCTTGCCTTCTGCATGCCTGTAGGTCCAACACCATGTGTAAGCTGCCAAGGCTTGAGGCTTACACACTCTGAAGCAATGGCCCAAGCTGTACCTTGGCCCCCAGCTGCTGGAGCTGGGGCAGCCGGGTTGCAGAGTGCTGTGTTCCAGGACTGTGCAGAGCAACAGGGCCCTGAGCCTGGCCCACAAAACCATTTTTCCCTCCTAGGTCTCTGAGCCTGTGATGGGAGGGGCTACTGTGAAGATCTCTGAAATGCCCTGGAGATATCGTCCCCTTTGTCTTGGGGACCCTCATTACTCATGAAAATTTCTGCAGCTGACAGCTTGAATTTCTCCCCAGAAAATATGTTTTTCTTTTCTAACACATGATCAGGCTGCAAATTTTCCAAACTTTTATGTTCTGCTTCCCTTTTAAACATAAGTTCCAATTTTGGACCATCTCTTTGTGAATGCATATGATTGTACACTTTCAGGAAAAGTCAGGTCACATCTTGAATGCTTCAATGCTTAGAAATTTCTTCTGCCAGATACCCCAAATCATCTCTTTTAAGTTCAGAGTGCCACAGATCTCTAGGACAGGGGTAAAATGCCACCAGTCTCTTTGCTAAAGCATAGCAAGAGTGACCTTTATTCCAGTTCCCAATAAGTTCCTCATCTCCATCTGAGACCACCTCAGCCTGGATTTCATTGTCCATATCACCATCAGCATTTTGGTCAGAATCATTCAACAAGTCTCTAGAAAGTTCCAAACTTTCCTACATCTTCCTGTCTTCTTCTGGGTACCCCAAACTGTTCCAACCTTTGCCCATTATCCAGTTCCAAAGTTGCTTCCACATTTTCAGGTATCTTTATAGCAGTGCCTGACTCCTGGTACCAATTTTCTGTATTAGTCTGTTCTCACACTGCTGTAAAGAACTACCTGAGGCTGGGTAATTTATAAGGAAAAGAGGTTTAATTGGCTCACAGTTCTGCATGGCTAGGGAGGTCTCAGGAATCTTACAATCATGGTGGAAGGCGAAGGGGAAGCAAGGCACACCTTACATGGCAGCAGGAGTGAGAGAGGGAAGTGTCACACTTTTAAACCATCAGATCTTATGAGAACTCCCTCACTATCACGAGAACAGCATGGGGAAACTGCCCCCATAATCCAGTCATCTCCCACCAGGTCCCTCCCCCAACATGTGGGGATTACAATTCGAGATGAGATTTGGGCAGGGACACAGAGCCAAACCAAATCACACTGCAAAAAAAAAAAAAAAAGGCAGGACTCTAGGGGGCTGGCCTGCCTCATTTGCTCATTCTTTACTGCTATGTAGCCAGAGAGGAAAATGTTCACCTGATTGATGTGGCCATGCGTGGCTCTGCTCTGCATTTCCAGGACAGCCTGTACCACGGGACCACTGGCATCCTGTACATGAGCGCTGCCGTCCTACAAGTACATGCCACGATTGTTTCTGAGAAACTGCTGGACCCAAGAATTTACTACATTAATTCGGCAGCCTCGGTGAGTGGGCTGGCCAAGGACAGCAGTCTTGCCTGGAGGATGTTTCGTGCAGGAGGCCTAACTTTGCTTGTGCTGTATAGACCCTGAGCCCTCAAGTGGAAGGAGCCATGGGGGCAGGGGATAGGGATGTGTGTCCCTGTAAACATGTGCACCCACGTTCAGGGGTCCTCTTTTACCTTCTATTGTTCCCACTCCAGCTTTCCTCTCTCTTAGACACCCCCCACGCTGTCTGCAGAATTTTCTTTTTCCAAAACACAAATTGGAACAGATGTCTCTCTCCTACTGAAAATCCTTCAATGGCACCCACTGCCTTTGGAATGGGGCCCGCATCCCTCGGCATGGCTGAACTATTGAGAGATGAAGCAGGGAAGGGGAAAGTGGAATGTCGAGGTCTCAGGGGAGGAGGCATCAGGGAAGGCCCTGTCAAGAGGACAGAAGGAGGCAGGGGCCACCAGGCAGTTACCCCTGCTAAGGTCCCACCAGGCAGTTACCCCTGCCAAGGACCCTCTGTGTGCTCAAGGGCAGCCAGGAGGGTGGTGTAGCTGGGACAGCTGGCCATGGAGGATTGCAGGGGCCGTTGCTGGTCTTGCAAGTTTAGGAAGTTAAACTCACCTGATGAGGAGGGAAGGGAGGCAGACAGGCCAGAAGGCAGCTGAAATATCTTGTGGCCACCCCAGAGGGTCACAGTGCACTCCACAGTGGGTGGCATTTACCTCCATCTAACCCATGTATGTGCTACTCATCTATCTTGCTGCTATCTGCTTCTTATCTCTCAAATGTAAGCTCCATGAGGGCAGGAATTTTTGAATATTTTCTTCACTGTTATACCCACAGTTGCTCTTGAAGGAAAGCAGGTCCTTAAAAGATATTTGTTGACTGACTGACTGAATGAGGAGCGTGTGAGTGGACAGTGGGGCAGAGTGGGGCTGGGATGTTTGGCAGGGCCTGAAAGGTATTGAAGGTGACGGCCCTACCCTGAGAAAAGAGCAGAGCCATCATACAGCTTCAACGTGGGGCAACGGGATTGTGTTCTCCCCATGAGTGAGAAGTGTCCTCACTTGTCCACTTCTGCCTGCCCTGCCCAAATGGTGGAGCAGATTCGAGGGGCAGGGCAGGAAGAAGTGGACAAGTGAGGCCATGAGGAGTCCTGCCGAGGGATGCCGGTGGCTGAGACAAGGGAAAAATGAATGTCCCAAGAGCTAGGCAGGGAAATCAGTAGCCTTTGGGGTGGCTTTGCATATGGCTGGCAAGGGAGGCAGGAGGAGCCAGGGGCCACAGGGGTCAGGCTCAGGGAGTGGGGCGAGAGGAGGACCCTGGGGCCCACTGGGCTTGTCAGGCTTGTGAGGAAACGTCAGGGGCTCAGTGTGAGCCAGGAAGAGCTGGAGGATGTCTGAACATTCACGAGGAGCTGATAAGCAGCCGCTCAGGGCAGAGTTCTGGGCCAGCGAGGGGAGCTGTAGGAGTGTTCAGAACACAGATTTGCTGGAGGTGGGCAGAGGAGAGCGGGCCTCGGGCAGGAGGTCAGCGTGGGATATGGGCCCAGAGCTGTGGTGGAGGTGAGCCTGCTTCACAGCCAGGTGCAGATGAGGTGGAGACTGCAGTCGGGGCAGGACACCAGGACGGCCCCAGGGAGGCCCTGATGGAGAGTTTCCAGAAGAGGGAGTTGTTGGCCAGGGGTTGCTGCCCTCAGGCCACGCAGGAGGCGAGGAGGCAGGGTCATGCGTGGCCTCCTGGGCAGTGGGGCTGAGGGTACCTGAGGGGTGGGCAGGAGCTGGCGCTGCTGTCTCTAACAGTCACTCTCCACCTCCTTCCAGTTCTTCGCCTTCATCGCCACGCTGCTCTACATTCTCCATGCCTTCAGCATCTATTACCACTGATGCACAGGCGCCAGGCCAAGGGGGAAATGCTCTTTGAAAGCTCCAATTATTGGTCCCCAAAAGCAGCTTCCAACGTTTGCCATCTGGATGACAAACGGAAGATCCACTAAAACGTCCACGGGATTAACAGAACGTCCTTGCAGACTGAGCGATGACACCACACTTTGTTTGGACATTTAAATTCACTCTGCTGAATAGGAGGAAGCTTTTCTTTTTCCTGGGAAAACAACTGTCTCTTGGAATTATCTGACCATGAACTTGCTCTTCTAGACAACTCACATCAAAGCCCTCACTCCACTAATGGAGAATCCTAGCCCCACTAATGCCAAGTCTGTTTGGGGATTTTGCCTCAGCTATGGGCTTCCCTAGAGTAGGTCTAGGGGAATACTCAGTCTGATCTTTTTTTTGTTTGTTTTATTTTGTTTTTTTTGAGACGGAGTCTCGCTCTTCCTCCAAGGCTGGAGTGCAGTGACGCGATCTCCACTCACTGCAGGCTCCGCCTCCCGGGTTCCCGCCATTCTCCTGCCTCAGCCTCCCGAGTAGCCGGGACTACAGGCGCCCACCACCGTGCCCGGCTAATTTAGTTGTATTTTTAGTAGAGATGGGGTTTCACCGTATTAGCCAGGATGGTCTCGATCTCCTGACCTCGTGATCCGCCCGCCTCGGCCTCCCAAAGTGCTGGGATTACAGGCGTGAGCCACCGCGCCCGGCCTGATTCTCTTAAAATTGAAGAGGTGCTGCCAAGGCCTTCAGATCTAACGCAGATGCATAGACCTTGTTCCTGGTACTTGTTCAGCCTGTGCTGGGGAGCCGTGGTCCCGAGTTCCCTGGGAGGCTGACAGGGTCAAGCCACCCTGCCCACCACCCTCCCACTTCCCCTCCCCTTTCCTCTCCAGCATTAGGATTCAAGGGAAATTTGCATGAAGCCAATTTTGAGGGTAGACGTGTGGGGAAAATAAATCATTATACAGTAAGACCTGGGGCTTGAGGGGTGGGGAATGGGGAGGGAAGGGCATAGCCTGCTCCTCCATGAGTCTGACATCTCGGAAACTGAGCAGCTGCCGGACGCCTGGGTCAGGAATCCAAGACCCCACCTCTTAAGGACTGGTTCCTCAGAAAGCACCCTCAGGGAAAAAGGTGAAAACATTACATCCGTGGATTCTCCTGCCACAACCGCATTGGAAGAAAAGGCTGCCGCAACATCTCAGCGAGGAGTGAAGGACCCATGTCCCAGGAACCGCGCTGCGCCACCTGCACTCACCCCCCTCACATTCTCTTAAGCACCCGGTGGCCCTCCGAGGCCTGGCGGAATGGTGGTGCCCACGGGGTTGGGCAAGGGCTCACCAGGACCTCAACGGGCAAAGTTGTGCACACTAAAATATCAAATCAAGGTGCTTGGTTTTAAAGTAAATGTTTTTCTAAAGAAAGCTGTGCTCTTCTGTTGACCCAGACGAATAGGGCACAGCCCTGTAACTGCACGTGCCTTCTGTCATTGGGAATGAAATAAATTATTACGAGAAAGGGACTTGTCCTAACTGGTTTGAGGCCTTACAGTTTTGTATCTACATTTTTCCCCTCCTGGGGTTTGCGGGGACAGGGACAGAACTACAGGAGTCATGGGAAAGAAAATTCTGGCTTCACTACTGCTCACTGCTCACTTTCTGATCACTCTGATACTTTTTTTTTTTTTTTTTTTTTTGCAACCTGATACCTTGAAAAGCTTCTATGTGTCTCTCCTTTTGTTGCCTGGCAGCTGTCTAGGATGATCACTGATTACTATTTACTAAGTAGCCACATGCAAATAAAAGTTGTTTGGTAAAAAGGAGCAGTTGGTCGACTTCATCTTGTTAGCATCTGGAACTGGCCATCAGGTACTAGGTGTTGTCAGTAATTTCAAGAAAAGCACCCCTTGGAGCATTTCACAACCTAAGTTCTCTGAGGGTGGGATCCCAGCCCACCCGGCCTTGCTTCTAGAGCAAGAGCGAAGGGAGGTCACATTTGTCTCCAGGGCTTCGGGTTTATAATGTCATTTGTACTTCAGTAAGGACAGTTTGGGTGCAAGTTCCGGAAACCAAACTCATACAGCTTAGGCAAAAATGGGAGTGCACCAGTAGGGGCTGGGAGAGGTGAAGAGGGCTCAGTAGGAGGAGAGCTGACCCCCGCATGGCTCTCTGCTGCACACTGGCCATCGTCTCTTGCCACACTGCAAGACTTGTCCAAGTCTCAACAAACACCGGCCTCCCATCCCACGTGCAGACACTAGAGGCTCAGCCTGGACCCCCAAAGTCCATCCACCCACAGCTGTTGCAGTGCTGCTTTCTGCCTTGAGGGGCAGCCCTCCTCTCAGCGTAGGGGTCTCCCCAGGCTCTTGTCTTCTGGAGGGAACACCCCGAGGCTCTTGGCAGGCTTCTCAGAGGCCCCAGCAGGAGTGGGCTATCAGGGAACCTGCCCCGATAGTCATGTAGGTTCTTTTCTATTTTTCCTAAGTGTCGGCTGGCTTGAGAAATAAAGGGACAGAGTACAAAAGAAAAATTTTAAAGCTGGGCATCCAGGGGAGACACCACATGTCAGTAGGTTCCGTGATGCCCCACAAGCCGTAAAACCAGCAAGTTTTTATTAGGGAGTTTCAAAAGGGGAGGGAGTGTGCGAATAGGTGTGGGTCACAGAGATCACGTGCTTCACAAGGTAAATAGAATATCAGAAGGCAAATGGAGGCAGGGCGAGATCACAGGACCACAGGATGGAGGCAAAATTAAAATTGCTAATGAGGTTTCGGGCACCATTGTCATTGATAACATCTTATCAGGAGACAGGGTTTTGAGAGCAACCGGTCTGACCAAAATTTATTAGGCAGGAATTTCCTCTTCCTAATAAGCCTGGGAGCGCTGTGGGAGACTGGAGTCTATTTCACCCCTACAGCCTCGACCATAGAAGACAGCCACGCCCAGGGGGGCCTTCTATAGACCTACCCCCCAGGTGCGTATTCTCTTTCCCAGGGATGTTCCTTACTGAGAAAAAGAATTCAGCGATATTTCTCCCATTTGCTTTTGAAAGAAAAGAAATATGGCTCTGTTCTGCCTGGCTCACCAGTGGTCAGAGTTTAAGGTTATCTCTCTTGTTCCCTAAACATTGCTGTTATCCTGTTCTTTTTTCAAGGTGCCCAGATTTCATATTGTTCAAACACACATGCTCTACAATTTGTGCAGTTAACGAAATTATGACACGGTCCTGAGGCGACATACGTCCTCCTCGGTTTATGAGATGACAGGATTAAGAGATTAAAGTAAAGACAGGCATAGGAAATCACAAGGGTGTTGATTGGGGAAGTGGTAAGTGTCCATGAAATCTTCACAATTTATGTTTAGAGATTGCAGTAAAGACAGGCATAAGAAATTATAAAAGTATTAATTTGGGGAACTAATAAATGTCCATGAAATCTTCACAATCCACGTTCTGCCATGGCTTCAGCTGGTCCCTCCATTTGGGGTCCCTGACTTCCCATAACAGTGGGCTCTGGCGTGAGCTTCACAGGCTTTCTCCTTTCCAGGTTCTTCACTCGTCTTTTCCCCTGGGTTTCCCAGGATCCTGCACCCATCTTGTCTCAGGGCTGGCTGGCTATGGGGAAACTTAGACCCAGACACAACCAACTCCTGAGGCCCCAGCATGTGCTGGGCACTGGGGTGCAGTACCTTGAGACACAGGGTCCCACCAGCCACACCAGATGCCCCACACTGAGCAAGCAGCTCTGACTGGCAGCTTTGTCCCAAGACAGCCAGAGCCTCTGCTTTGGCCAATAACTGGGCCATGATCTTTAAAAGATAGAGGGAAAAGCACAATAAAATGTTAAAATTTGAAAAACAAATGATATCCTGATCTCTAGGGTTGGCCCCAGTGAAACTGGCAGCCCTACTTGCCTCCCCAGAAGGAATCTGCAGGGAAGCACATCTCAGTAATAACTAGATGCTGGACTTGAGAGTCAAAGGCCAGCTCCTGTTCAAAGGGAGGGACTGTGAGGGAGCATTGCCACTTCCTCCCCCAAATCTGCAGAGCTCAGATCCCAATTTGTGCTGCTAGATTCACTCAGTTGGATCTGGTCCTCCTTGGCACACCAGCAGGTGATAAACTCCCTTGCTCCAGAGCCTCTCTCCCTCCATCAGTCATCTCCAGTGCTGCATGTGCCTGTGTCCAAGCCTGATTCCTGACACCGTGCCTACCCATCACCCTCCATCACTTCCTGGGCTGGGAGAAGGGTGTGATGTTTCCATGGTGATACTGGACCACCCCCGTGCAGAGGCTTAATCACCATGAACTTTTACTAATTCAGTGGCCCAGGACTCTGTGTATAGGTATGAAATGGGATTGTAAACCCCTCCATCTCCTATGTATGTTTGTGTTCTCAGAGAAGGAATGTTGGAATTAGTGGCAAAATACCTGGGGTCAGTCAAGGCACCACGTAGATGCCTCTTCTGTTCTAACTTACCTGCCAGGAGGGTCCAGGAAACACACTGGTTTCTGAGTCCACATCTAGGATCTCCATCCCCTGAAGGGCCTCCCTTGCTGGGTCATGGCGACTCCTTAGAGGCATCATGTCCTCAACTGACAGATGAGGAAACAGTCCAGATTTCACATCCAGAACACATGGCAGTCAACACTTAGATTATGCCTTCTTAAATGCCAACCTCTGTATTTCTCCACCTTTTCTTCCTCATCTCAACCTTTAGCCATAAGAAGTTTTTAAAGGACAGACCCAGCTTATCGGAACATGCAAAACATCATCCCAGGAACATTAACTGTCCCGGTGCATTCTGTCTTCTCAGGTGATTTGATAAATTAAATGTGTGGTTTTAAGTGTCTGAAACTTCTGTGACAGTCAGTGCCCCGGACACCCATTCCTGCCTTCTCCTTTGCTAGCACACTCCTGAGATTATACTGTGCCTGGGCTCCCTGGCAGCCAGGGCTCAATTCTGGCCACTGAGACAGAAGCCAAGGTCTGCTCCAGGGCTGGGGTTGCTTTCCTGATACGGGGCTTAGACTGACTTTCTGGGGACAGAAAGTCTGAGACGGAGAGCCCTGTGCATGCAGGAAGTTTACTGCGGGGGCTTTTGGAAGATGCACCTGGGACAAATGAGGGGGCAGTGGGAAAAGCTGGCTGGCAATGAGGTTGCAACTGAGGCTGTGGCTGACACTGCAGGGAGTTCTGGAGCTGGTTGGCCCTGCAGCTGCCCTGCCTTGAGTAAAGTGGGCAGAGCCTTTGTCTCTCACGTCAGCCGGTAGGTAGTTCCCAGGCAGGGGTGAAGGCATCTGTAGCAGCTGCTCTCCCCAGCAGCTGTAGGGAATGCCTTGGCTTGAACAGGTGACCTGGGCAGGATACCACCACATCCACTACACTGCCACCTCCTCTTCCTGCCTTGGACAAGGACTTCATGGCCAAAGAGATGGCAAAAATAGAATCCCAGATGCTGGCAGCTGTTCGACCAACACCAGCCACCTCTTTGCTTGAACTTTGTAAGAAGTCCAAGATGACAAAATCCGTTTCCCACCGTGGTCAGCTCACGATACATGCAGCTGAATGCACTGCAGCCTGGTAGAAGTACTCTTTCCCACCTTCCACTTCCTCCAAAGGCCCACCAGGGCCTTCCCTCCAAAGCATGGTCCTCCCTCAGGCCTGATCCAGAGACTCTACCTCCAGAATGGACCTGGAATTGGTCTTCTTCCTCCTACCTCCCAGCCTGCCCACACCTTCACCACTGGATACTGCAGAACCTACATCCCAGAGTCAGGCAGCATCTCCAAAGACTTGGGCCAGTCTCTCAGCCATGGTCAGATTCTGCCCATCTCTGGCCCCCAATTCTTCCCTGCCCTCAGGATAAAGTTCGAACCTTTTGGAAAATGACCTCCCATGCCTTAATGACAGGTATGACCTTGCCTTATGTCCAGCTGCAGCTCTTGCTACCCGCATCGCCCAGCCCTGATGGTCCAGTGTCAGCATGGCAGCTGCAGCCAGCTCAGCCCTGCTGTTGCGTCCGTGCACACGGTGGACATTCTATTCCCTCTCCCTGGGAACATGAAGCCCTCTTCTTGTCTATATGAAAAACTCTTGTTATCTTTTAATCTCAAAGTCTTCCTCAACGCCCCCAGCCCTTCTGTGCAGTTAATCAATCATTGGCTCCTTGGACACCTCTGCACCCGGGTTGCGTGCTGTGCTGTGCTGTGCTGTGCTGTGCTGCGTTACCCACTCATGCAGTGCTGGTCTCCCTCACAAGACTATGAGATTCCATGAGCAGGAATTTGGTTCTTGGATGTTTTTATCATCTTTGCCCTTCCCTATGCCCAGCACCCACCCCTGACCCCACCAACCTCAGCTCTGAGTGCTCTGCTCACACTGTTCACAGGAATGGGGACTTGCAAGAGCCACAGCCGGGCTACAGGGACGGATGACATGGCTGGCTCTTAAGCCCTCCTAGTCCTCACCCCCAACCCACTGTCTACATCTCAGGGGAAAAGGGATGTTCTCTGCTTCTTTCCTTTTCTCCTTGGCCTGCACTATGGTGAATTAGTTTCTTTCACTCTAGCTTCCCATCTGTACAAAGAGGAAGAGACTGGCCTGCCACTGCCAGGACCCGGTCCAGCTTTGGTGGCCCTACAGGGCCATGAATCATGCACAGCCAAGGATGTCTTGGCTGTAGGGAAGGCTGGCCAGCTGAGGAAGGGCCCAGCTTGATTCCAGGCCACCCCTGGCTCTGGGCCCAGCACTAGTAGGTGTTGACTTAAAAGGAAGAGTTTGAGGCGTAAAATATAAAGAGTTTACTTGAGCCAAAGTAAGGACAGCTGCCTGGAAGACTCAGACCCAAGTAAGCTTGGAAATGAGCTTCATTGGGTCTTTGTTATAAGAAGTTTTTTAAAGGCAAAAGCGGGGACAACAAGTGGGCCGATATAAATCCATCAGGAATTCTCATTAGTTTATAGAAATAACCTTGAGGCTGAGTACGGTGGCTCACACCTGTAATGCCAGCACTTTGGGAGGCCGAGTCGGGCGGATCACTTGAGGTCAGGAGTTTGAGACCAGCCTGGCCAACATGCCGAAATCCTGTCTCTACTAAAACTACAAAAAATTAGCAGGGCGTGGTGGTGGTGCCTTTCCCAGCTACTCAGGAGGCTGAGGCAGGAGAATCACTTGAACCAGGGAGGCAGAGGTTGCAGTAAGCCAAGATTGCGCCACTGCACTCCAGCCTGGGTGAAAGAGTGAAACTCCACCGCAAAAAAAAAAAAAAAAGAAAGAAATAACATTGATTCATGATTGGCTCTACATTGTGAGGCCATACTGCGTGGTTTAGTGCCTGGTGTGGCTTTATTAGGTTAATTTATGGCTCCTTATCCTTGGCAAGCAGTTTCAAGAGCTGAATACGTAGCTCAAGGTTGATTACTATCTCATTTTATTGTCTCTCTGGGCCTGATAATTTAAATGGACTCTCATACCTCAGGTAAAAGTTCTTTTCTTTCTTCATAGTGCTGATAAAAATGTGTTAAGTGCCCCCAGAGCCCCAAGGACCTGTGTGTGAGGACCTGTTCTGAGGGAACTGCTAGAACAATGGCTTTAAAAATGCCAGAGCTGAACTGGAGAAGCAGCAGGATTTGGGGGCCAGGAGTAGCAACTGTGGCCTTTGAGTGAGATGGAGCAGGGGTCTTCACTTTCCCCCTGGAGGAAGCTGGAGCTGGCTGGAGCAGCTCTGCTCAGGGCATCTCCTTCCTCTGCCTTTGCTTCTTATGTGAAGACTGACATTGTGACATATAATAAGAAATGGAGCTCCTAAAACCCTTGGGATCTCCAAAGTGATATATGGCTTTTTGTAACTAACGAGATGACTAGGAGGGTGGGGGCTCCTGGGTGGCCTCGGGATGGTGCTGGTTGTGAGGGAAACCAACTGTGTGATTAGACGGTTGAAATACTCAGCCCTACTGACTGCCGACTTCTGGTTTGGGAGAGGAGCTGGGGATGGAGTTAATCACCAGTGGCCAGTGATTTAATCAATCATGCCTACAAAATGAAGCCTCCATTGAAAAATGCCAACATGATGAACACCTCCAAAGTGATGGTGTTGGGAGAGCTTCCGGGTTGGTGAACATGTGGAGGTGATGGGAAGGTGGTGTGTCTGGAGAGGGCATGCAAGCTCCATGCCCCTTCCCCATACCTGGCTCCATACATCTCTTCCACTGGCTGTCCCTGAGTTTTATCCTTTTTATTATTATTATGTCAGTAGTCTAGGGGGAGCAGGCAGCATTTGGATGCGTGGACAAGTGCTATAGCGGTGAGTTCTGAGATTTTGATGCACCCGTCATTCTTATGTCTTTGCATCCCTGAGTTGTATCATTTATAACTAAACTGTTCCCATGAGTTCTCTGGGCCATTCTAGCAAACTATCCAGTATAAAGAGGGGGTTGTGGAAACCTCAAGTTTATAGTTGGTCAGAAGCACAGGTGCCAACCTGGACTAGAATTTGGCATCTGAAATGGGAGTGGTCTTGTGGGACTGAGCCTGTAATGTGTGGGATCTGATGCTAACTCCAGGTAGATAGTATCAGAACTGAGTTAAATTATAGGACACCTAATTGGTGTTCCAAGAATTGGAGAAGTGGTTGGTGTGGGGAAAATGCCCGCACTTCTGGTATCAGAAGTGAAGCATTGAGAGCAGCAGTAGGAAGGAGACAGGATTCACATCTCAGAAACATGCTGTCACTTTTAGGAAGAAGGGAGCATGGGGAATGACTCTCTCAGGGTCAACTCCCACAAGCTACCTGACCCAGGCTCCAAATTTAGAGATCAGGGAAGCAGGAAGGAGAACATGAAGGAGGCCCCTTGTGCTTCTTTCTGGCTTTGCCAACTCAGGAAAGTCATGCCACTGCTGAAAGACTCAAATTTTTGTTCATAAATTGGGATGCGTAAGGATTCCTACACCGTATGTCAAGGTGTAGTTACATCAGGGTGGCTAATGCCATCCTGTCAAGGGGTTATTCCAAGGTTAGGTTAAGTCAAGGTGCAGTTAGGTTAGGTGTAATTACAACAAGGTGTAGCAACATCAAGGTGCATTCACTTCAAGGTTTAGATATGGCAAGAGGTAGTTATGTCAAGGCGCCATCATGTTAAGTTGTAGTTATGTCAAGGTGGGGGTTATGGACTGAATTGTGTCCCCGCCGCCAGCCCCCAAATTCATATGTTGAAGCCCTAACCCCCAATGCAACTGTATTTGGAGACAGAGTTTTTAGGAGACAATTAAGTTTAAGTGAGGTCATAATGATGGGACCCTCATTCAATAGGGCCAGTGTCCTTAAAAGAAAAGGAAGAGAACTCGCACTCTCTGCCATGTGAGGACACAGTGACAAGGCTGCCACCTGCAAGCCAGGGACAGAGCCCTCACCAGGAATGGAATCCCCTGGCACTTTGATCCTGGACTTCTAGCCTGCAGAACTGTGAGAAATAAAATGTTGTTGTTTAAGTCATCTGGTGTTTTGTTATGATGGCCCAAGCTGTCCAAGACGGTAAGGTTATGCCAAGGTGCAGGTGAGAGGTACATGTGCAAGTATGCCTGAAGTAGGTTTGAAAGCCTATGAAGGATCATTACTGATTTGCATCATCACACCTGGCAGGAACCTACCCGGTGACATTCCCTCAGCCATGAGAGGAAACAATCCTGCCGCTTTTACATTAAGATCGTGGAGCTATTACTCACTGCAGAGTTAAGGCCCTTTTTTTAAATTTTATTATTATTGTACTTTAAGTTTTAGGGTACATGTGCACAATGTGCAGGTTAGTTACATATGTATACATGTGCCATGCTGGTGTGCTGCACCCATTAACTCCTCATTTAGCATTAGGTATATCTCCTAATGCAATCCCTCCCCCTTCCCCCACCCCACAACAGTCCCCAGAGTGTGATGTTCCCCTTCCTGTGTCCATGTGTTCTCATTGTTCAGTTCCCACCTATGAGTGAGAATATGCAGTGTTTGGTTTTTTGTTCTTGTGATAGTTTACTGAGAATGATGATTTCCAATTTCATCCATGTCCCTACAAAGGACATGAACTCATCATTTTTCATGGTTGCATAGTATTCCATGGTGTATACATGCCACATTTTCTTAATCCAGTCTATCATTGTTGGACATTTGGATTGGTTCCAAGTCTTTGCTATTGTGAATAGAGCTGCAATAAACATACGTGTGCATGTGTCTTTATAGCAGCATGATTTATAGTCCTTTGGGTATATACTCAGTAATGGGATGGCTGGGTCAAATGGTATTTCTAGTTCTAGATCCCTGAGGAATCACCACACTGACTTCCACAATGGTTGAACTAGTTTACAGTCCCACCAACAGTGTAAAAGTGTTCCTATTTCTCCACATCCTCTCCAGCACCTGTTGTTTCCTGACTTTTTAATGATTGCCATTCTAACTGGTGTGAGATGATATCTCATTGCGGTTTTGACTTGCATTTCTCTGATGGCCAGTGATGGTGAGCATTTTTTCATGTGTCTTTTGGCTGCATAAATGTCTTCTTTTGAGAAGTGTCTGTTCATGTCCTTTGCCCACTTTTTGATGGGGTTGTTTGTTTTTTTCTTGTAAATTTGTTTGAGTTCTTTGTAGATTCTGGATATTAGCCCTTTGTCAGATGAGTAGGTTGCGAAAATTTTCTCCCATCTTGTAGGTCGCCTGTTCACTCTGATGGTAGTTTCTTTTGCTGTGCAGAAGCTCTTTAGTTTAATTAGATCCCATTTGTCAATTTTGGCTTTTGTTGCCATTGCTTTTGGTGTTTTAGACATGAAGTCCTTGCCCATGCCTATGTCCTGAATGGTAATGCCTAGGTTATCTTCTAGGGTTTTTATGGTTTTAGGTCTAACATTTAAGTCTTTAAACCATCTTGAATTAATTTTTGTATAAGGTGTAAGGAAGGGATCCAGTTTCAGCTTTCTACATATGGCTAGTCAGTTTTCCCAGCACCATTTATTAAATAGGGAATCCTTTCCCCATTGCTTGTTTTTCTCAGGTTTGTCAAAGATCAGATAGTTGTAGATATGTGGCGTTATTTCTGAGGGCTCTGTTCTATTCCATTGATCTATATCTCTGTTTTGGTACCAGTACCATGCTGTTTTGGTTACTGTAGCCTTGTAGTATAGTTTGAAGTCACGTAGCATGATGCCTCCAGCTTTGTTCTTTTGGCTTAGGATTGACTTGGCGATGCGGGCTCTTTTTTGGTTCCATATGAACTTTAAAGTAGTTTTTTCCAATTCTGTGAAGAAAGTCATTGGTAGCTTGATGGGGATGGCATTGAATCTATAAATTACCTTGGGCAGTATGGCCATTTTCACAATATTGATTCTTCCTACCCATGAGCATGGAATGTTCTTCCATTTGTTTGTATCCTCTTTTATTTCACTGAGCAGTGGTTTGTAGTTCTCCTTGAAGAGGTCCTTCACGTCCCTTGTAAGTTGGATTCCTAGGTATTTTATTCTCTTTGAAGCAATTGTGAATGGGAGTTTACTCATGATTTGGCTCTCTGTTTGTCTGTTATTGGTGTATAAGAATGCTTGTGATTTTTGTACATTGATTTTGTATCCTGAGACTTTGCTGAAGTTGCTTATCAGCTTAAGGAGATTTTGGACTGAGACAATGGGGTTTTCTAGATATACAATCATGTCATCTGCAAACAGGGACAACTTGACTTCCTCTTTTCCTAATTGAATACCCTTTATTTCCTTCTCCTGCCTAATTTCCCTGGCCAGAACTTCCACCCAGATTCATAAAGCAAGTCCTGAGTGGCCTACAAAGAGACTTAGCCTCCCACACAATAATAATGGGAGACTTTAACACCCCACTGTCAACATTAGACAGATCAATGAGACAGAAAGTTCACAAGGATACCCAGGAATTGAACTCAGCTCTGCACCAAGTGGACCTAATAGACATCTACAGAACTCTCCACCCCAAATCAACAGAATATACATTTTTTTCAGCACCACACCACACCTATTCCAAAATTGACCACATAGTTGGAAGTAAAGCTCTCCTCAGCAAATGTAAAAGAACAGAAATTATAACAAACTGTCTCTCAGACCACAGTGCAATCAAACTAGAACTCAGGATTAAGAATCTCACTCAAAACCGCTCAACTACATGGCAACTGAACAACCTGCTCCTGAATGACTACTGGGTAAGTAACGAAATGAAGGCAGAAATAAAGATGTTCTTTGAAACCAATGAGAACAAAGACACAACATACCAGAATCTCTGGGACACATTCAAAGCAGTGTGTAGAGGGAAATTTATAGCACTAAATGCCCACAAGAGAAAGCAGGAAAGATCCAAAATTGACACCCTAACTTCACAATTAAAAGAACTAGAAAAGCAAGAGCAAACACATTCAAAAGCTAGCAGAAGGCAAGAAATAACTAAAATCAGAGCAGAACTGAAGGAAATAGAGACACAACCCTTCAAAAAATTAATGAATCCAGGAGCTGGTTTTTTGAAAGGATCAACAAAATTGATAGACCACTAGCAAGACTAATAAAGAAGAAAAGAGAGAAGAATCAAATAGATGCAATAAAAAATGATAAAGGGGACATCACCACTGATCCCACAGAAATACAAACTACCATAAGAGAATACTACAAACACCTCTACGCAAATAAACTAGAAAATCTAGAAGAAACGGATAAATTCCTCGACACATACACCCTCCCAAGACTAAACCAGGAAGAAGTTGAATCTCTGAATAGACCAATAACAGGCTCTGAAATTGAGGCAATAATCAATAGCTTACCAACCAAAAAGAGTCCAGGACCAGACAGATTCACAGCCGAATTCTACCAGAGGTACAAAGAGGAACTGGTACCATTCCTTCTGAAACTATTCCAATCAATAGAAAAAGAGGGAATCCTCTCTAACTCATTTTATGAGGCCAGCATCATCCTGATACCAAAGGCGGGCAGAGACACAACCAAAAAAGAGAATTTTAGACCAATATCCTTGATGAACATTGATGCAAAAATCCTCGATAAAATACTGGCAAACCGAATCCAGCAGTACATCAAAAAGCTTATCCACCATGATCAAGTGGGCTTCGTCCCTGGGAAGCAAGGCTGGTTCAGTATACGCAAATCAATAAATGTAATCCAGCATACAAACAGAACCAAAGACAAAAACCATATTGAGATATGATTATCTCAATAGATGCAGAAAAGGCCTTTGACAAAATTCAACATCCCTTCATGTTAAAAACTCTCAATAAATTAGGTATTGATGGGACGTATCTCAAAATAATAAGAGCTGTCTACGACAAACCCACAGCCAATATCATACTGAATGGGCAAAAACTGGAAGCATTCCCTTTGAAAACTGGCACAAGACAGGGATGCCCTCTCTCACCACTCCTATTCAACATAGAGTTAAGGCCCTTTTTAAGAGAAAATAACTGGGGAGCCCGCTGGAGGCGGGGATCTGGCTGAGAGCTGGGTTCGGTTACTCGAATGCACCACTGGGTGGCGCCCGCGCTCCGCGCGAAGGCCGGGAGGGGCAGTCCTCGAGTGACATCAGGTGGGCAGAGCCGGGAGCCCGGACCGGCCCGTGCAAACTCTCAGGATCTTACCGGGAAGGCACCCTATGCAGGCGCAGGAGTGACACGGAGGTGCCTGGAAGAGGGGCTTCCACTTGAAGCCCCTTTTTGCTCAGTCGGGTCACTGGGCGCCCGCAGTGTCCCAGGGCACGCCTGCGCTAAAACGGGACACCGGCTCATGCTGGCGGCTCCCGGGGCAGCTGAGGGACCGTGGCTAAGGACATTGGGGTCCCAGGGCTACAGGGAAAGAATCGTGACTGTCCACACTTTGTTAAAAGCCCACCTGTTTCCTTCATCAGCCGCTGCTGTCTGGTGTGTATCCAGGTCTCTAGAAGCTTCCAGGGGCACCTTGACCTGCCCCAGCTCCTACCCTTCCTCTCCAGGGCCCTATAAGACAAATTTACACAGGTGTTTCTCTCACCCTGGACCCGATTATTTGGCCCCACCTGCTGCTGAAATTCTGCCGCTGGGTCCAAGGAGGGGCTGCCCCAGCGAGCACTGGCTCCCACCATCTGGGACACATGCCCGTCTCTCTGTGCCTCAGTTTACTTCTCCATGTACTGAGGGACACAAAGATCCGCTCCAAGGCCCTCCCAGGTCACTACCACCTCCTAGAGAGGGGCAGAGTGTGCCCCTGGGCCACTTTCGTGCAGTGAGAGGGCACATCGTGAGGCCCGAATCAAACCCAGGGCTCCTTCCTTTTATTTTTTATTTATTTATTTTTTCAGACAGGGTCTCACTCTGTTGCAGCGGCTGGTGTGCAGTGGCTAGATCATAGCTCACTGCAGCCTTGGCCTGTGAGGCTCAAGCGATCCTCCCACCTCAGCCTCCCAAGTAGTTGGGACTACAGGTGTGCACCACCCACCTTGCTAATTTTTCGTTTTTTGTGGAGACAGATTTGGCCATGTTGCCCAGGCTAGTCTCAAACTCCTGGGCTCAACCATCTGCCTGCCTTGGCCACTCAAAGTGCTGGGATTACAGGTGTCCGTGCCCTGTCCTGGGGTCCCTTCTGAACGAGGCTCCTTTGGTGTGGATTCAGGAGACACAGATGTGGGAGAAGCTGAGATCTTCCAGGAAGGACACAACCCTGGGAGCACGTGCCTGCTGAGACAGCCATGATGTTTGCTTTCAGCCAAAGCTGGAAGATTTAGTTCTGTTGCACACATGGCTGCTGAGCATCTGCTGGGTGCCTGTTCCTGGGCCAGGGCCTCCTGCTCTCCAGAACCTGGAAGGCTGGGAGCAGAATAAGACAGATCTAGAGGCCTCACGTCTTAGGGTGAGGGGTCACCGGCCCCAGCTGGAAGTGGAGGGGAGGGACTTACTAGAGGCCTCCTAGAAAGTGTGACCTCCCAAAAGTTACTAGAATGATTGCTGGTCAAGCACCTGGACCCTTCTGGTCTACGATCACCCTGGTGGAGCTCTGGAGGATGAAGGGCAGCCTGTGGGGAGAGTCCGCTGGGAACAGCATGAGGAAGGGCACCGGAACAGCAGCAGCCAGCTGGCTGGTGACTGGCGAGAGTCTGGGCCAAGGTCTGGCTCACAAGGATTGGGTGTTCCTGTGACTTCCCACAGGGAATGGGGAGCTCTGGAAGGGGGTAGGGTTTAAGCAGGGAGTGGCAGATCCTTGTGCCTGCACTGGCTACCGGGGAGGGTGACGACTGCAGGGAGGTGACCTGAGTCTCTTTGAGAGCTGTGTCCTTCTCAAGGACTTTGTGTACTTTGAATTCCCTAAGAACTAAACATTGCCATTTTGGGTCAACATCGTGATATATATTCTATCATTATACTTTTTATTAGGCTTAGTAACTATTATAATAGCAGTGTTCTCATGGAGCCTCGGAGGATCAAAGCCCTTGCACGGATGTTTTCTCCATGGCCATTGGGATGTCTACTTGTCAGCAGATTGGCAGATATTCGATGACACCCTCACAGTCCCCCAGGGAGTGATGACTTCTGGATGAGGTTGGCACTAGGGCTGCCATCTCAGAACCCAGAGTAGGCCCAGGGGTGGTATCTCCGAAGGAGCCGAGGATTCTCCGTGATGACTTGCAAACTCAGCAGGCTCCAGCTCGGTGGCACTGGGGGAAGGCTCCAGACCCCAGCCTCTGTCATCCCTGCATGGAGCCCACATCTCCAAGGAGGCTGGGAGATCCTGTTTGGGGGTCAATTTAAATGTGAAGGAGCAGAATACAGAGAGTTTGGGAACCCAAGGAGGGGACAAAAGACAGAATCAGGACCCAGTCTTAAATACGCTCAGATTGCTGGGCACCTCCTCATGACAGGCTGGGCCCTGGGTACTGGATGCTAGGATGAATGAGAAATGGCCTCTGCCCTTGAGGGGCTCACAGACACCAGAAAAGACAAACCAGGAGAGTCAGAAAAAGGAAGAGCAAGGTGCTGGGGAACTGAGCCCCGAACCCCATTTCCCACTCTTACTACCCATGCCCCCTGCATGTGACATGGCCAGAATTTGTCCCTGCCTTGTGCCTTTAACTGTGGGGAATCCTGGAATTTTCTAGAAATCCAATTTCACAGAATGAAAGTTTTTCTTTTTCAGAGGTGATCCACTAAAACTTTAACTTAATTTCATTTTATGCTTCTTTAAAATTCGTTGATGTAAATAACTTACAAATCAAAAAAAGCCAAATTTGGTTTTGGAAATTACAGCCTGCACAGTTCACACATATGTGTGCACACATGCACAGGCACACACACAAAAGGTGCTGCCCACCGTGGGAGCTCAGCCTGAACTCGCACATGTGGATACATGTGCTTGGGCTCAGACCCCAAGCAAAGGCCAGAAGAACAGCTGTCGCTCTGTGAGAATTGGCTGGAAGCTGCAGGGAACACCTGTAGGAGCTGTTGGGGAGCCCTCCTGCCTCTGGCCACCTGTGTTGGGGTAGGTCAGGTAAGGAGTGATGGAGAAAGGTGGAGCGATGGTGGACAGGACGGGCGCTTCTCCAAGCATAGCCTGCTGCTTTCTTACTGCTTCCCCTGGGCTCATTTCAAAGGTGCCTGCAGTAGCACAGCCCAGTTGGTCACTGGGTCCCATTTCCCTGGGATGAAGATTTGGGCCCAGCTCAGCTGAGGGAACACGGAGGGTGAGGGAAAGGACATGAAGTGGGACTCAGGATGTGCCAGGCACGTGACATCTGGTCCTTCCACCCCCCCACGGACCTGGGCAGGGTTCCTCACCCGCCTGGGCTCAGAGAGGTCAGGCTGCCAGCCCACAGCTCACAGGGTGGGTGACTGAGGAGGTTGCATTCTGGCTTAGATCTGACATGCCGAAGTGCCATGGCCTGTGCTACCAAGAGGAAGGTTCAGAGGAGCCAGGGCTCTTCCCCTGACCTCACAGGCTACTGCGTCCTCAGACAGCTTGTGTGACAAATGGGTAATATTTCCCATGCATTTGGGAAGAGGGCAAGATCAGCAAGATTTCCCCGAATAGCATCCACCTTGGGGAACCACTCTCTGCCAAAAAAAAAAAAAAAAAAAAAAAAAAAAAAAAAAAAATTGTATTGTATTCTATGCATTTCATGACATGTAAAAGGTTGGGAAGTAAATAAAATATAAGAAGGTTCTACTATGTGCCAAGGCTGCTTCTGTTTTTATTTTTTGGCTCCACTCCTGCCCAAGTGCAGTCACAACACTCAAGGCAGGTGGACTCCTGGGCCCACGGTGTCTGTGTTCTCAGCTCTGAATTAGGCCAGAGTATTCTGCAGCCCCACGTCGAACCACTTGCACAGCAAAAACCAGCCAGCCTCTTAGGCATCTCTTACTGGTGCAGCTTACATGAAACACTTGTCTTTCATTTCAGATGCAGAGTGGAAATAATACTGTAGGAATAAATTCATACTAAAGTGTGAATGGTATACATAGGCCATTTCTTCCTTTGGCAAGTATCTCTTGAGAGCCAGCTGGTTAGGAGTCAGAGACTTGTCCTGGGCCATTCACTCACCTTTTTGCCTTCTGTTGTGAGAATTAAATAAGGAAATGTGGACCAAGAGCCTGGCACAGTAGAACCTTCTTATATTTTACTACCCAATCTTTTTACACATCATGGAATGCATAGAAAATAATAATTTTTTTTTTTTGCACAATGGAATAAAGTACGGACTTAGTGAAAAAAATCATCACATTACCTTTCTGTATACATTTAACTATGATAAAAATAATTTTAAAGGTATTGGGAGGCATTAAAGGTGAAATTGATATGAAACATCAAAATAAAGGCTTTTTAAAAAACGTAATGAGAAACTTGGGCTTGCATTTATGTAAATACTATTTTGTGTAAGTCCATTTGCTTGAACCAGCTACAATTACTGATTAAGACTTTTAGATTATTCCTTAGGTGAGTGAAACTGCCAACAAGTTCTGCAGGCAACTGGGATAGCAACTGCCCTTCCCGGTAGGCACACACATGCCAATCTCAGAAGGATTTGCATGGGTTCAGGAAAATTTAGGTGTTAATGTCTCAGTGTTAAGAAGTCTGCACATTTGGAATTTTCTGCAGATAATACATTAGAGATTTGGGACCTAGACTCTGGTGTGTAATTGCATAGTTACTTTAGACTTGTGGTTTCAGGTTGAAATCTAAGTTAACAAACTGTTGGAACATTTAAGAGAATATAAAGTTCATCATATTTCAAATTTAACTTACTGATACAAAGGCTCATTTAAGAGACTGAAAACCAATTTATTGTCAGATCACTGACATAATTAAAAAGGAAAATGAGTATATTAAACTTATAAAGGCAGTTTAGAATGTTGGAAGATATCTCCTTAATTAAATTTGCAATTGCACCAAATGTTGGCAAGGTGTAGTGGTTCAAGCCTGTAATCCCAGAACTTTGAGAGGCCGAGGCAGGAGGATTGCTTGAGGCCAGGAGTTTGAGACCAGCTTGGGCAATATAGTGAGACCCCCATCTCTACAAAAAATTAAAAAATTAGCTGAGCATCATGGCACATGCCTATATTCCCATCTATTCTGGGAGCTGAGGTGGGAGGACTGCTTGAACCCAAGAAGTCAAGGCTGCAGTAAGCTGTGACTATACCACTGCACTCCAGCCTGGGTGGCAGTGAGACCCTGTCAGAAAAAAAAAAAAAGCAAATGATTTTCATCAAAGGCCTATTAAAAGTGATTGCTGGCTAAATATTAGTAGTAAACAATCCAAAAGTACAATTAAGAAAAACAATTTCATGTACATAACATCAAAAAGAAAAACATAGGAGTAAATTCAATTAAAAACTGCAAGATTTGTACACTGAAAACTACAAAACACTGTTGAAAGAAATTTAAAAACTCCTAAATAGATAGAAAGGAATCCATGGTTATGGATTGGAAAACCTAATATTAAGAATGCTATATTTCTCAAATTTATCTACAGAGGAATGCAATCCCTAGCAAACCCCAATGGGAAATGGCAATTTTGGAGAAATTCACGACCTGACCCTAAAATTCAAGTGGACATGCAAAGGACCCAGAATGGCCCAAATGATTTAGATCTTGAAAAAGAAGGACAAAAGTAGAGAGCTCACATTTCCTACTTTCAAAACTTAGTACAAAGCTACAGTAATCAATACAGTAAAAGTGGTATTAGCAAAAGTGTAGACATCACAACAACAGAATATAATTAAGAGTCCAGAAACAACTCGCCATATTCACAGTCAATTGATTTTTGACAAGGATGCTGTATTAATCTGTTTTCACACTGCTGATAAAGACATACCCAAGACTGGGTAAATTATAAAGAAAAAGAGGTTTAATTGACTCAGAGTTTCACGTGGATCATGGCGGAAGCAGAAAGGCACATATTACATTGGTGGCAGGCAAAAGAGAGAATGACAGCCAAGCGAGAGGGCCTTTGCTTTATAAAACCATCAGCTCTCGTGACACTTATTCACTACCATGAGAACAGTATGGGGGAAACCACCCCATGATTCAATCATCTCCCACTGGGTCCCTCCCACAACACGTGCAGATTACAGGAGCTACAATTCAAGATGCGATTTGGATGGGGACACAGCCAGACCATATCAGATGCAAGAACAATCCAATGGAGAAAGAATAGTCTTAGGCCAGGTGTGGTGGCTCATGCCTGTAATCCCAGCACTTTGGGAGGCCAAGGTGGGCAGATCACAAGGTCAGGAGATCGAGACCATCATGGCTAACACGGTGAAACCCCATCTCGACTAAAAATACAAAAAATTAGCCAGGCATGGTGGCGGGTGCCTGTAGTCCCAGCTACTCAGGAGGCTGAGGCAGGAGAATGGCGTGAACCTGGGAGGTGGAGCTTGCAGTGAGCAGAGATCGTGCCACTGCACTCCAGCCTGGGCGACAGAGCGAGACTCCGTCTCAAAAAAAAAAAAAAAAAAGAATAGTGTTTTCAGCAAATGGTGCTGGAACAACTGGATATCCACAAGCAAAAGAATGAAGGTGGACCCCTACTTCACTCCATATACAAAAACTAACTCAAAATGTATAAAAGACATAAAACGTAAGAGTTAAAACCACTAAACTCTTAGAAGAAAACACAGGAGTAAATGTCCATGATCTTGGATTAGGCGGAGGTTTCTTAGGTGTAATGCCAAAAGTATCAGCAACAGAAGAAAAAAATAAATTGGACCTTGCCTTAAAACACAGATGGCAGAGAAGAAAAAATATACTTCATCAAAATTAAAAACTTTTTTGCTTCAATGAGATCATCAAGAAAAGTGAAATGATAACCCATAAAATGGAGAAAAGCACGTATCTGATGAGGGATTTGTATCTAGAATACAGAAAGAACTCTTACAACTCAATAATAAAAAGACAAAAATTCCATTAAAAAGTAGATGAAGGTTCTGAATGGTGAATGTATATATATGTATATATATACACACACAAATAGCCAAGAGCCACATTCAAAAATATTGAACTTTGTTTGCCAGCAGGGAAATGAAAATTAACACAAAGAGATATCCCACACACCTATTAGAATGACTAAAATAAAAAAAGCTGATAACTAGCAATCGTGCTCCTGGGCACTTATTTATTTCAGAGAAACAAAAACTTACATTCACACAAAAACCTGTACACAAATGTTCATAGCAGCTTTATTTGTAATAGCCCCAGTCTAGAAACAACCCAAACGTCCTTTGACAGGTGTCTGGTTAAACACACTGTGGCACATCCATCCCATAGAATAGTACTCAATAACAGAGGAATGAACTCCTGATATATACACCTTGGACAAATTTTCACAGAGTATGCAGAGTTTAAAAATCTAATCCTAGGCTGGGCACGGTGGCTCACGCCTGTAATCCCAGCACTTTAGGAGGCCGAGGCAGGTGGATCACGAGGTCAGGAGACAGAGACCATCCTGGCTAACACTGTGAAACCCCGTCTCTACTAAAGACACCAAAAAAAAAAAAAAAAAAAAAAGCCTTCCCCCTCCCCCTCCCCCTCTCCCGTCTCCCTCTTTGCACGGTCTCCCTCTGATGCCGAGCCGAGGCTGGACTGTGCTGCCGCCATCTCGGCTCACTGCAACCTCCCTGCCTGATTCTCCTGCCTCAGCCTGCCGAGTGCCTGGGATTGCAGGCGCGCGCCGCCACGCCTGACTGGTTTTTGTATTTTTTGGTGGAGACGGGGTTTCGCCGTGTTGGCCGGACTGGTCTCCAGCTCCTGACCGCGAGTGATCCGCCAGCCTCGGCCTCCCGAGGTGCCGGGATTGCAGACGGAGTCTCCCTCACTCAGTGCTCAATGGTGCCCAGGCTGGAGTGCAGTGGCGTGATCTCGGCTCCCTACAACCTCCACCTCCCAGCCGCCTGCCTTGGCCTCCCAAAGTGCCGAGACTGCAGCCTCTGCCCGGCCGCCACCCCGTCTGGGAAGTGAGGAGCGTCTCTGCCTGGCCGCCCATCGTCTGGGATGTGAGGAGCCCCTCTGCCCGGCCGCCCAGTCTGGGAAGTGAGGAGTGCCTCTTCCTGGCCGCCATCCCATCTGGGAAGTGAGGAGCGTCTCTGCCCGGCCACCCGTCGTCTGAGATGTGGGGAGCGCCTCTGCCGGGCCGCCCATCGTCTGGGATGTGAGGAGAGCCTCTTCCCGGCCGCCATCCCGTCTAGGAAGCGAGGAGCGTCTCTAACCGGCCGCCCCGTCTGAGAAGTGAGGAGCCCCTCTGCCCGGCCGCCACCCCGTCTGGGAGGTGTGCCCAACAGCTCATTGAGAACGGGCCATGATGACGTTGGCGGTTTTGTCAAATAGAAAAAGGGGGAAATGGGAAAAGAAAGAGAGATCAGATTGTTACAGTGTCTGTGTAGAAAGAAGTAGACATAGGAGACTCCATTTTGTTCTGAGCTAAGAAAAATTCTTCTGCCTTGGGATGCTGTTAATCTGTAACCTTACCCCCAACCCCGTGCTCTCTGAAACATGTGCTGTGTCCACTCAGGGTTAAATGGATTAAGGGCGGTGCAAGATGTGCTTTGTTAAACAGATGCTTGAAGGCAGCAAGCTCCTTAAGAGTCATCACCACTCCCTAATCTCAAGTACCCAGGGACACAAACACTGCGGAAGGCCGCAGGGTCCTCTGCCTAGGAAAACCAGAGACCCTTGTTCACATGTTTATCTGCTGACCTTCCCTCCACTATTGTCCTATGACCCTGCCAAATCCCCCTCTCCGAGAAACACCCAAGAATGATCAATAAATACTAAAAAAATAAAATAAAATAAATAAATAAATAAATAAAAAATTAGCCGGGCACGGTGGCATGTGCCTGTAATCCCAGCTACTTAGGAGGCTGAGGCAGGAGAATCTCTTGAACCCAGGAGGAGGTGGAGGTTGCAGCGAGCTGAGATTGCACCATTGCACTCCAGCCTGGGTGACAGAATGAGACTCCATCTCAAAAAAAAAAAAAAATCTAGTCCTAAAATGTTATATATGGTGTGATTCAATTTAAATAGTACTCTTGAAGTGACAAAATTTTAGAAATAAAAAACAGATTAGTGGGCCACGGGTTAAGGAGAGGAGGAACAGGAGAGAAGTGGGTTTGGCCAAAAAGGGCAGTGTGAGGGATCCCTGTGGGGAAGGAGATGTTCTACATCTTTTCTTTTTCTTACCTTTTTTTTTTTTAAAGAAATGGGGATCTCACTGTGTTGCCCAGGCTGGAGTGCAGTGACTGCTCTAGCATTTAGAGTACCAGATGACAGAGGTGTTAGGTATCTGCATCCACATTGCTCCAGTCATCTAGGTGGGGCTCTTTTATACACCTTATCACCAAAGATAAAAGGACCAGAATTGTTTATAAACAAGGTCAGAGTGGAACTTGTGATTCCCAAGTTGGGGTTTGTTGCTGTGCCTTGTCTTCCGTCATAGCGGCATCTGTGCATCTTTATCCTCCACGCGTCTCTCTCAGTCCATAGGAACAGAACGGGTTGCTAAATCTGATAGAGAAGGCCTTTAGTTTTGTTTTGGCAGTTATAGGACTTAATTTTGTAACCTGGCCAAGTTAGTCCAGAATTCTAATCTATCCACATGTGATCTTTGGCATCTGCTGGCCTCATAAAGGAAGGAAGGAAGCTTCTTCTGACTTGGGAGCCCTTTGTAAGATCTGGTGATTTGGCAAATGTTTATATCATGAGAGTCAGATCAGGACTGTTTTTGACCTTTGTGAGATTTGTGACATTTGTGAATGTCAATGATGGAATCAAAGCACAGGGTTTGATTGCAATACCTCATTGGTGTGTTACCTAAGAAAAAGTCCAGCATAATTTCTGCTTTAATGTAGAAGGAAAAAATATTTTAATGACTTTATCAGAGCAGAGACAGTCCTGGAGCTCTCATAAAGATTTCTCTGTGTCTAATTGATTTACCTAAAGGACAATAGCATGACACTGTTTTCTCTTGTCATACGTCTATTTTCTGGACTTTATCTACCAGACAATTATAATGGCAGAAACACGTTCACGTTCTTTTGAATAACCTAGATGTTGCTTAACCAGTGATCAGATTGATTAATTATCATAGTGAGGGTTTGAAAGGCTAATGTAAAACGGTGCCAGGTCTGTGTCCAACCTGTTGGTAAGTGTTAATTAGAGCAAGATACAATTTGAAAAAAAGCATTTATAGTGGAGGGTTAGAGAGAGAATAGAATAGACTGAGAAAGTCCCTAGTCAGCTTTTTAACAGGCCATCAACAGACAGGAAAAAAAATTGTCAACCAAAAAAAGAAGAGGTTTTTTAAGAAAAAAAAAAAAAGTTTTTAAAGGTAGAGTAATACAGAGTCCTAAAACAGGGACAACATAGGTGGAAGTAAACTTTCTTGATCTGTGATCTTGGGAAAAGTGTCTACTTTGAAGAAATACCATCTAAAGGTCACCTGTAGGGGTGATTTTCCAATTCTCTTGAGAGTGCTTAGCAGGATCTGGCTTGGTGTGACTTGCATGAACGAGGAGTTGTTTTATTTTACTTTGATGGTAGTGTAAGTAGTCAGCAGTACTTCACATGGACCTTCCAGTGAGGTGACAGTGCTTGCCTTCTTTTAAAAACCTTTGTGTACACATCATCTCCTGGTCAAAAAGCATGGCAAGTCTTGTCAGTTGGTGGAGATCACACCCTTTTTATCTGTTGATGATAAGCTCCAAATATATTAGTGCCCGTATATAGCTAGTCATAGCATCAAATTGTTCACAGGTCCCCATAGTGCTCATTCAACCCAGGAATGGAAGATTTAGAGATGCCACCCAAACACTATTTCAAAAGGGGTAATCCATGTCTTTTATTCCGAGTATTCTAAATTTCTATAAGGGCCAGAGGTAATGCTTCTGGCCCTTTAATTCTGGTGTCTAGACAGACTTTTCTCAAATTCCATTTAATGTTTAAATTTTTATGCTCCACTTGCCCTGGGGATCGGGAATGGTATGGGTTATGAAATTTGGAGTACCCTAGAGTGGTTGCAGGCAAGTCGTTTATGCTGTAAAATGAGTTCCTGGCTGGGCGTGGTGGCTCACACCTGTAATCCCAGCACTTTGGGAGGCCAAGACAGGCAGATCACCTGAGGCCAGGAGTTCAAGACCAGCCTGGCCAACAGGGCGAAACCCCATCTCTACTAAAAATACAAAAATTAGCCAGGTGTGGTGGCAGGCACCTTTAACCCCTTCTACTTGGGAGGCTGAGGCAGGAGAATCACTTGAACCTAGGAGGCAGAGATTGCAGTGAGCCGAGATGGCACTGCTACACTCCAGCCTGGGAGACACAGCGAGGCTCCATCTCATTAAAAAAAAAAAAAAAAAAAAAAAGATTTCCTTGATCTGACAATCCATAAAAGGAAGCCAAAGCAATGAAGAATCTGTTATGAATGTTTGCACCACACTGTGGCATCAGAACAGGAAGTGGGACAGCATTCAGTCCATTCACTAAACATAGACAATAGCCAAACTGAGAATAGCCTAAAGCTGGAGGTCAACCTATGGAATCCACTTGGACTGCTGCAAGGGAAAGTGTGGGCCTTCCTGAAGAAGGGTGCTTTCCTCCAGAGCTTTGGTGAGATTTGCAAGTAATGCATTGGGAAATAATTTGGTCAGAAATTTTGTAAATCTTAGAGAAAAAACAATTATTGTTTAGTTCCTTAACTGACGCCCCTCTGCAAACCAACAGGTTAAAAGAAATGGGCCATGGAAGGTCTATCTTTGGAGCATATGCTTATTAATAATATTAGTCAGGGATAAAGGCAACTTAATAAATTGTGTGGAAAATGAATACAGGGGTTCATTTTGGGCTGTGTACTTGGCAGCCTTGTGTTCCCTATCATTCCCTGAAGATATAGTATTAGTCTCCTTAGTGTGGGCCAGAAAATGAGCAATAGCAATTTAATAGGAAGATGAATAGCATGTTTATTACAGGCAGCAATTACACATTCATTGGCAATAGGAGTGCCAGTGGAGGTTAAGAATCTACAGGCTTCCTAGATTTTGCTGGCAGCATGACAGACTCTGAAAGTGTATCTGGAGTCAGTATAAATAATGGCAGTTTTTATTTTTTGTCAGTGTGCAAGCTCTAGTAAAAGCTTTAAATTCAGCAGATTGGCCAGATTCAAGGCAAAGGGTATGTCTCTAGGGCTGCATGCAGGGAAACTATGGCATAGCCATTTATGCTGTTCCCCTTAAAATTTCATTTATGAGAGCCATCATAAAATAGAAATCTGGGTTTGTTACAGGTAGTTAGATAAGGCAACGAGTGGGGCAGGAGAGGGCTCTCCCCCCACCCACTAGAAATGTCAGGTGATTGTTCAATGATTATCACACTTCCTCTCTAACAGTGATAATTTGGCAGCCAGGGAGAGGCCATTTCTTCATAGTCTACACCTGCTGAAATCAAAATATTAATTGAGTGTAGGCCCCAGTGAGAAGAAACTTCCTGGGCATGCACATTAAGAGACAAAAATGGCAAAGTATCTTCTGGGTACACTCCACGAGAAAAGGAAGAAAGCCTCAGATGGGCATGTGTATAACCTCCTAAACACAACGAGCTGTTCAATTCCAAAGGGTACAGAGAGCACTGAGCATGCAGGAAGCTCGCCCTACGGGAAGAATCATGGGAGAGACACAAGCCTATAGAGTCCAAAGATCAATGTTAAATGCATTTTTTGCTCTCCTTTTCTCTCTTTGACTTTCAGGCGCCCACTAGGATCTCTTCCAAGGGTTCTTTCCTTTCTTTCCTGTTCTAAAGCCTGTTTAGTAAACTTCCATTCCTGCTGTGAAACTTGCCTTGGTCTCTTTTTCTGCTTTATGCCCCTCAGTCAAATTCTTTCTTCTGAGGAGGCAAGGACTGAAGTTGCTATGGACCCATACAGATATGCCACGGCTAACTCGGGATAACTCGGATCTCTGCCACTGCTAACATGTTGTCTAAAGGAGTGTCTGAGAGACCCTCTTGTGGCTTTGAAGCCATTTCTATAGCTGCTAGGCAATCCTGTGGAATGGGATGAAGATGTCCGTCATCAGGGAGGGTAGGAGCATAGCAGGATTTAAGGGATTTAAGGTGCTACGAAGATGTAAGATAATAGAGGGATTGATTAATAGGACTATTCATATGTAGTGTGTCTTCGTGTAGAGAGGTGCTGTGCCTTAGGAACTTGTAAGAGCAGAGAGAGTGTGGGGAACACAGAGGCAAATGGGGGAGCCTAATGTAAACGTGGTGGCTTTAGCAATTAGGGGGCAGCTGCTGACACTGCACGTGGGCATGGGAGCATGGCTGCTGCCACAGGATCCACTTGGCATGAGAAATATGCTACAGGGCATATCTGAGAGGCAAAAGGCTGGCCTAGAAAACTTGCAGTAATCCCATTATCTTCATGACAATATAGGTGAAAAGGTTTATCAAAATTAGGTAAGCCTGGGGTGGGGCGGGCAGGGGTGTAGACAATGCTAACTTCAAGGCTTCAAAGGAAGTTAATGCCTCTAAGGACCAGAGGATGGGCTCTTGACTGGCATGTGGGGAGAAAGCATACAGTGGTTTGGCAATAGCAGCAGAATTAGGAATTCAGTGCTAGCAACAGCTAGCTACCCCTAAAATTTGCCTAGCTGCTTTACCAAATTGGCTTTAAGGATCTGAGATAATATCAACGGGAGTCACAATATCCCTGATGCATGTATGTCCATGCTAATTGTCCCCCTCTAAATGTAAGGCAAAGAGAAAGCCAGAGGCAATTTCTGCCCATTGTGGAAGCTCAGGCCTATCACAGAAAT
The DNA here is from genome assembly GCF_000001405.40 of Homo sapiens. Lineage (NCBI taxonomy): Eukaryota > Metazoa > Chordata > Mammalia > Primates > Hominidae > Homo > Homo sapiens. The sequence continues at coordinate 110,058,379 of NC_000002.12, read as the reverse complement.
ACAGATGTCCAGGAGGGATAGGGAGAGCCAGAGATTTGAGAGAGCAAGAGAGAAGGGGGAAATGCCCCAGGACTGAGGCTAGGGAGAGAGGCAAGGAGCACTGTGGTCATGATGGCTCCCTCCAGTCTTTCTGGGTGTGCCCCAGGGGTTGAAAAGAAGCCCAACCCCTCAGCACCAGTGAGAGACAGGACTAGCTGGATTTCCTAGGCCAACTAAGAATTCCTAAGCCTAGCTGGGGAAGGTGACTACACCCACCTTTAAACATGGGGCTTGTAACTCAGTTCACACCCAACCAATCAGGTAGTAAAGAGAGCTCACTAAAATACCACTTAGGCTAAAAGCAGGAGGTAAAGAAATAATCAAATCATTTATTGCCTGAGAGCACAGCGGGAGGGACAATGATCAGGATATAAACCCAGGCATTCAGGCCGGTGGCGGCAACCCCCTTTGGGTCCTCTCCCCTTCTATGGGAGCTCTGTCTTCACTCTATTAAATCTTGCAACTGCACACTCTTCTGGTCTGTGTTTGTTCCTGCTTGAGCTGAGCTTTCGCTCACCGTCGGCCACTGCGGATCGTCCCCATTGCAGACCCACCATTGACTTCCACCCCTGTCGATCTGGCAGGGTGTTCGCTGCGCTTCTGGTCCAGTGAGGCGCCCACTGCCGCTCCCGATGCTGATCGTCGCCATTGCAGACCCACTGTTGACTTCCACCCCTGTCGATCTGGCAGGGTGTTTGCTGCGCTTCTGATCCAGTGAGGCGCCCACTGCTGCTCCCGATTGGGCTAGAGGCTCACTGTTGTTCCTGCACAGCTAAGTGCCCGGATTCGTTCTAATCAAGCTGAATACTACTCGCTGGGTTCCATGGTTCTCTGCCCTGACCCATGGCTTCTAATAGAGCTACAACACTCACCGCATGGCCCAAGGTTCCATTCCTTGGAATCCGTGAGGCCAAGAACCCCAGGTCAGAGAACAAAAGGCTTGCCGCCATCTTGGGAGCGGCCTGCCGCCATCTTGGGAGCTCTAAAATCAAAGACCAGCCTGTAACACCAGCATTCCCAGCCTGACAAAGATCCCAGGTCCAGACTGGACACCCACCCTTAGAGCCTCCAGACCAGAAGAGGCCACGTGCTTAAGATGGCTGATGTATCTGCAGAGAGAAGAAGGGCCTCCCCGAGGCTTTGGTGCAACAAAAGAACTGAGAGAAGAACTTTTATCTGAAGAATGTGAGTTTTTTAAAATTATCAGGCCAAAAGGGACATTAAAATGAGAGAGCAATCACCTCTGGCGTTCCCCTTGAGCTACGTGTTCACCCCTTGAAACTTCTTGCTGTTGCCACGATAAAGGGGACCAGCTCCTCCACGTGGACCTGCGGGTGTTTCTCATCAGGTGGAACAAGAGACTGAGAAAAGAAATAAGAGACAGAGACAAAGTATAGAGAAAGAAAAGCGGGCCCAGGGGACCGGCGCACAGCATACGGAGGACCCGCACCAGCACTGGTCTCTGAGTTCCCTCAGTATTTATTGATCATTATCTCTACCATCTTGGAGAGGGGGATGCGGCAGGACAATAGGGTAATAGTGGGGAGATGGTCAGCAGGAAAACATGTGAACAAAGGTCTCTGTGTCAGAAACAAGGTTAAGAAAGGTGCTGTGCCTTGATGTGCACATACATAAACATCTCGGTGCATTAAAGAGCAGTATTGCCACCAGCATGTCTCACCTCCAGCCGTAAGGTGGTTTTCTCCTATCTCAGTAAATGGAACTTACAATCGGGTTTTACACTGAGACATTCCATTGCCCAGGGACGAGCAGGAGACAGATGCCTTCCTCTTATCTCAACTGCAAAGAGGCCTTCCTCTTTTACTAATCCTCCTCAGCACAGACCCTTTACGGGTGTCGGGCTGGGGGACGGTCAGGTCTTTCCCTTCCCACGAGGCCATATCTCAGGCTATCACATGGGGAGAAACCTTGGACAATACCTGGCTTTCCTAGGCAGAGGTCCCTGCGGCCTTCCTCAGTGTACTGTGTCCCTGGGTACTTGAGATTAGTGAGTGGTGATGACTTTTAACAAGCATACTGCCTTCAAGCACTTGTTTAACAAAGCACATCCTGCATAGCCCTAAATCCATTAAACCTTGAGTCAACACAGCACATGCCTCTGCGAGCACAGGGTTGGCGCTAGGGTTACAGATTAACAGCATCTCAAGGCAGAAGAATTTTTCTTAGTACAGAACGAAATGGAGTCTCTTATGTCTACTTCTTTCTACACAGACACAGTAACAGTCTGATCTCTCTTTCTTTTTCCCCACACCACGAGTAGTTGTAAATTAGCCTAATAATACCATGCCAGACACTGCAACCACGTGCTATAGCTTCACAATATATAGCAAATCACTAATCCGTGTTATTTCTATAATCCAGTGAGAATTCCTAACAAACAGCTTTTATCAGCCACTTCCTGTCCCTCTTTTTTCCTTTAAAAACCCACTAGTAACTGCTGCTCATTGAAATGCATATTCGGGGCAACTTGAATCTATACTCCAGTATAGCAGTCCTCAAGCTTGGCCCAAATAAACGGTCTTCTTATGTGTGTTTTGCCTTTTAGGTTGATCCAACTATGGGGACTTGGCCATAAAAATGACTTGAAACACACAAATGTCTGAGGTTAGGTTTTTTTTTTTTTTTTTTTTTTTTAAACCAGTGCAGCAGGATGGAGTTGAATGGCAAAATTAGAGTGATTTCATAAAGCAAAATATGTCAGATTTTTTTGCTCTCCTGAGTACATGGTTCACACCCTATTGTTAGGAATAACGCTCAAAATCCTAAAGAAATTGAACACTCGAACAAAGGATTCTTAGCAAAGCAATTTTACCTCCGTGCAGAGGGGTGCCTCCTTGGCCAGTTGCCATGGCAGCACACCTGAACAAAGGGCACGAGAGCCTTTATTCCTGATGCAAGTCCTGCCCCTGTACCCTTTCCCCACTGGCCAGGGTCCGGTCATACAATCTAAACTAATCCCAGTTGGCTAAACATTTGAATTTTTTTTAGATAAGATGGGCACATAAAAGAAAGTGGAGAGGAAGGGGAAGGGGTGTCTGTAATGAACTAGAAAGTTAGTCCTCTTTCCAAATAAGGAAAGGAATGTGAGCTGGTACTGATAACGCCTGGTACTGTGGCGTGCCTGGGCATCTAACAAAGGCAAAAAGGAAAAAAGGTTGGGGGAGGGGTACTATGAATTAAAGAATAAAAGATTGATCAGATTATTTGAAGAGAAACCTCATCATGAGGCACCGTCTTGACGGCAGCACCTTACGTGTGCCAGTCCAGCATCACACTGTAGCCTGGAAAAAAACTGAGGCAGGGCTTATACAATGAATAATTCATTTGAGCCAAATTTAAATGCTATCGCCTGGGAAATACTTCCAAGTTAACTTGGGAAGTGTTCCAGAGAACAAAAGAGAGGCTGAGGCTTTGGAAACAAAAAAATATATGACAAATCAGGAGAGGGCTCAATTACAAAAGTTGTTTTTCAGCCATTCCAGTTGGTGTGATCATCTCTAGAGCAGTCTCGGAAGTCAGGGTATTGCTTGTCAGTGAAAAAGGCGGTCTGTAGTCAGGGACCTCCTAGCTCAGCAGAAGGCAGGCAGCTGGAGTTCTGGCCGTCATGCATTCTTCCCTTAAGGCGTGCCTGTGGCTCAGCTGAAATGGCCTTCCTGCTCCATTTTAGGTGCCTTTACCAAACCAGTGTCATTTTCCTTCCTCCACACTTTTGTTCACAGAGCACCTTGAGATAGCTCAGTTGATCCTCCATTATTGATCTCAAAGATTAAGGGGCCTGTTGAAACTCATTTGAGATTCACACAGTGATGTGCTGGTGTATGTGTAACAACCAGCTCTCCAAAAACAATTGTATATACATATATATGCATACATTCATTGTAAAACATTTTTGATATGAGGAATGTATGCCACACTACTTACAAATAATAATAAAGTAGACAATACTCTTAGTTGTAAATTCCATATTGCCATTTGATTCTCAAAGAACGCTTTTGTTAATTCTTGACAAATTATTGTTTCTGTAGCCAACCTATGGGTACAATTGACAAATAAGAATAGTTCCAATATAAATGATAGTTGATATTTTCCTTTAAAGAAAAACAATGCATACATATGTCACAACTTTACTCATCCATCCATAACATGAGCAACTTTTTTGCTGAATCGGATAATGGTTTTTAAATTTTGAAAGAATATTCAAAATAGCAGAATCTGAAAGCATCCCAGACCACAAATTTGCCCTCTTTAGAGTAATTTTCAACACTTAGAATGCAGATACAGATCACGCTTCATATAAACCACAACAGTTTATCTGGTTTGTCAGTGTGCAGATGAGAACCACAACTATTGTTTTCCAAAGAAGAGGGCTTCCAGACGTTCATGATGAGGGCTGCTAATTCACCCTAGTGTGTAACCTATGCAAGACCTCAGAAAGGGTGAGACAATACTGAATCGGTGAAATGTCACCTCTTCTGACCAGAATTGTGGCTCTGTGCAGAAATCAAGCTGGAGGGTGGGTTTATCTTCAAATCAACTCATTTCCTGGCGGCAGTTAGTGACGGTAAGGACACAGAAGAAAGATGGGTTTAATGGGTATACTAATTTCAGATTTATTTCTGCTGATTTTGCAAAGCTATGTTTTGTTTTGTTTTGTTTTTTATTTTTTGAGATAACCTCTTCTCTGTGGGAAGAGAAGTTTCGCATTCTGTTTGGCACAGCAGCAACTGCCCCAGGATACTGCAAATTCCTGAAACCAAAGCTGGAACCAGTTCAGAAGGAACAGGGACCTTGAAGGTATGGATAAGGTGATGGGGCACAGCGCTGACGTGCTTAACTAGTGGGGATTCGTGGGGTTGGATATCTGGATTTTTAAGAAGTTTCCAAGGGGATTCAAATGTATATCCAAGGATAATAATCTCGTCCGTGTGTTTAAAATCACAGGCTTTAAAGACAGACAGGCCTGAATTTGGTTACATCTTGGCCTCACAATAGAAAAGTGATTTAGGGAAATGATGCAATCTCTTCATCCATAACATGGAGTTCATAATAACAGACACTTCACAGAATGATTGATGGAGCAGAGGAAGTAATGTTCATATGATGTCTGGAAGAAAGCAAGCCCCCAAGAAATGATTGTCATTGAGACAGCCAGGTGGGAAGGGGTCCGCAGAGAAACTCCAACCTGCCTGCACACTGGGGTGGAGTTACAGAAGTTCGCACTGTTTGCAGCGGGGAGGAGCCTGGCCCCTCCTCTTCCTGGGTGGAAACTGGGATTCGATCTGCAAGGCAGGAAGCGCACCAGCAGGGACTCCAGCTTCGTGGAGGGTCTCTGTTTCCCATTTTTCCCCTTTTTGTCCAATAAGCTCCTTTTTTCTCACTCTTCAAAGTGTCTGCAAGCCTAATCTCTCATGACCTTGTGACAACAGCCTGGCTCTTAGCTGAACTAAGGAAAAAGTCCTACAACATCGTCATGACCATCACCATTATCATCATTGCTGTTATCACCTTCATCACCATCACCATCATATCAGCAACATGATCATCAACACCATCATCACCACCACCACCACCATCACCATTATCTTCATCATCACCATCATGTCATCATCACCAATCACCATCACCAATATCATCACCATCATCCAACATCATCACCACCACAATGACCGTATGACTTGAAATGGCCAGGGTCCTTCCCTGATTCTCACTGTCCCCTTCTGAAGTCAGGGCTCACACATCAAAAGCTAAAAAAACAAAAACAAAAACAAAAAACAGTTCCTGCTTCCCAAGCCCATTAGATTCAGACATCCTTAATTTGTTGGAGCAGTTGCCTTAACAAAAAGCCATCCATCCACTGGACATCTGCCATAAGCTCACCAGTTTTTGCTTTATGTGTGGAGTGGGAACCAGATTTTATCAGTGCTAACACGGAAGCCGCACCTAGGAGTGATTAAAAGGGAAGTAGGAAATGCAGCCAGACAGCCGCCTGCAGCCCTAGCTGCCCTCCCTTGGAATCTGGGAGAGGTCTGAGTATCAGGTCAGGTCTGAGTTTTATAAATGGGCCTGAAACTGCCCTTGGCTTTGAGGTTCTGACAGGTAACTTGGCCGGGTCTTCTTCTCTTGAGGCCTTGTGTTGGTGAGCCCCCTGCTCCACAGACCTGCCTTAGCCAGGCAGACTTGGCTCCCAGCCTCCCTTTCCACACTACAAATTGAGTTTTAATTGGCAATTCTTATCTATTATTAAGAACAATTACATGAATTCCCAGGAATTTTTTTACCAAGTAGATAAAAATAGATACACCTGGGTTCTTTTTGGGATGGTAAACTTACTTGATGCAGTGCAGCAGATGGGGCCATGCTGATTGGCAAGGCAGAGGCCAGGCCTTTGTGGGATGCACAGCACAGAGACGGTATTTCTCCTGCCCCTTCGTTCTTTACCAGGATGCCTTTTGGAGTGCATTCCAGCGGGGAGGCTAGGTCTGGGGCTCACTTCCGGCCTCCATCTGAGAGCCGGGAGACCGGGGCAGGTGTTGGGATGGCCAGTCCAAAGAGGGTCCTGGGCCTGACAGCTGATTAAACACCCACGTGGGTGACAGCAAGAATAGGGGACCCTGTACTCTTCTCAGCATGTCTCTCACTGCGTGACCTGGAGCACATGACCTTACCTCTCTGCCTCTATTTATCCACTGGAAAATGAGGAGCTTGTCCCAGACCAGTGGTTCCTCAAACTGTGTTCTTTGAACCCTGGGGGCTGTGAATGGGACTTGCAGGGGCTGCTTATGGAGGAAGTTCAGCACAGCAGGGGTCCCTGGGCCCCCACATGCCTTCAAGCCAAACAGAGCTGCTCCACTCAGATCTGCTTTGTTTACGAGGAGTCTATATCAACCTGAAAAATAAACTTCTGCGGCTAACAGAGTTGTTGTGCTGGGGCATCTCTCACCCCTTCCCTGAGAACTCACTAGGTTCCTACCATATGCCAGGCACCATGCTAGGCACTGGGGCCACAGAGGACAGACCAACCCGGTCCCTTCCCTCCTGGGCTTGGAGTCCAGTGGAGAAAGACGGACAATCTGTAAACAAACAAATAAGATGAATAATGGTGGGACTGAGTGCAAGTGGAGAATTAAAACAACGTGGTAGACCCTTAAGCAGAACTCTGAGATGGTCCTTAGTGGGTGAGGAGCAGAGGGGCAGTGTTATGGTTGGCCATGGGATGAGGGAGAGTCCCACAGCTGAGGTCCAGCCACCAGTGTCCCTGTGTCTCAGAGCGGCCATCTCTGGGCAAATGCAGGGGCCTCTACATTCGAGTCCGGAAGGTCCCTGGGGAGCGGGCCACAGTGAGCATTGAACCATAGTCTTCACCCCACCACTGGAAGTGTGTTGAGTCAGCATGGGCTCAACTCAACCCCACACAGACCAGCTTCCACCACTGGCTCGCAGGGGCACCTCATGCAGGTCACTGTTCTCCCTGCATTCACAAAGAGGACACCGCTAGGCAGGGTTGCACGTGGGAAGAGGCCAAGAACAGGGCCTGGCCCACAGTGGGGCCACATAATTGCTCGCCTGCAGCCCTAGCTGCCCTCCCTTGGAATCTGGGAGAGGTCTGAGTATCAGGTCAGGTCTGAGTTTCAGAAACGGGCCTGAAACCGCCCCTGGCTTTGAGGTTCTGACAGGTAACTTGGCCGGGATACAGGTGTTCATCATTGCTTCCTGGGGGCTAGTCCGGGACCTTTAAGTCAAGCCCTTAGGGACATGAGTCAGACTTTGGCATCTCTGCCTCCCCCTCACAGCCCCTCTATTCTGCAGGCAAACAGCAGGTGCCCAATAAATGCCCAGGGCATTGAAAGGTGAATGAGTAATGATGCTGAGTGTGCCTGTGCAGGCGGGCCCCACTCAGAGGACTCCTCCTTTAGCCCTCCCACAGTCTAGCAGGTGGGCTGTCCCAGCACCGCTGCTTGCCAGGCAAGGAAATTGAGACAGCAAAACAGTAAGTTATTTCCCAGACCCCATAGCCGGCAAGTTCCCAGGGGACTGGAGCCTGGCAGTCTGGCTCTTCTGGAAGGACAGGGCAGGAGAGCAGAACACAGAACACGTCTCCCCTCTCTCTTCTGATGCTCTCAGGGAGGTCACATTTCCCTGGGGCCCTGGGAGAATCCTGGGTCAGATTACAGCAGCACAGGTCACCTGCTCCAGCCCAGACAGGCCCAGGATCTGGCCCATCCACTGGCCCGGCCCTTCCTGGCCACCACTGTAGCATGTCACAGCCTGGGCTCTGGGTGGGCCTGGTCCCTCTCCTGGTTGCCGCCACTGCAGGTGAGTCAACAGCGAGACAACACAGTAACACCCTGCACAGGGCCTAGAGCCTACACCTGCCTTCTCTGTCAGCCTCATCAGCTCTATGCAGTGAGGACGCAAGGCTGAGAGAGGTAAATTGCTTGGCTGAGGGCATGCCTCCAGTAAGGATCAGGTCCAGGTAGGAAACCAAGACATAGCCTTCACTGCTGCTGGGGAGGTGCCTGAGGATGGGGCGGGAGGGGGCACATGCTCACCAGCCTCCCCTTTCTGGGTTTCTCTGACCCACCCTCTGTTCCTCGTCTTCAGGCTTCAGCTCTCATCCCTGACCCAAGGGAGGCATTTCCCACACAGCTTTCCTCCCTTCCGGGGCTCTCAGGGATGGCGCCCTCCCTCCACCCACTCTGAACCTTTTCTGGAGCCCCTGAATCCCATGCAGCCTCAAGAGGTTCCTGATGCCCTAATGGATGTTAGCTTTTCTCTGTGAATTGTCTGTCTCCTTTCCTTGGGAGGGAGCAAGGCTGGGCTTCACATGACACAAGTACTAGGATTTTGCTTTGTCAAAGGAATGCATATGATTTATGTGTGTGTGTGTGTGTGTGTGTGTGTGTGTGTGTGTGTGTGTGTGTATATATAGTATTTTCCACTTATTGCCTATAATTCAGAGGTAGGTATCGTGTCCCAATTTTGCAAGTGATAAATCAGTCTGAGAGAAGTTGCTAACTTGCCCAAGGTCACACTGCAAGTGGGTGGTAGAGCTGGGATTTCAGCCAGATCTGTCTGTCTGTCCCCAAAGCCTGCGGCTTCCCCACTGGAACCTGGAGCCTCTCAAGGCCTCCAGAAGGATTTGCTGAGCAGTTTCAAGATAAAGCTCAGTCAGCCCTCGCTTGGTCTTCAGTCCCGAAGGAGGCCACAAGCTGCCTTCGTGCCCAGCACAGGTTTGGTTTGCGTGAGTGGCTGAGGATGAGGCAGGAGCCCACACCAAGCTTCCTGACTTGCCAAGGGCACAGACAGGGGCTTGGATGCACTGCACCCGCACCCAGGCCAGCCCTCCCTCCAGGGCTTCAGGGTAGCTTTGTGAGGTCACTCAACTGCTTTGGGTCTCAGCCTCCCCAGGTGTAAATGAGAGTGTTTCTGTGCCAGGAGATGAAATGTCAGCTCCACTATTCTATGATGTTGATTGCAAGGCGCCCTGAGCTCCTGGAAACTCTAGGAGGTGATGATGATAACTGAGCCCCTGTGGCTTCCTCCCAGCTTAGGTTACCAGGCTCCTGGGCCTCACAGCCAGCCTGTGGCCTGTGTTACATGACCTCTCTGCTTTTCTCTCCCTGCAATTCATGCCAGCTGTGTCCTGAGCAGCCGACCTCGGCACCAGCCACCACGTCCCGTGTCCTCAGCGCAGGCTTGCTGTTACAGCTGTCACGAATTGCAGTGTTGGGCTGAAGTCACACCAATGGAGATGGCCAGCTCAGAGGGGCCTTCTGCAGAGATGAACGGGAAGCAGGGCTCTCATACAGGCTCTTCACTCTTTGCAGGAACGGCTATCCCCTTCCCCCAAGGTGGAGCTGACAGCCACTGCCTGTGCCTTGTTGTCTGCCTGGCAGGCCAGCACTCCATGGCTGGGAGCAACCTGCAGTGCCCCCTGGGCTTTTAGTAAGGAGCAGACATCCCGGTGTTCCAGGAAGATAGGAGGGGAGGGAGGGAAGGGCAACACTGCCTAGGCAGGTTCGTTCCACAATGGACCTGAGTGCAAAGGGCTCCCAGGGGGATGAACACTGCCTGGAGATGCGTGCCAGGAGTCTGGTGCCCAGAGCCACCAGGGCCCACCCCAGGATATAGCCCCTGAGACTTTTGACCTTGATGGAGGGTGGGTGCTATGCCAGAAGTGAGCTGTGGCCTGGCTCTGCCTCTCACCTGTCCTGTGACCTGGGCGACTCCTCACCTGGGAAGTGGGGCTGGCGGTCAGAGGTGCCGCTTCCAAAGGACATTCTCTCCCCACTCACCATCAGCAGTTCCTGCTGCTGTGGCCTCCACCCTTGGACCAGATGAAGGAGTTCATCCCTCTGCCCATGACCCCACTGCTCCGACCCCTCCACCTGGGCCCCCATGGTGAGTCCAGATTGATCACACTGGTCTGGAGCCTGCACTGACACCCCAAGGTCTGTGTGGAAAGACCCTGTCCTCAGGCCTTTCGGCATTGACACCAGCTCTGAGTCATCCAGTTGGGGACACCCTTCTTTCTCCATCTCAGCCCATCCAGTTGGGACAGGCAAACATTCAGCCAGGCAGTGGGGCAGGCAACTGTACATGCCGGTTTATGTGACGGGCCTCCATGCCATCTTTGCTGCCCTGGCTGGGCACCTCCTCGGCACACAAGGCTTCTCCTCAGCCACTTTGTTTTCTCTGGTCTCTGCAGCTGCTGGAATGGAGTGATGGCTTTGTGGCTGGGCCCCAACAGCACCTGCAGTCGGCTCCCAGAACTCACAGACAGCGAGGACTGCCAGGTGACCCCAGTGGGAGGGCAGCTCTGTCTCAACCATTCTTTGCTGGGGAGAGAAGCAAGGAGGTTATGGGGAAGTCCCCAGAAGAGGCTAAATCTCTGGGGATCAGAACTAAGCCTCATTCTCCATGCCTCATTTATGAGGTATGCATGAGGTGTCCATGCTGTCCTTGGGGAGCAGTCAACACCTCCTGCCCATTCTGACCTTGTACCGCGGGACTTGCCTAACCTGGAAATGAGCTTAACCCACCTCCAGGGCTGCTGTGGGGATGGAATGGGAAGATGCACAGGGAAGTGTGAAGAGGCTCAGAGCGACCATGCCCACACAACACTCAGGAGAGAAGCCATGGAGATGTGGGGTGCACAGTGATATGCACACTCGTGGCAGCCGCCTCGTGACCCAGCCATTCCCACACATGCCATGTGTTGCCAGGTGCCCCGTGTGTGCAGTACAGGTGCAGAGGAGGACGAGGCAGGCCCCCTGGGAGCTGGCTATGCCCCTGCGGTGTCCTAGAACAGCTGCAACTGTTGGGACTGCAGAGCCACAGAGAGTTGGAGGAGAAGGTGAGAGCCTTTCCTTAGCCCCAAAGCTCCACAGACCACGTGGACTAATTCCTGCTCACTTCCATGTGCAGGGAATTTTCTTTTTCAGAGGAAGTTGGAGGGACAGAGAGCTTGGGGGATCCACAAAGAGTCTCGGCAGAGTGAACACCTAAGCTGAGGCCCTGACTCAGCTATGTGCAGGTTTGGGTATCAGTCACCATCCCGCTGCCTTCTCACCCCGGGCCCTGTTGTCCCTCAGCAGTGCCCACCTGAACAGGAGCCAGGCCCACAGTGCTCCAGCTGCATTTTGTGCTCTCTGCACTACTTCACAGGCAGAAGCCCCAGCTGCCAGCCCTGCCCCTCAGGTAGGTGTGACTGGGCTTCCCCAATGACATTCGGGAGGCACCAGACCCTGGAGTGAGCTGGGAGGGTCCTTGGGTCTCCTGTGTTTGGACTAGCCTGTCCATACCCCAGGAGCCCAGGTGGCCTCTGAGGGGTAGAGCCCAGCTAGCCCTGGGCCCAAACACACAAAGAACTATCAACACAGGAAGTGGCACAAATGAAATGAGATGATGCAGAAGAAAGAAGTATGCAGAGTGTTGGGGAACGGGGCATTGGAGGATGGCTGGAGTCCTGTTCTGCTCCTGGCTAGGGTGTAATCTTGGCAGACTGTTGCAGTTCTCAGTGTACAGGTCCTGTTAAATTTATCCCCAAGTAGTTCATGTTTCTGGATGATGTTGTAAGTGGAACTGTATTTTTTATTTCCATTTCCAGTTGTTCATTGCTGGTAGTGATTTGTGTGTATTGACCTTGTATCCCTCAACCTTGCTTACTTCATTTATTTGTTATGGTAGTTTTTGTGTAGATTTTTAAGGGTCTTCTCTGCCGGTAATCATGTTATCTGTGAATAAAGATGATTTAAATTCTACTTTTCCCTTTTTTTTTTTTTTTTTTTTTTTGAGACGGAGTTTCACTCTTGTCGCCCAGGCTAGAGTGCAATGGTGCAATCCCAGCTCACCGCACCGCAACCTCTGCTTCCCAAGTTCAAGCGATTCTCCTGCCTCAGCTTCCTGAGTAGCTGGGATTACAGGCATTTGCCACCATGTTTGGCTAATTTTGTATTTTTAGTAGAGATGGGGCTTCTCCATGTAGTCAGGCTGGTCCCGAACTCCTGACCTCAGGTGATTTGCCCACCTCAGCCTCCCAAAGTCTTGGGATTACAGGCGTGAGCCACCACGCCTGACCAACTTCTACTTTTTCAATCCATTCACATTTTGTTACTTTTCCTTGCCTTATTATACTGTCTAGGGACTCCACTACTGTTTTGAATAGAAATGAACATCCTTGGCTTCTTCCTGATCTTAGGGAAAAAGCATTCAGTCTCTAATCACAACGTTGCTGTTAGCTGTAGTTTACGGGTGCCTTTAATCAGGTTGAGGACATTCTCTTCTATTTCTTGCTGAGTTTTATCAGGGATAGATATTTAATTTTGTCCTGTGTTTTCCTGAACCTATAGGGGTAAGCATATGGATTTTCTCTCCTTTGCTCTGATAAGATGGTGAGTATCATTGTTTTTTGGATGTTAAACCAATCTTGCATTCCTGGACTTCATGTGGTTATGATGTTATCATTTTTACATATCATTGAATTTGATTTGCTAACATTTTTGTAAGTTTCTTTTAATCTTATGTGTATGAGAGACATTGTTCTGTAGTTTTTTCTAGTCTCTTTGGTATCAAAGCAACACTGGCTCAACTAATTTTCCCAGGAAATTACTTGCAAAGTAGTCCCTGCTCTTCTCTTTTTCTGGAGGAGTTCATGTCTGTCTGGTATGAGTTCTCTCTTGAGTATTGTATAGAGCTTAGTAAAGCCATAGGGCTTAGAGATTTCTTGGTGGAAAGATCTTTACGAATTAAATGTCTTTGACACGTTTAAGGCTATTCAGATTTTCTATTTCTTCTTGCAACAGTTTGGGAATTTGTGTCTTTCAAGGAATCTGTTCATTTTCTGTTAGGTATAAGGTTGATTGTCAGAGAGTGGTTCAGGCCACATGTTTACTGCCCTTTCAGTGTGTCATCTGCAGTGAGAGCTCTTTTTCATACCTGATATTGGTACATTTTTTTCTCTTTTTCTCTTTATTAGTCTAGTTAGGGCTTTATCAATGTTATTTATCTTTTCAAAGAACTAGCTTTTGGTTTTATTGATTGTCCTTATTGATTTTTCTGTTTTATTAATCCTGATTTACATTTGCTCTCCTCTTTTCAGCTTCCCAAGGTGAAAGTAGATAGCTGATTTTACATCTTCTTTGTTTTCTGATTAGACATTGAATCCTGTAAATCTGAATCTATGCACTGCTTTAGTTATATCCCACACACTTTATGATGGTGTGTTTCTATTATTACCCTTTGAGTTAAAATGCTTCTAATTTCCCTGTGATTTTTTGTCTAATGGATTGTTTTGGTGTGTGTTGTTTAATTTCTAAGTGTTTGGGGCTTTTCTGGGTGTCTTTGATTTCTAACTGAACTCTATTATGATCAGAAAACATACTCTCTAATATTTCAATCTCTTGAAATTTATCAAGACTTTCCTTATGGCAAACTGTGTGAGTTTGGAAGGTATTTAACTCTCCTCAGGCCTCCCTTTCCTTATCTCTAAAGTGGAATTGATCATAACAGTGCCTGAATGCTTCTATTAGGTGAAGTCCTACATAGAAAGCTCAAAGTCAACACTCAGTAAATGGTAGCTACTGCAGTTAGAGCCAGACTGGTTAGTAGCTACCAATTTAAATGCAGAGCTCCCAGTTGGGGCTGGACCTCTGCGTCTAAAGAAAATAACAGGCATGGAGCACCTCACCTCGGAGACAAGAGCTTTGTCATTTCTCATAGGTAAGGAGCCCCTTGGCCGACCCTGCAGCCCCCAACACATGCAGCCCCTGTTCTTCCCACCTCTCCAGCTCCTGAGTGTTCCACGGCCCCACCGTTGCCTGTGTTCTTAGAAGTGGGTGCAGGTAACCCAGACAGCAGCAAGCTGGGGAGAGGCCAGGTTGGGTCAGTCTTCATTCCCAACCCACAGATGACAGGCAGGAAAGATGAGTGGTCGCCTCACCAGCCACCGTGGATGTGAAGTAAGCACCTTCTCAGGGAGGATTTTGGGCATCCCAGCCCACCCAGAGGTGCACAGACGACAGCATTGCTGTGCAGAGCTGGGTGTGCAGTGACAAGGACCATGGGGGACACTGAAGCCTGTGGGAGGCGATGTTATGGAGAAAATGCGGACACCTGAGACTGCCGGGTTCTAATAACCAGGGCTCCCCAGGCTCAGAGGGGTGGCTGGAAGAGAGGAGCCCAGGAGCTGGGCTTCCAGGCACCCCTGCTGACCATCAGCAGTGCTGCTGAATGCCAGGAAAGTCACACTCAGGGGTGCAGCCAGGGTCTGGCAGGCCCCAGCCCTAGGAATTCCATGTTCTCTGGGCTCAGCTAGGAAAATCAGGACCCGTACAAGTTTAAAGGCAGCCTGGATTATTCAACTTAGAGTTTTAGCCAAGACAGAGGAACGATGTGGCTGGAAATCACTAGCTCTGAGGATGTGAGCCATGGAGAAAATCCTTCCAGATCCTGAGGATTAGGAAGGGTGGGGGAGGGGAAGGGCATCTCAAAACATTCGTTATTTTCATTATTGTTAACTTTAAGACTGTGTAGGTTCCCCCCCAACACCCCCACAAAGGCAAAAGATTTACCTCCTCAGTTTTGTTCAGGGTGGAAATGAAATGTGTCATTCATTCCCAGTGCTCTGGCCACAGGGCAGCAGCGGCGAAGGCACGGAGGGGAGCCCAGCACAGGAGGGCAGGAGGGAAGCGGCTCAGACACCATGTGATCAAGGTTCTCTCATCAACTCACCTCCACTTCTGCAAGGCATTACCGCCCCCACCTTGAGGCCCTCGGCTTTCCCTTTGCCCACCCACTCTGGTGTGTGTTGGGGACAGGCCAGGTGCCAGGGCTGGGAGGGGGCCCCTGGAGAGGAGGGGGCATGGGCTACAGAGCTGCTCCATGGGAAAGAACAGGCCCTGGTGCTGCTTTGCCTGTCAATAAGAAGTGGGGGCCTCAGCTAAGTGTCTGGTGGTCTTGCAGGGGACCACAGGTTACACTGCAGTGACAAGGAGGGGCTGAAGGGGCAGAAGGGGAAGAGAAGCAGAGCTGACAGGGGTCCCAGCATCCTTCCGGCCCTCTGTGCACCCCCACTTCTGTCTCATGTGCCAGGCCCTGGGGCAGCGCTGAGGGTCCAGGTGCTCCCCATCCAGGGGAGAGGCAGACGCCAGAGCTTCCCTAAAGCTGCGACCTGGGAAGTATTGAATCAGGTGGAGACAGGGCCCTTGAGGCTCAGATGAGGCACCCCTGAGAGTCTGTCTGCTCAGGGAGGAGCCCAGGAGGCTTCTTCCAGGCTGGGAGCGCTCCCCACAGAGGAAGCAGCACTGTGCAGAAGCAGAGAGTAGAGCCTGTGCTGCTCTACCCTGCTCCCTGGCAGTGATGGCACATGGGCCCGGGGTGGGACCCAGCCTCACCCTGCATGGTGCAGACCCCCCAGAAGCCACTCCAGGTGCCAGGCTTCCAGCTCACCCTCCACAGCCAGCAGACTCCCCAGGGGATGAGGACCCCAAGCCCTGGTGGGACCCACCCCATGAGGCCCCCCTCACAGGCTACTTCCACCCATATGGTGCTGCCTTTGTGCCACGCCATGCCGGAAACTTCAAGGACAGGAGAGAGGTGCCCCACCAGGACACCAGCTTCTGCTCAGCAGGTCAGTTCTGGATTCTGCCTTCTGCTTGCAAGACAGGAAGAGTGGCCTTGACTCTGACCTTGCTGATTGGTGCTTATCAAACGCTAACAGAAGCTGATGTTAAGGGACTGACAGCAGCCCGGGCAGCGAGTCCAGGTACCAGTCAACGTGTGAGCCCCAGGAAAGCCACACCCGGGGTGCAGCCAGGCCTCATCAGGCTCCAGCTCTGGGAACTCCATGTTCTCTGGGTTCAGCTGGGGAAATCAGGACCTGTATAGAAAGTTCCAAGGCAGCCTGGATTGTTCAACCCAGAGCTGCCAGTAAAGACAGAGGGTTGACGGGACTGGGAATCACCAGTGCTGAGGACAGGAGAAAAAGAAATGAGAAGTTTTAAAGTAAAAAGTGAGAGTGTCAGTAGGTACATAGGAGGCCTTTCTTGGGAGCGGACAAAAGACTGGGCCTAGAAAATGCCAGGCCAGGGATGGCCCAGATCTGCTATGCACAGGCTGTGTGATATCAGCAAGGTGCTTCACCTCTCTGAGCCTCATCTTTACACTAGAGGCAGTGATACCCCTTTCCTGGTAACCAGGGATGGTGGCAGCTCCTGCACTCCCAGGCCCATGGGAGGGTCAGGTGTGGCCAAGGCCTGTAGAGCTTTGGTTGCTTTTCTTGTCACTGCTTCCCTTGAGAGAGAAAACTGCTGTCTCCCCAGTTCTCAGCCTGTGTCTTCGGTGCCCTGTGGGACACTTCTGCCCCAACAGAGCCACCCGCCCCATCCCATGCCAGCCGGGTACATTTGGCCCCCGCTTAGGCCAGGATGAAGCCACAGACTGCACCCCTTGCCCAGCAGGCAGGGCCTGTACCCAGGCTGGGCTGACACACCCCGACGCAGCGTGCTCACCGGGGTAAGTGCCCGCCATTTCTCAATGATGAGTGTCCCGATGGGGGCCAGAGCCATCCCCCTAACACCCTTAGAGAATCAGTCCCAGGTCAAGGCCAGACTTCTCCCAGCCTCTGACCCTCTCAGGGTTCGGAGAGGGCTGCGCCTTCAGATCAAAGCTCTGTCTCAGCCAGCCCAGGGCTCCAGGACTTGCCCCCGAGCACCGAGGCCCAGCACTGTCTCAGGTCCATCCATGCTCAGGAGGCGTCTAGGGAGCTGTCTTCCTGGCTTTGTCCATGGAGAAAGTAGCTCAGAGAGGCCAGGTTACCATGCAGACTCACAGAGCAGGCCAGGGGCACGGCGGGATCTGGCCATGACTCTCCAAGATGCCGGGCTCTGCGTGGTGGGCACCAGGTGCCAACTCCCCTGCTGCTGTAGGTACGTGTGCCCTTCAGGCTCCTCCAGTCCCCACGCTCCCTCCCATGCCTGCCCTCCTGGGACCTTTAGCAACCGCAATGACCTCTCCCACCCATCGCAGTGTGAGGTCTGCCCCGAGGGACTAGCCTGTCCTGGGGGTAAGTGAGGAGGGGGACAGTGGCCTCACCACCTCAGGACCCTGCCTTTGGGTGAAAAACCAGTTCCACCCCGGGACAGGGAGACCAGGACAATAGACCCTGACCCATAGCCCCTTTGTTCCTCACAAAGAGCATTGCCCACCCCTCCATGGGGAGCCCAAAGGATTGGGCAATTAAAAGCAGCCTGAGTCCCGACCCTGCTGCCTCGGGTACGGTGGCCTTGGAGGTTGTTAATCCAGATACCCCCTGCCCCGAGGCAAGGCCCCAGCCCGTGTCTCTGACGCCTGCCAGGGGTTGTGGCTGGAGAGGGGCAGCAGCCCTTCAGGTCTAGTTCAGTACTGTGTTTGCAGGAACCGGGGGCCCAGACTGGCCCCCCATCCCCTGCTCAGCTGGCCATTATTGCCCTCCCGGCACCAAAAAGCCAACCCAGTTCCAGTGTCCTCCCGGCATCTGGAGTAACCAGACTGGATTGACCATGAGCGAGGAGTGTATGCCCTGCCCCAGGGGCTGGTTCTGTGTCAGTGGAGCTCAGGTGCCCTCAGGGACATGCAGGGCCGGGCATTACTGCCCATGAGGTGAGTGGGGCCAGACTCTGCCCTGGCAAGGTTGCAGGCAAGTGCCAGGAGAGGGTGCCATGGGCTGGCCTGTGCACCTCCTCTGGAGCAGATGCAGCAGGAGAAGCCTGGTGTGCAACGGGAGAGGGGAAGCTTCCATTTCAGGACCACCTTCCTGAGAGGAGGGCTGGGAGGAGCAGGAAACTCGGGGAGGCTGTGGGGACAGAAGCCACCAGCAGGCTGGGGGCTGGAAGGGATTGATAAGCCTCAGAGCCTCCTAAATGGGGGTTCCCAGGTGTCTCAGCCCAAAGCACAGCTTCCTAAAGACTGTGTCCTGGAGAGTGACACCCCCTCCCCCTGCCCCATCCCCAGTGGCCTCCCCTGGGAACTGTCTCCAGGCAGCAGGTGAGGAGCTGGTGTGCCAGTGATGACACAGGTCCGACCCCTCTTTCTTCCTCTGAACCCCTCTTCTCTCTGAAACAGGGGCGAAGTGGAGGACACAGTTCCCCTGCCCAGCAGGCACCTGCAGCTCCCAGGCAGGCAACGGCCAGCTCGAGGACTGTCTGCCCTACCCCCCGGGGCCTTCCGCCCCAGTGGGGTCCCTGAGCCGGAGCTCTGCCAACGGTAAGGAGGCCGCATGTGTGGTTGTTATTGAGGCCAAATCGCCACGTTCATTGTGTGCCTGCTGGAGCCCAGCACTGGACACTGGTACCAAGGGAGAGGAGGGCCCAGCCTGCCCTCAGGACCTGGCCACCTTGTTGAAACAGGACACACAGGAACAGGATGAGCTGGACCCAGGGCTATAGGTGCCCCAGGTCAGGGGCACCCCTACAGCCAGGAAGTTGAACAAGAGAGAATCACTCTGGGTTACAGTCAGTGGAGAAGCCATCAGCTTGTGGTGACTCGATTCAGCCTCAAAAGATGGGCAGAGTGCCGGGCATGATGGCTTGTATCTGTACTGACTGGAGTAACTGGCCTGGATTGACCATGAGCGAGGAGTGTGTGCTGAGGCAGGAAGATTACTTGGGGCCAGGAGTTTGAGACCAGCCTGGGCAACATGGTGAAACCCCGTCTCTAAAAAAATATAAGAATTAGCCAGGCATGGTAGCCTGTAGTCCCAGCTACTCAGGAAGCTGAGACGGGAAGATCGCTTGAGCCCAAAAGTTCCAGGATGCAGTGAGCTATGATCATGCCATGGTACCCCAGCCTGGGCTACAGAGCAAGAACTCATCTCTAAAATTATAAAAAATTTATTTAAAAGATGAGCAGAGTCCAAGGAGGGATGTGAAGGTATCCCTGCTGAAGCAGCCGCGTACCAGCCCACCATCCTGAAAAAAGAAGCTGTTTCAGAGCTGCCCACTCTAAAGGCCAAACCCCTCCTAAAGCTAATTGCTGCAGAGATCTCAGCAGAGATCATTTGGCCCAAGCTGTGGGATTATCTGTGGATTTTACTGTTTTATTAAAATGTGCCTTTTATTCCTCTGGTCAAAAAGAAAACTTAGGGTTTGTCTTACTAAAAACAAGCAATACACATTCTTCATGTAAAAAGTGGAAATGACATTGATCAAAACAAATTTCAGATCAAATGCAGATTTCAATTTTAAAAAGCCAAAATCACAAAATCACAAAGCATAAATAGATATTTATAAAACTTGAGAGAATGTGGAAAATCTAAGCCTGGGCAACAAAAGTGAAACTCCGTCTCAAAAAAAAAAAAAAAAAAAAATGAGCCAACCTCCCTGGCAGCTTACAAGCAAGGGTTTATAGAGGCAGGGGTAAATTTCAGGAGAGAAATTTACCCTTATACAGGCAAAATTGTAAATCAAGACATGAAGGTTACACATTGGCCTAAAAGGGCAGTCTGTCTTGAAGCAGGCACTTCCGCGTCATAGGTGGAGTCAAAGATTCCCCGTTTGGTTAAGGAATTGAAGCTGTGTCTAAACTCTTAGGGTCAGCAGAAAGGGATGTTAAGGTCTGGCCTGCGGGCGTGCCAGGAGCCCCCAGGCAGAAATTTAGAACAAAGCACTGAGGCAGTCAGAGTTCAGTCCTCACTCCCCCCTTATCTGAGGTCTGCCTGCCAGTGGGTCCATTTGCTGGGGGTCCTGGTTTCTGAAAAGCAATCAGGGACATATGCTAAGATGGCATCTTTAGCTTCCAGAGAAAACCAAGCCTCTCGTGGCTCTGACTTCCTTGGCCACTGTTCAAAGCTGCAGTTACCTTCTTGCTTATCGGGCTGCTCATTTACTCCTCAGGGCTAGTGAGGTGCTGGACTTTCCCTTGAAGGAACTCAAGATTTGTCTTTATTTCCATGCTGGGAGGGTCAGGGGTAGCAGGATCCTAAGAGGGGCCCCGGTGCATCTCACAGACAACTTTAGAAAGAAGCACAATTAGCCTGGTTTTTAAATCTCCTGCCCTGCCTTCTCCAGCTGAGGCCACACCCTCAGCCTCCCCTACAGGGCCTCCTAAGGCTCAGGCGGGCTGGGAGTTCTGCCCTTACACTCTGAGGGGAAGCTGGGGGACAGTGGAGGGATCTGGCCTTGGAGAAATGGCGACTTCATGGGTGGGGACTCTTCCCCAGGAAGGCCGTGGGCATCCACCTTTAGCTCTCTCCACCCCCTCTAGAGGAACGTACTGCCAAGGTCCAGCAGCCAAGCTGGCTGTGGCCTGTGTGCCTCGCCCTGCCAGTCACCACTGCCCTGAGAGAGGCACCACCACGCCACGACCATGCAGCACTGGCAGCTTCTCTGTAAGTGTTCCCAGAACAGACTCCATCCTCAGAGGGCTCTGAAGAGTGGGGGATCCTAAAATTGGGAGGTGCCTGCCCCAGCCTGCCCCGATGGTGACTCCCCAGAGCTCCGCTCAGGCAAGGGAAACACGCAACTGCAGGGAGAATCCTTTGCTCCAATGTGGGCTTGGGAGCTGGGCAGGCCTCCAGGTGCTTCTTCTAGGGCAGAGGGGGCAGGCCTGGGCCCTTGCTCCATGGGCCAGCCTGGCGCCTATTGGGGAAGGGGAAGGGGAAGAAGCAGAGGGAGGGAGATGGGGGAACAGAGTCATTGCCCTGAGCCCACTGGGGTAGGTGTCTGCATTTAGTTCCCTCTACAGGGAGCTATGGGTGATGAAGGCAGCACACTTCCATTTTACCTCCTCTTCCCCCACCACCCAGGTAAGCAATGAGCAGGAGCCTGGGACATTGCATGACATTGGCCTTCCAGACCCAGAGGAGCTATCGGCACCCTCCTCCCCACTGCCTGCCATGTGCACTCAAGTGTCAGGAAGGGGGTGCCATTGCACGAGTCCCTCACTGCTCTGCTAATGCCATCTTTGCAGGCTTCTTCAGTGAAGCTTGGTGATTATTCCAAGAAATGATGTCAAGCTTAGGGAAGCCACAGGTGGCCCTGGGGAGTTGTGCAGTCAAAGAATGTGCAGTTTATTCAGTATCTCGCAGCTTTCCACACAGGGCAACTGTGGCCAGTCACTGCAGCCCAAAGAGCCCAAATTGTGTTTCGGACACAAAATCTTCCCCTCCTTCTCAGGAAGCACTGTCATCGCCCCTTACAGTTACCTGGAGCTCTACCATCTACAGCAAATTGTGTTTCAGACACAATCTTTCCCTCCTTCTCAGGAAGCACCATCATCCCCCCTTGCAGTTACCTGGAGCTCTACCATCTACACAGCACTCACTGTGTCAGCTCAGGGATACCCACACCCCCAGCATAGCTTTCCCCTTCAAGATGAGGAGGGGTCTGCAGATGGCACAGCTGGGAGGCAAACCCAGCAGGGCTCCAGCACCAATACTCACCTGGCATGGCAGCCCCCAACCTTCTGCCCTGAGTCTTCCCAGTGAGCCCAGGCCTCTATGTGGACACCTCGAGAGCGCTGGCAGGCATGGGGAGGTGGCAGGGTGGGTGACCCAGAACCCACAGTATGGCCCACTGTGCAGCCATCGTGACGGCCCTGCCCAGACCACTCATGAGTGCAGCCCTGCAGGGCCACATTGGCCTCTCCTGACTCATGCAGAGGCCTCCCGGAGGATCAGTAGCCCTGAGAAGACAGAAGGAGCCTCCAGCCTGGGCCCTCCTCCTCCGGGCATTGCCAATCCTGCAGCCATGTGCTTGGAGAGCTCCCTGGTTCTGTGGCATCCGCCTTCCTCATAGGGGAGGTACGCACTGAGCCAGGCCTGGCCAGCAGCAGCCCCACATACCTTTCCTCAGTACCTGTCGTGCACCAGGCCCACCTATGCATTCCAGGTGTGGATGGAACCTCGACCTTATTGTCCACACCCCTTTCCAGGGTCCAGGTCATCTCTGGTGCCAGGAGTGCTCAGGAGGAAAACTCTGCAACCAGACAAAGCTGCTTGGCCCTGGGCCATTACGTGTCGCCCTGGGCACTACTGCCCAGCCCAGGGCCTGCTATCCATCCCCTGCCCCATGGTGAGCCTCTCCCCTGGGATCCCCAGCTGGTGTTTCTGGTTCGGCATGGGAAGGCTCTGGAGCCATTGGCCCCATACTGGTGGTTGAGAGGGACAACGTCCCTTCAGCATGACATGGCCATACCCAGCCCCTGCCTCCCCCACCACTCAGATAAGGGCTGGGCTGCTCACATTCCCACGGCTAGTTTCCCTACGGTGCCAGACCAGAAGGTCACGAGGGATGGAGTAACCCAGGCCCAGGGAGCAGGAGGTGGGGAGGAGGAGGGAGGGGGGAGGGAGCTGGGGAGTTAGGTGCAGGTGGTACTCCCCGTGGGGGCAGCCTCCCCTCTGTTTTGCAGCCAGACTTCAATCTATGGAAACCTCAATCCCACACACTAGTGGATGGGTCCTGAGGGCTCTGTCCTTGGTGAGGACAGATTGTCTTCTCCCTGGTTCTGTGTGCCCAAGGAGAGAGGGTGGAGGGCCCTGCTCTGCTTCCTCCCTGGCCCCACTGTGGCTTCCAGAACCTTGACCCTGGTGACATCCCTCTATCTGCCCAGGGCACTTTCCGAAAGGCCCCTGGGGCCGCCCGTGTGGAATACTGCCAGCCATGCCACCTGGGGGCATTCTGTGGCAAAGCTGGCCTGGCCGAGCCCCAGGGCCTGTGCCACCCTGGGCATCACTGCGGGCCTGGCTCCAACACCTCGTCCCTGGTGAGTGCAGGCCCTATCGGGCCTTCCCAGGGCGGGGGTCAGGGACACCACAGGGCAAAGGCCCAGCACCTGCCTGCCCCGTGAGGGGCAGAGTAGCCCTGAGAAGATAGAATGAAATCACTGCAGAGCGGGTAGAACTGCAGCCATTATACATGGCCCGTGAAAACATGTAACCAGTGAGGAAGGGCCCAAGAGGCTAGCATCCAGTACCCACTGCAAAAGGCACCAAATACAAATATGTCTTCAGCCAGGAAAAGGCTCAGTGGGCTGACATTAAGGGCACATGAAGCAATGCCACTTCAGTACCCGACGCATCTACTAACTACTGATAGTAAAGCAAGTGCTGAAGGCCTCATAAGACGTCCGTGTGGGAGAGTCCATGCTCTCATGCTCTCCGCTGCAGCCTGGGCCCAGGGGCTGCTGCAGTCTTGCAATACCTAACGAGAGCCTAGGGCAGCTTGGAATTATTGGAATTGATCCAGTAATTCCAATGTGGGAAAGAATCTGAAACGGGAAAAAAGTCATTTGTGAAAAAACGTTCAAAGCAACAACAAAACACCATAAAGGCCCAATAATAAAAAAAAATCTAGACAGAGATATAGCTTATCAACCTAGAGGGATACTAGGTAAGCATTAATAATTGTTGTAAGTACATCGTTTGATGCATAGATGATTGATAGATGATAGATAATTGATTGATTATTTGAGAAATGATAAATATAGATTGATTAATTGATAGATGATAGTTGCACCTCATCACAATTAAAGCTGTGTGTTGGTGATATTAGCAGAGAGTTGGAATTGGTTAGGTTATTTAACAACTTAACAATCAAAATTTACTTTCTTTTTCTGAAGTTAAATTCCTGAGTGTTTCCCAGAGGGTTCCTGGCGGTGCAGAACAGGTGTGGCTGGGCTGAGCTGGGCAGGCTTCCCTAGAGAGGGGCTCAGGGAGGAAGAGGAGGGAAGCCAGTGGAGAGAACCCACTTGCTCTCAGCTTGTAAACCTCAACAGACCCCTCTTCCTCTAGAAGGGACTCCCCTTTGGTGACCTCTGTCCCCCGGGTCATTTCTGCCCTGCTGGCACCAAGGACCCCAGGCAGTGGCTCTGCCCGGCTGGCACCTGGAATGCAGAGAGAGGGGCACAGGACATAAGCTGGTGCCTGCCTCGCCCACCTGGGCTCTTCTGTGCCACCACAGGCCAGGCTGCCCCTGGGGGCCCGTATGCACCAGGTAAGGACTCCTACATCCCTCTGAGCATGAAGCAGAGCACGGCTGGGACCTGCCACCCTGGGAGCCTCAGTGCCTGGGGGAGAGGCACGCTGGAGAGAGCCCAGGGCAGGTGTGCCTGGGCGGTGTGGCCAGGCTTGTGTGAATGAGGAGGAGGCAGGCTGGAGACTGGGCAGAGGCGGATACTGAACATGGTGGGGCGGGGTCTCAGACGGCAGCATCCAGCTGCTCCCAAGCTGCTCACATCCTCCCAGCTTGAGGCCCGGGTGTTGCGGGAGGCGAAGGGGATGGGGGAAGTGTCCTGGAGGGTGAGGGGAGGGTTCTTTCTGCTTGGCCCAGGGAGGCCTGCCACCTCTCCAGAGAGCACTGCCCATCTGTCCCTGGGACAACACTTGGACCAGCCTCTGAGAAATGGGCTGAAGGTTCCTCAAGAGCCTCTGCGCTTGGGGTCCCCATGCACAGCAGGCTATCCATGGGTTTAGTGAGGGGCGAAGTTTGGGTCCAGACAGACGAGAGGCGGGCACCGTCCTCCACTATGCTGCTGCCCACACTGCCACCTTCACTCGGCCATGTGGGAGACACAGATTTGAAGATGTGGATTTGAGAGGGTCCTACGTTATGAGCTTACTGGGGCACCTCCAGAGCCCGATCCCACCACAGCAGTCACGGGTACAGCCGGAGCCTCGTGCATGGGAAGGCGGGAGCCAGGCCTCTCCAGAGAGCAGGCCGGCCTGGTGCTTCCCTCCTCCAGGTTTCCACTGCCCAGGAGGGGCGCAGACCCCGACACCCCTTGGTGGGCTGTGGGGACACTTCGAGGGCTCCCTGGCGGCCACACCTCGGCAAGACGGGGAGCACAGCTACGGCACAGGTACTCGGCCTGCTCAGAAAGCACAGCAGGACACCTACACACTGGACGGGCGAGGCCTTGGGATGACTGAGGTCACCTTTTTCCAGGCTGAGAGACCCACCAGGGGAGGACCTGCTCCCCAGGTCATTACTGCCCCCAGGGCACTAGCCACCTCCCTAGGCCCTGTCCTCCAGGCGTGTCCAGTCCCTGGGAGGACCGAAGCCAGGCCCACAGCTGCCCGCCATGTCCTGCAGGTGAGGAGGGGGGGCAAGGCTGTGCGGTGGGGCCCAAGGGACTCAGCTCCTGGAAAACCTCTTTTGCTGTCCCAGGGCCCAGAGGTCTGTGATGCGAGGTGGTAGAGGGCAGGGCCTTTGGGCGGAGTCAGAACCCACTTCCTGACTGTGGGAAATCCCTTAACTCGGGAATCCTGAGTTCTCCCCTCAGATGAGAGCTGAGATGAGCATTAAATAAGACTGAGCACAGGAAGGGCAGTAAAGAAACACCTGTCCTGGAGGAGGCTGCAGAGCAGAATAAGCCTGAGGAGAGGCAGGGCTGGACGTGGACCCCACCGCCACGATGGCCCCTCCCGCAGGGCAGGCGAGCGGCAGGGACGGAGGGCATAACAGAGAAAGGTAGGATCCAGTCTCTGCAGGGTCTCTGACATGCAGGAAATGTCCCATCTCTGCTGGTGCCTGGCCAAGGCTTCCACGCTGCCCAAAAGATGAGAGCAGCATCAGGACAGCTTTCCTGGAGAAGTTAAGGGCTGAGCTAAAGAAGGAGGATCATAAAAAGGTCAATTGGAGGGTGCTGGGCTGGAGGAGCTTTAGGAGCAGGACTTCCCACATGTCCTTGCAGCCACAAGAGGCAGCCTGGACCTGTGTTCCCCGAGGCCCTTGAGTGGCAGGCCCAGCCTTCAACCCTGGCATAGTCCCAGCATGACCTTGGTGGCCCCCAGCCCACAGGCAGGGCTCTGAGGACTATGTTGTGGGATTAACATCCACCCAGCAAGCCAAGTGGCACTTTGGCTTCACAGGCAGTGGCTCCAGGACAGGGTCCAGGGACACCTCAGGGTGGAGAGGCTAATAAAACCACCCCTGGCCTGAACCCCAGCCCCACCCTCCCTCTCCCTGAGACAGCTCATGAGGTGAGGTGACCTCTCCCCCTACCGAGTCACCTGAGGGCTGGTGGTTGTGGAGATAACTTTCATGCATGCTGTGAGGCCACCAGTGCTTTCACCTGAGCTCCTCCACCTTCTTTTTGCACCTTTGGCCACCTGTGTGGGGAGGGTGAGGTGTCGTCTTCCACGGGTGTCCCCACCCTCCCATATAAGACATGTCTTCACACAAAGCCGTTGGCTTTAGGGACAGTCACACATTACTGTTTCTTTTCTCTTCCCATAGAAATATAAGGGCCCCTTCTCCTTAGAGTACTTGTCAGTGTAATTTTTATTAAATTAGGTCCATCTCATTCAGAAAGGGTTTGAGCAAACCATAAGTGATGACATAATGAATATGTAAATGAAAACAAGCTTAGCTGGAGTGGAAGCAGGTTTCTAGAACACTCATCTGGAGGCTCCCTGAGTGGGGTCTGGAGCCCCAACTCTTCAGTGCCTTGCAGTGCCCTCCACACCAAGAGTGGGGCTGAAGGCACCACACCCACCTTTCCACAGGATGGGCAAGTCCTGGAACCCCCATGCTTTCTCCCCAGCTTTGGGCTCCTAAGCAGGGTCTGGCACAGATAGCCAAGAATTAATTCAGAAGGGGCCGCATCTCAGGGCCCACTGCCGTCCCTGGGCTTGAGAGCCACCCTGGCAGTGGAGGGCACTGTCACTCCAGCTCGCGAGCTCTGCTCCCTTATTCTGGGAAATGTCCCACTGCAGGGGTGTGTGAGCTGGGGGTGGTCGAGAGCCTGACTGGGGGCCAGGGAGGGCTGCTCTGCAATCTCAGCCACTTCTGATTCTCTGGGCAAGAGCTGAGGTCACTCATCCCAATAAAGGCATCCATGTGACTGCGGGAGGGCCCTGCCCTCTAGGTCACTTCTGTCCAGTGGGCACAGGGGTGGCCCTGCCCTGCCCTATGGGCACCTTCTCAGGTTAGTGAGTATGAGTGCCACTGCCCTGGTCCCAGGGGCTGAGCCCAGACCTCCTCTCGGTCCTCCTTTCCACTTAACAGCTGACCAACAACATCCCCCAGCCATGGGAGAGTGTGAGGCTTGGAGAGCCGGACTTCCACCTGGGCTGCGAGGGCAGAAAGCCTTGGGGAGTGTCGGTTGGAGGGGCCAGATCGAGGGCAGGCCATGCGGGCTTTGAGGGGCTTGAGAACACGTCATACTCAAGAAAGCAAAGCCATTAAGAATTTGTGTCTGCCGATATCTCTTTTGAGACCAGACCCATCTCCTCATCTTTAGGACCCTCCCAGCTCCCAAGAGAAGACAGCCCAAAGCAAGGGCCAGTCGTGGAGCTGATGGCTCAGGGGAGGGCGGGGGGTAGTGTGGGGCACTGTTAGATGTTCTGATTGTAGCTGCCAGATCACAGAGGTCTGTGGCCCTGGACGGCCTGAGCTTGAATTGGGATTAAGACAGAGAAGAATTATAACCAGGTGCATATCTCAGAGGGGAAAGAGAGACAGAGAGAAGAGCCCTGCCACACTTTCCCTCAGGCACCTGCCGGAAATGCTACCTGGAGCCAGTGTAGGCAGGAGTCACAGGGAGCCTGAGAGAGGAGAGATGAAAAGGAAATCGCGGAAAGGTGGTCCCTGCCAGGGTGCGCCTGGGTCCACACTTTCAGAGAGGCCTGGTCCCACAGCCCCTTCCTCCCGCCTGCTCCCCTCCCTGGCTCATCTCCTGGGTTTCTTTCTGTCTCCCCAGAATGTTTCTCTCCATGGTCTCTGAGGGCCTGTCCTGTCCCCCTGGCCATTTCTGTGGTGCCTCTGGCCTGGCTGCGCCCTCTGGCCCCTGCTCCCCCGGCTACTTCTGTCTGGCAGGAGCCTCCTCCCCAACCCCGACAGGTGTGGAGCCCCCTGGGAGCGGGTGAGCCCTGTACCACCCAACGCCCTGAGGTGGGGGCTCTCATGGTTTGGCACCGATGGGCTGTGGGTGGTTTGAGGATGGAGGGGACGTATGTAAGAGGGGCTGGAGTCAGATGGCTGAGGCGTGCTGTGGTCTGGCTGCCCTGCCCATTTACGGTCACACCTGCGGCCTCCCAGCCCACCTCTGTCTCACTCAGACCTGCTGAATCCACCACAGGTTTGCCGGGAGGTGGACAGAGAGGACGGGTGTTGGGGGGAGGGGGTTGCAGTCAGTGGACACCGAATGGTGCCCCATGGGCCACCCAGAAGCTGAGCTGATCGTGGGCATTGGCTTTCTTGGGTAGGTGGGGGCCACAGCCAAGACTCCCAGAGCAGACCCTCTACACATCCCCCTCGAGGTGCAGGTCAGGAGAGGGGGCAGAGCATTAGGCCCTGGAGGTCAGCGTCCAGGATGTCTGCTTCCTCTAGAGGCTGCTGACCATCTTCCAGAGGACGCCCCCTTTGCAGCCATCTCCAGTGGTCAGGGGGCAGCCTGGAGTCTCTGGGTCCTCAGGAACATGTGAAGGCAGATAGGGCAGCTGATCCTTGGCCAGGACCCTTGAATCCCTCTGCTCTGACACTTCCATTATTCAGAGAACATTGGAGGAGCGAGTTCAGCTCTCAGATGGAAGGTTGAGTTCTGGGGCATCATGGATGAGGACTGGAGAGCCAGAGCCAAGCCCCCGTTCAGGCTGCTGAACCTGGACAAAAGACCAAAACAGAAGCAGCTGGCCTGGCTTAGTACAACTCAGTGGGAAAGCCCTGGTCTGTCAGCCTGTTTTACTGAAAAGTGCACAATCATGGTGTGTCCTAGAAAGAGCACTGGGAGGGATGTCTGGAAAACCAGCTCTGAGCCAAGGCAGAGTCCAGGGAGATCCTGGCTCGCCCGCTAACGTCTTAGGACTTCATCCTCAGTAAAAACCAATCATTGCTCTTGTCCACCTACCAAACAGGGATTTTTCTGAGGCCCGAATAATGTGACATTTGTGTAAAACACATGCTTTTTGATCTGTAAGGTGTGGTACAAATGCCAGTCACAAGCACGGCTCCTCTCAAAAACAAACCTCTGACCTAAACTGGAGTCCACATTTGGTTCTGGTGCCGGGGCACAAGCCTCCCCCAGCTCTGGCACTCTCTGCTGGGACTGGGGTGTGCACTCCTCACTTAGCTTCCTTCCTCCCCTCAGGCCACTCAGGGCAGGGGGGCCCCTGTCCCCGAGGCCACTTCTGCCCCAGGGGAACCAGCCTCCCACAGCCCTGCCCTGCCGGCTCCTACAGCTACCTGACTGGCCAGGCCTCCTGCTTCCCTTGCCCCACTGGCTACTACTGCCCCGAGAACGTCACCAACTACAGCAGGCACCCCTGTCCCGCTGGCTTCTACTGCCCCGAGGTGAGCGCCTAGGCCACAACTTCCCGGGGCGAGGCTGGGCAGAGTTGTACAGCCGCTCTAGGCTCAGCTGGGGACTTGGGGGCTCACAGCAATGCAAACTCTGTGGCAACAGACACATGCATAGGTGTGTCCTCTGCTTCCGGGCTTTCCCACCACCCGTCCTGAAGGCCAGGGATATGAGGGCACTCCAAGGATGAGCTCTAAGCAGCTGGTGACAAGTATGAGTTCCATCCAAGTCTCCAGCTGTGTTTTAAAATGCCCGAAGGTTTTACATTGTATTCCATAGCATATCCGTGTTGGCTAAAAAACAAATATGTGAAATTACTTTAGCAAAACGTAGAAAGTTTGGGTCCCGTGCCTTTCAGTGAAGTTGAGCACCAGGAAGGGGAGTAGTGCACATGCTGTGGCTTTGTGGAGCCTGGGTCTAGGGCCACCCAGCCCAGGGGCTGAACTCTCCGGCCTGGAAGGCCAGGAGTGAGTGAGTTGTGGGGTTGAGGTGGGGAGTCTGCCAAGGACCAGCCCTGCAGGAGGAGGGGTACAGGGAGCAGCTGGCCACATTGAGCCTCCCCTGCCCCAGGCCCTGGAGCAGAGGGCGCCTTCAGGAACCAGCAAGCTGGGCTCCCCTCCTCTGAACTTTGCTTCTCAGGCACGAAGTACGCCACCCAGTTCCCCTGCCCTCGGAGCTACTACGACCCAGACCCACTGACCCAGAGCCTGGACAGCTGCCTGCCCTGTCCCCCAGGCCACTGCTGCGGGTAGGAGAACCTGACCCGGGCCTCTGGGCCTTGTGCGGCAGGTGAGTCTCCTGCCTTGCCCTAAGAAGCCCCCTGTCCATCTCTGCACTTCCCATTTCTGCCCCTGGACCTGGGGTCATCCAGACTATCTCCTGGAGCAGCTACTGGGAGGGATGGGTGGGCCTGCAGCCTGGTAAGCCTGGCCTTGGACTCCTTGGCCCACCACCCACCCCTCCCCACTGGTTTCTACCCCAGGATGGTTCTGTGTGTCTGTGGCATGGACCGCCCGCCCCTTCAACCTGGACAACTACACCAGCACCAATTGCCTGTGCCCAGCCACAGCCACAGGGGAAAAGTGCCCTGCTGGCTCCTACTGTCCAGAGGGCAGCCCAGAGCCCATGCCCTGCCCACCAGGCTCTTTCTGTGGCACCTCTGGTAAGGACCTATCGTGCTGTGGCCTAGGCTGTGGCTGGTGGGAGAACCAATGTGAGGGTGAACATGTAACCGCCATCTTTCCCTGTCCAATGAGAAGCACTGCCTGCCTACCTCAGGGGGCTGTGCCTGGCATGCTTCCTGGCAGGACTGTGCTTCATAAACTGTCACTGTTGCTGTCACTCTGGGTGAACGCAGGCCAGCCACCACAGAACAGCAAGGTAGGGAGGAGTGGCCAGGCCAGCAGGTCTCTATGCCCAGGGAGGGGCTCAGTGGCACCTCCCTGATCCCTCTCTGTACTCCCCATGTCTGATTGCCTGCACTTCCCAAGCACCTGCTGTGGACAACCCTGCTGGGCACCGAGCACCCAGGCATGCACCAGGCTCCTTCTGCCTTGGGAGGCTCTCAGCTCTACAGCCCCTGAGGTCAAGACCTTAGGCTGTGTTGGCTAAACTTGTACTCTAATGTCAGCTCTGCACCTTACTGATGATGACCTGAGGCTCTTTGTGAATGAGAGTAGTACCCATGTCACAGGGTTGGGCAGGAGCAGATGGCACACTTAGCTCAGGCTCAGCACAGGCTCAGCCCGGGATCAGTACAGGCTCCACAAAGGTGCAGCACAGACTCAGCCCAAACTCAGTCTCAGGTCTCAGCACAGGGCTTAGCACAGACTCAGCTCAGCCTCAGCCTCAGGGCTCAGCACAACTCAGCCTACGCTCAGCACAACTCAGCCTCAGGGCTCAGCACAACTCAGCCTACGCTCAGCACAACTCAGCCTCAGGGCTCAGCACAACTCAGCCTCAGGGCTCAGCACAACTCAGCCTACGCTCAGCACAACTCAGCCTATGCTCAGCACAGCCTCAGCCTCAGGGCTCAGCACAACTCAGCCTCAGGGCTCAGCACAGCCTCAGCCTCAGGGCTCAGCACAACTCAGCCTCAGGGCTCAGCACAACTCAGCCTACGCTCAGCACAGGCCCAGCACAGGGCTTAGCACAGACTCAGCAGAGGCTCAGCCCAGGCTCAGGACACAACCAGCACAGGATCAGCACACGCTCAATGCAAGCTCAGGACAAGGACTCAGACCAGGCTCAGCATATACTCAGCACAGACTCGGCACAGGCTCAGCACAGGGCTCAGCAAAGACTCAGCACAGACTCAGCAGAGGCTCAACACAGGCTCAATGCAGGCCCAGCAAAGGCATGACCACTAGTATAACTCTCAGTTCTAGCTGAGTACTCTAGTCACACCCCGAGTCCTCCGAGGACTGATGCCCACAGGGATCCCAGTTGGCTCCAAAGGCCAACGTCTTTTATAGTGAGTCTACTCAGCATTTAACCCAGTTCCCCTCCACCTCCAGGCCTCTCCACCCCCAGCGGGCCCTGCCAGCCTGGCTACTTCTGTGCAGAAGGTGCATCATCCCCTTCTCCAAAGGACAGGGTGACAGGGGCTCCCTGCCCCCTGGGATCCTTCTGCCGTGACTGTATCCTTGGGCTCCGCTCTCAGCCCAACTCGCCCTCCTGTCCCAGGACTGCAGACAGATCTGATTCCTCCGGCTTGCACCTGTGCCCCTGAGCAGGTGGGAGGAAGCCAGAGGAGAGGTGCCCCGCTAGAGTCAGGCCTGAGGCAAGAAGGCTTGCAGAGGGTTGTGGTTGTGGTTAAAGTACATTTTGGGCATTTGCTGTGGCTTGAGTTGTTTGGTGGGGATGGCTGAGGGATCACCTTGGCTGAGGGATCACCCCAGCCAAGGACCTGTGAGATTGGAACCTTCCAGCCCCACATCTGGGGAGAAAAGTGAGGGCAGCCCTTGCTCTGCAGGCACCCCGGCCACCCAGGCCTGCCCCTCTGGCCACTACTGCCCTGGAGGAAGTGAGACCCACTCGGGAGCTCCCCAGGCCTGCCCTGAGCATACCTACCTGGCAACAGATGGAGGCCATAGTCAGGCGGAGTGCCTCCCCTGCCCTGCTGGGTACCACTGCCCATGGCCAGGTAAGAGCCTGTCTGCAGGCTGGATGTGGGGGCCTTGGGGAGGAGAGGGAAGAGGCTGTCAGGAGCCCCTCAGGCAACCCTTCTTAGCCTGATGCTTTTGCCCCCAGGTCTCTCTTCCTTTGAAGACCACCCATGTCCTCCGGGCCACTGGTGTCTAGGTGACCAGGGTGCCTTTTTCTGCCCACCTGGCACCTTTAGGTCAGAGCCAGGGGCATCAGCACAGGAAGACTGTGAGCTCTGCCCTCCTGGCTACCACTGCCCAGACCCTGAGCTTCAGGGTCATGCAAATGTGTTTGCCATCCCCTGCCCAGCTGGATCTGAGTGCCCAGCAGGTGAGGCTGCAGGATGACCCCAGCCCCTTCCCATCCCTTCCCTCATCCCTGAGGCTCATGCCTGAGCTCTGCAGAAAGCCCTGATTGAGCTCAGGCCACAGATGTGGCACAGCCACACCTGACCAGCCCCCACAAGGCACACCCAGTCTCTGGTGGCATCCACACCACCTGGATGTCCCCAGACCAAGGTGCCTTCAAGTCACCTCTTCCTCCCCATCTGGGTCAAGGAGGAGGCCGGCCAGAGGTTTAACTAGAAATAGCATGCCCCCTACAAAGTGTCCAGTACCTGCCACACCTCAAGGCACAACCAAAAGCACCCTCCTGTTGGCTGCCCTCAGGTGAGCTGTGGCCTCAGTGCCACTGCCCTGTGCGTCCTCATCAGAGCTCCCACCTCCACCTCATGAAATGCATCCTCCTTCCCCACCGCGGCGGCTGGCTGCACAAAGACACGGGAACTTCCTGCCATTGATCTCGGTTCATGACACCACCACCCGCACGAGTCACCCTCCCTGACCACACGAGATCTCCCTTCACCTGCAAGCTCCGCACTCCTTCCTGGTTTCCACACTGTTCCCCACCACCTCAGAGGCCTCACCCTACTGCTGTCCTCCCTGCCCAGGCCTCACCTGGGGAGCCTGGGGACCCTCCTGAGTTCTCCTCCGGCTCTGGACCTCTCCTGGCTTCCAAGTGCCATTGATGGGTGAAGAAGGGACTTGGGGTGTCCTCCAAACCATGCCCACATTGTGGCCTGTTCTCCCGCATCCCTGGCCCTGTCTCTTCAGGTGCTGTGGCTGAGGTCCCTTGTAGGCCCGGCTCCTACTGTGGGCCTCAGACGGGGCTGCCCCCACTCTGCCCCGGGGGGCTATGCCTGCCCTGTCAGCTCCTCCACCTACAGTGGCCTGGGGCAGCGGTGAGTTCCTTCCCCCTACCCCCCCAAGGGTCTGAGCCCCAACCCCAGCCCTGGAACTGCTGTCAGCACCCTATGTGAGGCCCCACCATGACAAGCATGTGTGCCTCAGAAATCCAGCCAAAGGGCAGGGCCCAAAAGCAAGCCCTGGTGACCCTCTGCCTGGGCTTCCCAGCTAGGGCCAGCCCCTGCCTCTGCCCCAGGGAAGGTGGGGTGAGGAAGCACATTGCCCTGGGATGCCCCATCAGAGTGCAGGCTCATCCTGGTGGGGCAGCCAGATGGAGCTCACAAAAATACAGCACGCCTAGTTACATTTGAATTGCCGGTAAAGGACAATGCATTTTTACTGTAAGTATGGCCCATGCAATATTGGGGGTGCACTTCTACTAAAATCATTCTCATTGTTTATTTGAAATTTGAATAGGACTGGGCATGGAGTATTTCATCTGGTAAGCCCCATCCCGTGTCTGGGACTAACACCCTGACATCAGATCCACTCCACAACACCCCTCTGCCCAGGGTGGAATGGGCAGGCAGTGCCGGCCTGGTTAACTGGGCATGGCTCATCCACCACCAGAAAGGCAGCTTGGTGCCGTGGCCCCACCAGACACAAGGCAACCCCAGGACCCCTGACTGGGACAGTAGCAGAGTCCCCGTCCGCTAGCAGCTGAGGCCCCAGGCCAGGGAAAGTCGGCCCCCGCTAGCGAGAGAACCCACCGCACACACAGGTTCCGGCAGCATGAACCAGCCGGGCTCTGTCTCTGCAGCTGTGTCTTTCCCCATTACTGCCCCCCGGGCAGTGCCCAACCTCGTGCCTGCCCTGGGGGCTCCGAAGCCCTGAATGGGACCAGCCTCAGGGTCTCTGAGGAGATATGCTGCCTGCCGCCTCTGTGAAGCGGGCACCTACCGCAGCCGGGCCCTGGATGCTCTACCCTTACAGCCCTGCCCGCCTGGATTCAGCTGCCCCCAGGGTGAGTCCCTGGGAGGCCTGGGCAGGAGCAGGGGGACCGGGACTGGAGGTGACCCAGAGTGGAGATCAGTGAGGCGGGTGGAGGCGCAGGCAGGGAGGGCCCCTCAGAGCCTGGGGACAGCCCAAGAGGCCTGGAGCAGCCCAAGACACAGACCCAAGAACATGTGGAGGATGGAGACACAGAGCAG
Organism: Homo sapiens; assembly: GCF_000001405.40. NCBI lineage: Eukaryota > Metazoa > Chordata > Mammalia > Primates > Hominidae > Homo > Homo sapiens. The sequence goes on along the minus strand of NC_000002.12, from coordinate 110,023,005 downwards.
GTGAGTGTCAGCTGCCTCCGTGTCAGGTTTAAAAGTCCTCTAGACACAGGGCAGAGCAGCATGCACACAGATGTGTCGGAGCCAGTGGCCCAGGCACTCTGGAGAGAAGGAAAGCCACTGCCCAGCGCCCCGCACCTGACTGAGAGGGAGACCAAGGGGCTGGCGGGGAGGGTGAGGGGTTACAGGGCACAGAGCCCTCTACTGCCCCCACAATCTAGATTCTTCCCCCATTTACTGCATTGTTTCCCCCCTCCCTCAGCAGGCATATCCCTACCCTGGACACCCCCAGTCCACTCTCAGTCCCTGCCTCGGCTGGGGCAGAATTTCCCCTCTGTGTTCCTCCAGGGTCAGAGAGCTACCAGGGCCATTCCTGCCCGGTGGGCCACTACTGCCCTGCAGGGACTCGCAGCCCAAGGCCCTGCCCAGCAGGGACCTTCAGAAGCAGCAGCAGGGCCAGGGCAGCTGAAGACTGCCGGCTCTGCCCTGCGGACACCTTCAGTGCCCTGCCTGGACAGGTGGGCTGCCTCACCTGCCAGAGCGCCGCTTTCTCTCCACCAGGCGAGTGTCAGGTCTGCCTGCTCCAAATGCCCTGTCTGGGGCCTGCAGCTTTGAGGGCCCAAGATGTAAGGTTTCAGGAAACAGCCACCTATGGCTGAGTGGAGCTGTTCTAGGAAAGCTGCAGGTGAGGGCAGGAGTCTCTCGGTGACTCCCACGCACTGGGTTGGGTGTGTGGATGGAGCAAGTGTGTATGCAAGGACTCCAGCAGGCAAAGGAGTGGGTGTGAGGGAACCAGCTCAGACCAGCCTCAGCCACTTGCTCAAGGTGGCTCGATGGATGGGGCCAGCACCGCTCTGAGGCCGTCTAACAGGCTGCAATGCTGCATCGCCCTCCGGGGAACACCCTCGTTCTGCTCACCCAAGTCAGTCCCTGGTCATAGGGTCAAGGGCAGAGCTGCAAGTGCAGCTCCCGGCTTTGAGCCAACAGTGCTGCTGATGTCTCCACTTCTCCCCATTTTGAGGTGTGGTCTTCTCATGGTCTTTGTTGTGGCACCCATTTGCAGGCAGTCCACTGTACAAACGGAAGTAACCAGATAATCTTGCGATAGATAATCCAAAAGTTACATGCGTCATACATAGTTAGCCTCAGTGGGGGCTCCAACTGAGGGCTGACCCCAGATCTCTGCTGATGGTGTTGGCAAGCTTCCTCTCTTAAAGCAATGGGAGTGCTTACCACATGCCAGGCATGTTCTAATGCTATCTAATGTCAGCTTATGTGATCCTCATGACAACTCTATGAACCAGACACAGTTATTATTATCCCTGTGTTATGAGTATGTAAACTGAGGCACAGAGACTTTAAATAACTTGCCCACATCAGACGGTTAGTGATGGCAGAACCAGGATTTGAACCCAGTCTGGCTGACTCCCAGGTTCCTGCTGTCAACCGCCACACCATGACACCTTCAGATGGTGTGATTTGAGGTGCCCAGGGATCTGCCATCGTTTCTTATCTTCCAGCTGAGGTATTCTGCCTCTGAGGTGACCAACCCCTGAATCTTGTGACCCCCCACCCATATACCTGGAGACCAGGGGCTGAGTAAAGTGGGTCCCAGAGGTGGTTGTGTCCAAATTACATTTCACTGGTGGGTTCGTAACAATCACGTACAGGCATTTGTGTGCTTTTCCGTTATTGAGGGGTATATTTTTAACTGGGTTGGACATGTGATCGTAATATTGGTAGTGAAATGACCCTTAGATAACACTAAAACCTTTTCCAGGCTAATATTATTGCAGCCATTCTCTGTGACATGGAACTCTCCAGTCTGTGTTTGTCTGCTCTGTCTGCCATAGCTTAATCCCACAGATGGCGGGGCTTGAACAACAGAAACTTACCTCCTCAGAGTTCTAGAGGCTACAAGTCCAAGATCGAGGTGTCAGCAGGGTTGGTTTCTCCCAAGGCCTCTCTCCTTGGCTTGCAGCTGGTCACCTTCTCCCTGTGTTCCCACATGTTCTTTTCTCTGTGCCTCCATCTGGTGTCTCTGTGTGTGTCCAAATGTCCTCTTCTAATAAGGGCAACAGTCACATTGGAGTAGAGCCCCCTCCCACATCTTCATTTTGACCCAGTTATCTCTCAAGAGGCCCCACCTCCAGAGACTGTCACATTCTGAGGTACTGGGGGATAGGGCTTCTGTGTGTGAATCTAAGGAAACACAATTCAGCCCAAAACGGGGACCCTAATCGCCTCTGGGCTCAGCACCGGAACAAACAATGTTCTCCTCAGGCTGTGTCCCAATTATGCTTCTTTGCGTCTACGGTAAGTCCCGCTCCAGTTGATATACTCTCCTTTTTTATTTCCTGCAAATTTTGTTGATTTGTTATATATACAGGTTATGAGTTAAGGTTCAAAATAAATTTTTCCCAAATAGATATCCAATTGGCATGGAACCTAACATGAATTATTACCCAGGTTTGTCATTAATCAAACATTTCATAAACATGCAGGTCTGTTTGGGAATCTCATGTCTGTTCCACAGGTGTTGTACTCTATTCTTGTATAGATATCACCCTGTCCTAATCACTGTAGCTACATAAGTCTTAAATGAGTAGTCTGTCTTGCAACTTTGTTCTTTTCAACAACAATGGCTATTTGTGGTCCTTGCATTTCCATATAATCAGATTATTAGCATCTACAAAGGAACCTGCTAGGATTTCTATTGGGATTTCATAGAAACAATTGATCCATTGGCAGAGAAATGACATTATTACTATGTTGAGTCTTCTAGTTCTTGAACATGGCTTATCCTCCCATTTATTTATGTCTTCTTTTATTTTTCTAAACAGATTTTTGTGGGTTTTTTGGGGGGGTAGAGATGGTGTGTATCTCGTTAGATTTATTATTGGACGTTTTATGTTGTAAATGCTATTAGGTTTTTAAATCTTTATCTAGTAATGTTTTGTTTGTCTGAAAGGTGTGTTTTTTCAGCTTTATTCTTTTTTTTATTATTATTATACTTTAAGTTTTAGGGTACATGTGCACAATGTGCAGGTTAGTTACATATGTATACATGTGCCATGCTGGTGTGCTGCACCCATTAACTCCTCATTTAGCATTAGGTATATCTCCTAATGCTATCCCTCCCCCCTCCCCCCACCCCACAACAGTCCCCAGAGTTTGATGTTCCCCTTCCTGTGTCCATGTGTTCTCATTGTTCAATTCCCACCTATGAGTGAGAATATGCGGTGTTTGGTTTTTTGTCCTTGCGATAGTTTACTGAGAATGATGATTTGCAGTTTCATCTATGTCCCTACAAAGGACATGAACTCATCATTTTTTTATGGCTGCATAGTATTCCGTGGTGTATATGTGCCACATTTTCTTAATCCAGTCTATCATTGTTGGACATTTGGGTTGGTTCCAAGTCTTTGCTATTGTGAATAGTGCCGCAATAAACATACGTGTGCATGTGTCTTTATAGCAGCATATTTATAGTCCTTTGGGTATATACCCAGTAATGGGATGACTGGGTCAAATGGTATTTCTAGTTCTAGATCCCTGAGGAATCACCACACTGACTTCCACAATGGTTGAACTAGTTTACAGTCCCACCAACAGTGTAAAAGTGTTCCTATTTCTCCACATCCTCTCCAGCACCTGTTGTTTCCTGACTTTTTAATGATTGCCATTCTAACTGGTGTGAGATGGTATCTCATTGTGGTTTTCATTTGCATTTCTCTGATGGCCAGCGATGATGAGCATTTTTTCATGTGTCTTTTGGCTGCATAAATGTCTTCTTTTGAGAAGTGTCTGTTCATGTCCTTTGCCCACTTTTTGATGGGGTTGTTTGTTTTTTCTTGTAAATTTGTTTGAGTTCTTTGTAGATTCTGGATATTAGCCCTTTGTCAGATGAGTAGGTTGCAAAAATTTTCTCCCATTTTGTAGGTTGCCTGTTCACTCTCATGGTAGTTTCTTTTGCTGTGCAAAAGCTCTTTAGTTTAATTAGATCCCATTTGTCAATTTTGGCTTTTGTTGCCATTGCTTTTGGTGTTTTAGACATGAAGTCCTTGCCCATGCCTATGTCCTGAATGGTAATGCCTAGGTTTTCTTCTAGGGTTTTTATGGTTTTAGGTCTAACGTTTAAGTCTTTAATCCATCTTGAATTAATTTTTGTATAATGTGTAAGGAAGGGATCCAGTTTCAGCTTTCTACATATGGCTAGCCAGTTTTCCCAGCACCATTTATTAAATAGGGAATCCTTTCCCCATTGCTTGTTTTTCTCAGGTTTGTCAAAGATCAGATAGTTGTAGATATGCGGCGTTATTTCTGAGGGCTCTGTTCTGTTCCATTGATCTATGTCTCTGTTTTGGTACCAGTACCATGCTGTTTTGGTTACTGTAGCCTTGTAGTATAGTTTGAAGTCAGGTAGCGTGATGCCTCCAGCTTTGTTCTTTTGGCTTAGGATTGACTTGGTGATGCGGGCTCTTTTTTGGTTCCATATGAACTTTAAAGCAGTTTTTTCCAATTCTGTGAAGAAAGTCATTGGTAGCTTGATGGGGGTGGCATTGAATCTATAAATTACCTTGGGCAGTATGGCCATTTTCACAATATTGGTTCTTCCTACCCATGAACATGGAATGTTCTTCCATTTCTTTGTATCCTCTTTTATTTCACTGAGCAGTGGTTTGTAGTTCTCCTTGAAGAGGTCCTTCACGTCCCTTGTAAGTTGGATTCCTAGGTATTTTATTCTCTTTGAAGCAATTGTGAATGGGAGTTCACTGATGATTTGGCTCTCTGTTTGTCTGTTATTGGTGTATAAGAATGCTTGTCATTTTTGTACATTGATTTTGTATCCTGAGACTTTGCTGAAGTTGCTTATCAGCTTAAGGAGATTTTGGGCTGAGACAATGGGGTTTTCTAGATATATAATCATGTCATCTGCAAACAGGGACAACTTGACTTCCTCTTTTCCTAATTGAATACCCTTTATTTCCTTCTCCTGCCTAATTGCCCTGGCCAGAACTTCCAACACTATGTTGAATAGGAGTGGTGAGAGAGGGCATCCCTGTCTTGTGCCAGTTTTCAAAGGGAATGCTTCCAGTTTTTGCCCATTCAGTATGATATTGGCTGTGGGTTTGTCATAGATAGCTCTTATTATTTTGAGATACGTCCCATCAGTACCTAATTTCTTGAGAGTTTTTAGCATGAAGCGTTGTTGAATTTTGTCAAAGGCCTTTTCTGCATCTATTGAGATAATCATGTGGTTTTTGTCTTTGGTTCTGTTTATATGCTGGATTACATTTATTGATTTGCATATATTGAACCAGCCTTGCATCCCAGGGATGAAGCCCACTTGATCATGGTGGATAAGCTTTTTGATGTACTGCTGGATTTGGTTTGCCAGTATTTTATTGAGGATTTTTGCATCAATATTCATCAAGGATATTGGTCTAAAATGAAAAAGAGAGTTTATTAAAGGAAGTTTGTGTGTGATTAAGTTTGCTGTAACACAAATATTTATCTCTCTAAATATGGAGCTTTGATATTAAAAATACACTAATACAAAACTAAAAATTGGTCCCCTGTGTTAGAATAAGATTTTCTGAAAGTATTTATTTGTTCTTAATAAAATTACAAGAGGTTTTGTTTCTTTTTGAAATTTCTCAAATTTATGTCTCAGAAGTTCAAATTCTGCTCTCTCTCACTAAATGTGATTTGCAGTTTATATATCATTGCCTTCTGTTCTTTATTCCCTTAAAAGGTAAATCTGTTTGCTTACCTGGGATAAGTCTCTTCTTCAATATTTTTATTAACTCCCATAATTATTTTCTTCTACTCTACCTCTGATGTTGTGGCTGGACACTAAAATGTTTATCTTGAAGGTCTAGAATGCAGTGTTTTCCTCTAGAATAATTTGATTCTGTAGTCTTGGCTTTTCTTCAGTAGAGGGGAATTCTCATGCTGTTGCTGAGAGCCATGTATTTCTGTGCTCAAGGTATGAGTTTTCTTGTTTACATTCCTTTATACTATCGTGTACACATATAACCCTGAACACGCTGTTCTTACATCTGATTAAGCTCAACTACCCTTTTTATCAGGCTTGACTTCCGGGATATCTAAATGGGCTTCCCATAAGGAGAATTAGTCATATTTGTGTTAGTCCATTTTGCAGTGCTATAAAGAAATACCTGAGACTGGGTAAATGATAAAGACATTTATTTTGGCTCACAGTTCTGCAGACTGTACAAGAAGAACAGTGCCAGCGTCTGATTCTGGTGAGGGCCTCAGGAAGATTACAATTACATTTATGGTGGAAGGTGAATGAGGAGCAGGCATGTCACATGGCAAGAGAGGGAGCAAGAGAGAGGAGGAGGTGTCAAGCTCCTTTAAACAACCAGCTCTCGCATGAACTACCAGAGCAAGAACTCACACATTGCCATGGGGATGGCAATGAGTCATTCATAAAGTATCTGCCTCTATGGCCCAAACACCTCCTACTAGGCCATCTCCAACACTAGAGGTAACATTTCAACATGAGATTTGGAGGGGACACACATCCAAACTAAATCAACACTATAGGAGGTTTTGTGGGGATTTTTGTTTATTTGTTTGTTTACCTTTACAGTAGCTGGTCTAAAAAGAAGAGATTTTATGTTTTATTAAAACAATTTCTGCACTATTCTTATTAGGTTTCATATTACTTAGGAAAACTGAAATTTAAAAGGGGTAAGGATTTTACATTCATAAAAATTTCTGTATTTCTTTTGAAGTATTTTGATTACCACTCTACTTGTGTGAATAACTTTTATTTTCCAGTGACCTATGGTTTTATTTTGATCTAGTTTTTTGAAACTTTTGACATCTTTGTCATGTTCCCCCAGGATGAAAATCCTAAATTAAGTCTTTTTGTATTAAATAATTAGACTTATTTGGCAGATTCTTTGTAAAGTATTATCAAATGATAATTGATACTAGATCTTTCTGTTACAATTATGGGTACATTATTGACATAAATGTTCCAAAACTTATATAAATTTACAAAAAGCTAATTTGTTATCAGTCATAACTTTGATTACTATATTAAATCTTAAGTTATATTTGTAGGGGTATGTTATTAATGTGAATATTCTAAAGATGATATAAAATTTATGAAAGCCTGATGTCTCTAACATGACACTGTCATAATGATTCTGGTTGTTATCTTAAAATGCTGCAAATAATAGAAATAACAAAATTTCCTTGTCTATTGGGAACTTTCATCAAATCTTAACCATAGCTACACCAAATTTTGGTCATCCAGTGTTACCATTCTCAATTCTTCTCTACAAACATTTGCAATCAGCTCTAGTCAAAAATTGCTGCGGTGTGTGGTGGCTAACACCTATAATCCCAGCACTTTGGGGGGCCAAGGTGGGATGATCACTTGAACCCAGGAGTTTAAGACCAGCCTGGGCAATATACCAAGACCCTGACTCTACAAAAATAAAATAAAATTAGTTGGGTCTAGTGGCACAAACTTGTGGTTCCAGATACTTGGGAGGCTGAGGTGGGAGGATTTGCTTCAGCCTAGGAATTCAAGGCTGCAATGAGCCATAATCACACTACTGCACACCAGCCTGGGTTGCAGAACAAGATCCTGTCTCAAAAAAATAAAGAAAGAAAACTTCTTTTTTATGAAAAAGATTCTAATAAGTACGGGCACAAAAAGAGGAAAAAACTAATACAATTAATGAAAGAATATACAAATGTATGTTCTAGTTTTGTTGAATATTTATCATGATTTTTCTCCAACGTGTCACTACTTTGATGATATTTTGTGTAAAATTTGTAGTATTCTTGTAATAGTCTTCTTGAAGTGTTGTGATAGGTGCAGAAAACTGCAATGTCAGAAAAAAAACTGAATCATACTAATTAGAAAAATAGATGAGTGAGGCAGAAAACTAACAAGGAAATTCTGACTTAAATTCAACACTTCACCAATTGGACCTAATAAAAATTGACAAAATGTTCCACCCAACAACCACAGAAGATACATTCTTTTCATTTGCACGTGGCATATACTCTAAGATCAATCACATATTTGGCCATAAAGCAAGTCTCAATAACTTTTTTTAATGAAGAAACAACACCAAGCATATTTTTGGACCATGGAGAATAAAAATAGAAGGCAATATCAAGAAGATACTTCAAAATCACACAATAAAATGGAAACTAAAGAACTTGTTTCTTAATAACTTTTGAGTTAACAAAATTAAAGCAGAAATCAAATAATTATTTAAAATAAATGAAAACAGAGACATAATTTACCAAAATCTCTGGAATGTAGAAAAAGCAGTATTAAGAAGAAAGTTTATAGTGCTTAAGTGGTTTGCCTACCTCAAAAAGCTAGAATGATACCAAATTATCAATCTAACATCACACCTAAAGGACCTAAAAAAACAAGAACAAACTAATCCAAAGCTACCAGAATAAAATAAATAACAAAAATCACAGCAGAAATAAAATTGAGACCCAAAAAGCCATATAAAAGATCAATGAAATTAAAATTTGGTTCTTTCAAAGAATACGTGAGATTGATAGAATGCTAGGTAGACTAACAAAGAAAGAAGATTCAAATAAATACAATCAGAACTGATACCCACGGAAATACAAAAAAGCCTCAGAGACTATTATGAACACCTCTGTGCACACAAACTAGAAATCTAGAGGAAATGAATAAATTCCTAGAAACACAAAACCTCCCAAGGGAGAATTAGGAAGAAATTGAGATCCTGAACAGATCAACAGCAAGTTCGAAAAATATAAACCAGTAATAAAAAACCTACTAACCAAGAAATGTCCTAGACCAATTAGTTCACAGCCAAATTCTGCCAGACATGCAAAGAAGAGCTGGTGCCAATCCCACTGAAACATTCCCCAAAAAATTGAGGAGAAGGAACTCCTCCCTAACTCATTCTATAAAACCAGCATCATCCTGATACCAAAATCTGACACAGGCACAACAAAAAAAGGAAACTACAGGCCAATATTCCTGATGAACAGACACAAAAATCCTCAACAAAATACTAGCAAACTGAATCCAGCGACACGTCAAAAAGTTAATTCACCATGATTGAATAGGCTTTATTCATGGGAGGCAAGGTTGGTTCAACATATGCAAATAAATAAATGTGATTCACCAAATAAACAAAATTTACAAAAAACATGAACACAAGTAAAAACTTCATGATCATCAACAGATGCAGAAAAAGTTTTAAATGAAACCCAACATCTCTTCATGATAAAAACCCTCAACAAATTAGACATCAAAGGAGTATACCTCAAAATAATGAGTTACCTATGACAAACCCGCAGCCAAGCTCATGCTGAACTGGCAAAAGCTGGATTCATTCCCCTTAAGCATCAGAACAAGACAATGTTGCCCATTCTCACTATTCTGACTCAACATAGTACTGGTAGTCGTAGCAGAGCAGTTATGCAAGAGAAAGAAAAACAGGAAATTCAAACAGGAAAAGAATAAGTCAAATTATCTCTCTTCATAGATGATATTACTCAATACCTATAAAACCTTAAAAGACTACCAAAAATTCAAACAACTGATAAATAACTTCAGTAAAATTTCAGAATATATAATCAATGTACAAAAGTCAGCAGCAGTTGTATACACCAATAACATCCAAGCTGAGAGCCAAATCAAGAATGCTATCCCATTTATTATGGCCACATAAAAAAATACCTAGGAATATATCTAACCAAGGAGGTGAAAGAACTCCACAAGAATAACAAAAATTTCTGCTGAATAAAATCACAGATGACACAAACAAATGGAAAAACATTCCATGTTCATGGATGGGAAGAATGAGTGTCATTAAAACGGCCGTACTGCCCAAAGCAATCTCTAGATTTAACACTATTCCTATTAAATTACCAATGTTGTTTTTCACAGAATTAGGAAAAACACTACTTTAAAATCCATATGGAATGAAAAAAAGAGCAGAAATCACCAAAGCAATCCTAAGCCAAAAAAAAAAAAAAAAAGAAGAAAAAAGAAAAAAGCCAGAGACATCACACTATCCAACTTTAAACTATATTAGAAGGCTACATAACCAAAACACTACAGTACTGGTACAAAAACAGATACATAGACCAGTGGGACAGAATAGAGAACCTAGAAATAAAGTCACACACCTACAACCAAGTGAACATCCGTGAAGCTGACAAAAATAAGCAATAGGGAAAGGACTCCGTATTCAATAAATAGTGCTGGGATAACTGCCTATCCATAGGCAGAATGAAACTGGCTCCTGTTCACTGCTCTGTGTCTTCTGTTCCTAGAAGCCCAGTCTCTATGGACCAGCAGGTATTGGGAGATCCATAGCTAAGACACCAGAACCTGCTGCAAGCCTAGAAATGGAACTGTTGACATTCAGGGATGTAGCCATAGAATTCTCTCCAGAGGGGTGGCAATGCCTGGGCACTGCACAGCAGAATTTGTATTAGCATCCGATGTTAGAGAACTACAGAAACCTGGTCTCTCTGGCTTTGTGTTCTCATTTCACCCAAGATTATTGACCAGAGCAGGGCATAAAAGATTCATTCCAAAAAGTAGTACTAAGTAGATATGGAAAATACAGACAAAAGAATTTACAATTAATGAAAGGCTGTAATGGTGTGGATGAGGGTAAGATGCAGAAAGGAGGTTATAATGAACTTAGCCAATGATTTTCAACTACATAGAACAAAATATTTTTTTCAAATGTCCCACGTTTATTTACATATGAAATGTGTTTCATACAGTTATGATGGATGGAGTGTATAACACCTGACAGCAGCAAGACCTTTCGAGGAACCGAACATTGACTACAGTATATCATGCAAGTGTCTATATATACACAAAATAATTCCTTTTCTTAAAAAAAAAAGTACAAAACATGTTCAGGGATAAATACAAGATATAAAATTCAAAAGAAAACACAAAACAAAACCAAAAAATATAACTCTCTCAGAGAACTATAAACGGAAGGGACAGAAGAGTACCTCTACTGCATTTTAGTAAAGCAGAACTGCCGACGTTAAATGTACCTCTTGAAATGGCTGAACTAATCCCGTGTGGCTCAGTGCTTAAGGTAACGGCCAATTGTGACACACAGCCGGCTGCATTGATAAGTCGGTGGTTGACGTCGTGCATCCCACCTCTAAGCACCAGAACGTTTGGCAGTAGCACCCAGAACAGGAAACGCCAACTCTTTTGACAGCAAAGGATTAAGTCAGCTGATTTTTTTTTTCTATCAAGAGCCAGAGAAATACTTGATATTCTTAGTTGTGTTTCTGTAATAGTTAATAAATTACATGACAAAAACCTGACTATATAGATCTATTGGTCTAACTACGTATTTGTAACTTTTACAGTAGTCCAGCCCTTTTGTTACTTTTCCTCCTTGTGCTCTTAAAGCCAGACTTGCAGATCTACCCAGAAAACCTGTCCCATTTTTTTTCTTCTTTAGAATAGCCTTCCCCATTCCTCAAAATGGAATTGAGGAAATCAGCATTCCTTATTAGATTCCTGGCTTCAGTTTTTATCCACGGCTGGGAAAGGAGCGACCTGCAAGGCTGCTTTAGACACCCTTCGGCGTGGCCTGAAGACAAAGACATGCCCACACTGGAGTGCAGTTGTCTCAAACGTGTACTCGCTCCCTCAGGGCAGGCACATGGAGGAGGTGCTAAGACATTTAAAAGTTCCTAGTGTTTTTGAGACCCACGATTACTTCCAATTTATGTAGTGAATTCTAACAATTAAAAACACTAAAAAAGGCATTATTTTAGCCTGTAATTAGTTAACCCATTCAAATTCGAAACATACAAAATGATTTATTTGAATTCAGGAACTGCCCCTGTTACTAAGAACTCTGTTTTAAAGAAACAGCACAAAAAGAAAAATTCTAACCCAAAACAACTCAAAACGTTTTCCACTGAATACTGATACAAACATGTAACAAAGAGTATAAAAAGTTATTCATTTAAATATATACAAACTCTTTTAAACTCAAAATCTGTTTTAATACTTAATGAGGATATATATGACAAGATGAAGAAGGAAGGCACGTTGAAAGAGAATATATTGCAACAGCCTAGACAGTATTGTTAACTCTATTATACTGCAAACTTTGTGTAACAAAAGTGTCTTATGCCAATGTGGACAGGGATTTTCCTCATGGAGCGTCTGTGGCTATTTCTCGTCTGAGCTCATCCTTTTGGATTTGATGAAGGCCATACCATGTGTCTGCATGTGAGTGTTTAAGGCAGCTTCAGTTTCAAAAGTTTTTGCACACACTTTGCACTTTCTGTCTGACATGGCGCCATTGGGAGATTCATCCTCGTGACTGGGTTTGTTCTCCTGTTGGTTATCTTCCCCAGCCCCGTTTTGCTTGGACACTGGCTGAGGTTCCTTTAACTTGTGTACAACAAAGAGGTGCCTGGACAGAGAGACGTGACATGTAGCAGAGGCCACACTCCCGGCACTGGTAGAAAGAACCATCCGATTTGTGCTGAGGGATGTGTTCGTGGAACTGCAGCAGGTTTTCGGTGGTGAAGCCACACACGGCACACTTGTGAACCTTAAAAACATTGATTTTCAGCTTTGGTTGAGTGATTGCTCCTCTGGGAGGCCTGAACTCCAGAACCGGTTCTTTCAACTTCCACTTGGGACTGGGGACCTTGGGGTCTTCTTTTATTTCTGTTTCCTCCTCATTGATGGCGTCTGTCATTTCTTTCAGGTCAGGGTCCTTGATGCCATGCGTCAGCTGGACATGCTTCTCCAACATCAACTGTTTGGTAAAGGTACCTCTAGAGTCTGAGCAGTGTGAACAGGTGTACACTTTCCTGATGACTTTGTGCTTGATCCGGTTGTGCCAGCACAGGCTGTGGGATGAGCTGAAAGGCTTGTCACGCTGGCAGCAGGGTTGTTTCTTCATTTGTTTCCCATGCTCCTTCCTGACGTGGGATATGTACACATCTCTCTGCATGAACAGGCGGTCACACTCCCAACATGTCCACCCAGGACTGGCCACTTTCTTGGTTTCCACTGATTTTTTTCAAAGGAGATGGAGATTTCTTTTCCAATTTCTCTTTCCCATTCATGGATTTGCTGTCCTCTTTGTTCTGATATGCTGAATTATAAGTTGCAGGCTTAATGCTCAAAGGCAAGTTTACACCCAAGTTGGCCCTTCAATGCTTTGCAATGTCCCATGCATAGACTTGATATGGTCCACCATAAGTTGCTTCTGTGCATATAAAAGAGAACAGTCTGGACACCTGAGAACAGACACCTTCTGGTTTTCAATGTGTTGGTCAAAGTGGCGATACAGCAAGGTTTGCAGGGTGAACACAGTGTTGCACATGGAACACTTATATATTATTTTTGATTCTCCTATCTTGATGCTAGGATGCTGTGTGTAGGTGTGGGAATGTGTGCTTGGGGCAGACTTAAACGTCATTGGACAAATAGGACACTTGTAGAAGACTTCACAGTGAGAACCTTGAATGTGAGACTTCAGAGCAGCCACATCAGAGTACACAACATTGCAACGTACACATCAAAAACCAACTCTCCTTGTGTAGTGCAGACAGTTCTTGGTGACGTGGGTCTGGAAGTGCACCAACCTGCAGATGGCCCTGCACTCAGGGCAGGTGTAAGGAGATTTGTGCTGATGGATTCTCTGCACTGGTTAGGAAGCAGCATCTGGCAGATAGTACAAGTCTTTTGTCCACTCATATCTGCAGCCTGCTGGAAATGTGTAGCCAGCGATGTCTTGTCCTGGAAGATTTCATTACACTCCAAACATTTTAGATTATGTCTACACAGCTTGGAGGGGTCTTCATCTAGGGGTATGGCTGTAGTGCTGGGAGTTCTTGAAGGAGCCGATATGACTGTCCCAGTTATGCCAGACTGAATTTTTGTGACAGTGTGTATGCCAGCTCCCACAGGGCTCTGAAGAGTGGATTTTTCCTCTGATGAAGAAGAAGTATTGGTTGATGGAGAAACTATCGTTTGACCTGCTGGGACTGGCTTTAAAATTGAGTAGGAACATTGCATTACCACCCCTTTCTCCTTATGCCCACGGGCATGGGAAAGGAGGCTGCATTTGTTGTAAAAAAACGAGGTTCTTTGTACAAAGGTTGCATGTTACTTCGATGCACATGCTCCATCTGTCATAGTGCTGGGTCAGACTCTTTTCAAGTTCAAAGGAGTCCCTACACTCCAAGCACTTGTACCAAGGCATCAGTAATGTGATCCCTGCATTGGCAGGAGGACTGAGGTTTGGGATGTAAATGGACTGGATTGACACTGCTCAGCACCTTGTTGAAAGTTTCCACCACAGAACTCTGCAAGGACGACACCACCCGGACTCGAGACACCTTTCTGGGGGCTTGTGAGGCTGCTGCATTAATTATTGCCTTCTTTATCTGTTGCTGAGTTTTGATTGACACTTGGCAGAGTTCAGAGGTGGCCTGGGCAACCTGAGGCAGAAGGTTAAGGTTGGCAAGATGCAGTCTTTGGCACAAGTTTGGCATTGGCCAGGCTGGATGCTGGCATCATGACAGTTTGCTGCTGGATGGCATTGGCAGCTTTAATGATGGTGCTGCTGGCACTCTGGACAGAGGCAGCAGGTACGACCGTGGCTTTCACCGTGGTGTTGTTAGCGAGCTTCAAATTAATGACTTGGGATCCTGCTGTCTTCACAGCAGACACTGGGAGGAAAGCAGTAGCCACAGGCTTGATTGTGACCTGTTTAGGGGTGGGCTCTGCAGAGGAAACTGCATTGGTCACCACTGCAGACTGGAGAGGCACCCTGGCGGGAGAGGAAAGGGTGGCAGCTGATGCGGGAGACGACAGAAGGGATGTCACAGAGGCCATCACAGACACCGTCTGCTCGGAAGGTTTCTTCCCAGAGTCAAGATCCACTTCTGGCAATACCCTGGTCACTGTTCTCTTGATTTCCCCAGAAGACGTCTTAGTGGTTTTTATGCGGACTTTGGGGATTGGTGGTGTGGACCCTGCGGGAGAAGCCGGGGTTCCTTTGATGCTGTTCTCACTTGAGATGTTTCTGGGACTATCCAGTTGCTTTAGGGATGTTTTTTTGGTCCCGTCGATGAGATTCTGGGATTCAGGAGACTTGTCGGCGGCTCTCGGACTGTCGTTTACTTCTTTTGATAACGAGGAGGATTCCCTCGAATTGGCCACTTGTTCTTTGGAGGAGTCTGATGCCACCTTTTTAGTGCTGAGAGCTGCGATGGCAGTGATGCAGGACAAGAAGTTGGAGAACGACTTTGTTTTTGATGGCGCAATGCCGGGGAGCCCAAAAATTTCATATACAGTCAAACAAACTTCATAAGCAAAGGAGAAGATACTTTTCAGACAAGCAAATGTTAAGGGAATTTATCACCACCAGACCTGCCTTAAAAGAGGTCTCTAAGGGAGTGTTAAATATAGAAACAAGCCAGGCGCAGTGGCTCACGCCTGTAATCCTAGCACTTCAGGAGGCTGAGGCAGGCAGATCACTTGAGCCCAGGAGTTCAAAACCAGACTGGGCAACATGGTGAAACCCTGTCTCTACAAAAAATATAAAAATCAGCTAGGAATGGTGGTATGCGCCTGTGGTCCCAACCACTCAGGAGACTAAGGCAGGAGGATGGCTTGAGCCCAGGAAGCAGAGGTTGCAGTGAGCCCAGATCATACCATTGCACTCTGCCTGGGCAGCAGAGTGAGATCCTGTCTCAAAATAAAATAAAATAAATATGAAAACAAAAGACCATTACCAGTCATCACAAAAACACACTTAAATACATAGACCATTAATGCTACAAAGCAACTACAAAATCAAGTCTAGTCTGCATAATAACCAGCTAAAAATATATATATATAAGGACAGGATCAATTCCATACATAGAATTATTAACTTTGAATGTAAGTGGGCTAAATGCCCCAATTGAAATGCACAGAGTGGCAAGTTGAATAAAGAAGCGAGACCCACTTGGGTGCAATGGCTCATGTCTGTAATCCCAGCACTTTGGGAGACCAAGGTGGGCAGATCGCTTAAGCCCAGGTGTTCGAGACCAGCCTGGGCAACATGGGAAAAACTCATCTCTATAAAAAATATAAAATTAGTTAGGCACGGTGGCCTGCACTTGTAGTCCCAGCTACTCCAGAAGTTGAAGTGTAAAGATCACCTGAACTCAGGAGATTGAGGCTTCAGTAAGCCATAATTGTGCCACTGCATTCCAGCATGGGTGAAAGAGACAGAACGGTCTCAAAAAATTAAAAACAAACAAACAAACAAACAAGACCCAACTGTATGCCATCTTCAAGAGACCCATCTCACACATGCAATGACACAGATAGGCTCAAAGTAACGGGATGGAGGAAAATCTACCAAGTAAACAGAAAACAAAAACAAAACAAACAAACAAAAAAATAGCAGGGGCTGCTATTCTAATTTCAGACAAAACAGACTTTAAGTCAACAACAATCAAAAAATACAAAGAAGGGCATTACATAATGGTAAAGTGTTCAATTCAACAAGAAGACTTAACTCTTCTAAATATATATGCATCCAACACAAGAATTATGTGTGCACCCAGGGAGCACCCAGATTCATAAAAACAAGTTCTTAGAGACCTGTGAGGAGACTTAAATTTCCACACAATCATAGTGGGAGACTTCAACCCTCCACTGACAGTATTAGACAGATCATCAAGGCAGAAAACTAAAAAATATATGACCTGAACTCAACACTTGACCAAATGGAACTAACAGACATCTACAGAATTCCCCACCCCAAAACAACAGAATATATATTATTCTCATCACCACGTGGTGCATACTCTAAAACTGACCACACAATCAGACAAAAAACAATTCTCAACAAATTTTTAAAAATTGAAATCATACCAATTACACTCTCAAACCACAGCACAATAAAAATAGAAGCAAATACTAAGAAGATTGCTCAAAACCATAAAATTACATGGAAATTGAACAACCTGCTCTTGAATGACTGCTAGGTAAATTATGAAATTAAGGCAGAAATAAAGCTTCAAAACCAAAGAAAAAAAAGATAAGACATACCAGAATCTGTGTGACACAGCTAAAGCACTGTTAAGAGGAAAGTTTATAGCATTAAATGCTCATGTCAAAAAGTTAGAAAGATCTCCAATTAACAACATAGCATCACACCTAGAAGAACTAGAAAAACAAGATCAAACCAACCCTAAAACTAGAAGAAGACAAGAAATAACTGAAATCAGAGCCGAACTGAAATAAAGTGATGCATGAAAAAACATACAAAAGATCAATAAAACCAGAAGTTTTTTTTAAAGACTAAATAAGATAGCTAGAACGCTAACTAGACTAACAGCAGAAGAAAGAGAAAATCCAAATAAACACAATCAAAATTGACAAAGGAGACATTATCAATGACCCTACAGAAATACAAAAACTCTGAGACCATTATGAACACCTCTAGGCACCTAGAAAACCTACAAAATGTGGAAAAATTCCTGAAAACACAACTCCGCAAAATTGAACCAGGAAGAAACTGAAACCCTGAACAGACTAATAATGAGTTTTGAAATTGAATCAGTAATAAAATAATTTCCATCTAATTTTATGATTTTGAGCAAGAAAAAGCCCAGGATCAGATGAATTCACAGCCAAATTCTACCAGACGTATAAAGAAGAGCTGCTACCATCCCTGCTTGAAACTATTCCAAACAATTGAGGACCAGAGACTCCTCACTAACTCATTCTATGAGGCAAGCATCATTCTGATACCAAAGCCTGGCAGAGACACAGCAAAGAAAAAACTACAGGCCAATATCCTTGATGAACACAGATGCAAAAATCCTCAACAAAATACTAGCAAACTGAATCTACCAGCACATCAAAAAGCTAATCCGCCATAATCAAGCAGGGTTTATGCCTGGGATGCAAGGTTGGTTCAACATATGCAAATCAATAAATGTGACTTATCACATAAACAGAACTGAAAACAAAAACCACATAATCATCTCAATAGATGCAAAAAAGACTTTTGATAAAATTCAACATCCCTTTATGTTAAAAACCCTTAATAAACTAGGTATTGAGGGAACATACCTCAAAATAATGAGAGCCATTTATGACAAACCCACGGCCAACATCACACTGAACAGGCAGAAGCTGGGATCATTCCCCTTGAGAAGTGGAACAAGACAAGGATACCCACTCCCATCACTCCTATTTAACACAGTACTAGAAATCCTAGCCAGGACAGTCAGGCAAGAGAAAGAAGTAAAGGCATCCAAATAGGAAGACAGGAAGTCAAACTATCTCTGTTTGCAGATAACATGATTTTATACCTAGAAAACCCCATAGTCTCTGCCTAAAAGCTCCTAGATCTAATAAACAACTTCAGCAAAGTTTCAGGATACAAAATCAAGGTACACAAATCAGCAGTATTTCTATACACCAACAATATCCAAGCTGAGTGCCAAATCAAGAATGCCATTTAATTCACAATAGACACACACACACACACACACACACACACACACACACACACACACAAATACCAAGGAATAAAGGGAACCAGGGAGGTGAAAGATCTCTACAACAAGAAAACAAGAATTACAAAGCACTGCTGAAAGAAATCAGAGCTGACCCAAACAAATCGAAAAACACTCCATGCTCAAGGATAGGAAGAATCAATATTGTTAAAATTGCCACATACTATCAAAAGCAATCTCTAGATTCAATGTTATTCCTATCAAACTACCAATGTCATTTTTCACAGAATTAGAAAAAAAACCTATTCTAAAATTTATAAGGAACTAAAAAGGAGCACAAATCACCAAAGCAATCCTAAGCAAAAAGAACAAAGCGGGAGGCATCACACTACCTCACTTCAAACTATACTACAAGGCTACAGTAACCAAAACAGCATGGTATTGGTACAAAAACAGACACATAGACCATTAGAACAGGATAAAGAACCCAGAAATGAAGCCACACGTCTACAACTAACTGATCTTTGGCAAAGGTGACAAAAATAAGCAATAGGAAAAGGGCTTCCTATTCAATAAATGATTCCAGGATAACTGGCTATCTAGATGCCAGAATGAAACTAGACCCCTACTTATCACCATATACAAAAATTAACTCAAGAGGGATTAAAGACTTAAATGTAAGACTTCGAACTATAAAAACTCCCAGCACTTTGGGAGGCCAAGGCAGGTGGATCACCTGAGCTAAGGAGTTCAAGACCAGCCTGGGCAACATGGTGAAACCCCATGTTTACTAAAAAAAATACGAAGAATTAGCTGGGCGTGGTGGCACACGTGCCTGTGGTCCCAGCTATTCAGAAGGCTGAGGTGGGAAGATTGTTTGAGCCTGGGAGGTGGAGATTGCAGTGAGTCAAAATCTCATCACCACACTCCAGCATAAGGGACAGAATGAGACCCCTCTCAAAAAAGAAAAAAAATTCTGGAACTAGAGAGTGTTAAGAATGTCCTAAATGTCACTGAATGATACACTTTAAAGTGCTTAATCTTATGTAAATTTTTCCTCAATTTAGAAACTTTTTCAAATTCTTGAAAAAAAGAACTACGTAACATATATAAATATATACATAAACATAATATATATAGTATAAACATTTATAGCATACATATGTAATCTCTCTGCCATTTTGGGCTACCTTAACAAATAAGGCAGAAGCAACACATAAAAATTAAATATAAATATATGTACATATACACACACATAAATATGCATATTTATAAATTTAGAAATATAGAACATAGGTGACTATTCAAGGAAACATATATTTATGAGCATATAAATATATAGGTAACATACATAAATATATTTAATATAGAAATTTACACATATATATGTAGCACTCTGCCACTCTGGCATACTTTGCTCATACAAGGTAGAAGCAAAAATATATACTCACATACATGTGTATGCACACACATAGGTATGTTTTTATATATGTACATACAACTACTTATATTTATTAATATATATAGAAATACATAAAAAGCGTAAAATATACATAAGGGTATTGTTAAATTGAATTATCTTTGTCCTAAAGCTGCCTCCATACTTATTTTAAGTTTGGCCTAATGAGTTCTCTATACATAGCTAGTTGAAACCTAACTTAATGTGTAAAAATAACTAACTTAACCCAAGACTGTAGTCTTATAACATGTAACTATGTCTCAGCCAATGAAAACAGCTGAGCCTTCAGCCAATCAGAGGCTGAAAGCTGCCAAAACATGACTATATAAGGTAAATGCCAACAGCAGCCAATCAGGCTGTTTCCGTGCACTTCTTTTTCTCTAGCTGTAAATATAACCTGCACATACGGTGGCATGGAGTGTTCTGAGCCATTTTTGGTGCAAACTGATGCCTGATTCCTAAATTGTTTCTTTGCTCAAATAAACTCTGCTAAATTTAATGTATGTAAAGGTTTTGTTTTTTTTTTTAACAGATTCGTGTAGGAAATGCAATCTGAAGTAGAACTTCCATCAAACCCCAGAAGCATGGAGTGGCCAAGCACAGCGACCCACCAGGCCCATTGTGCACACAGATCTCTCACAGCAGCAGGGGTCCTGGGCAAGTTCTCTCTCAAATTTTGAAGCTCCAAGAATTTGTGTTTTGAGCTATGCATTTGTTTAAGCCAATTTTTTTATCCAGACTGGGTTTCAAAGTTGATTCTGAAATAATAAATAAAAGCTAAATAAGATCTTTAAACTAAATTTGTTGTAATTTTGTCTTTTGAGAGTTCTGGCAAGCTGAATGGGATCCACCTCCCAAGACCCCTTGAGGAAAGCAGGAAAGACACTGCTGGCCCCTTTGCCCTCCTTCTGAGGTTGTACATTCCTCTTAGGCCAGACTCTGTTCTTTTTGCATTGAACCTTGATCCTTTTGGGTTTCAAATCCAGGGTTTTGTGCTGTGAGAGGGCAAATTATCTTGGGATGGGTGCCAATGGCCAGTTTCTGCTGTGAGATAATATACGGCCTTTTGAGGTTTGGGTAGCTGACGAGTCATTGGCAAAAACTTGACTGAGTCCAGCATCAAGTTGGATTTGATTGTGAACTGCATTGGATCGAGGTAGGAGGCCACTCAGTCTGATGATCAGATGGAAACTGGACTGGGTTCAGTAGATAGATAAGTTTGGCCTCCCTCAAGATAACCTAGAGTTACAGTGGTGACAGTGGGGAAACCCTTACAAAGGTAAATAGGTGCGTGTCTTCCCAGTTACAACAACTGCAGGGATTGAGAGTACTTGTACTTGTGCATGCAAACTAAACACCCCTGTGCCCTAAGATGTCTGCCTTTTTTGCAAATAGCCAGGCCACTGGAAAAAGAATTGTCCACTTTTACAGCAGCCATCTCACGGGTCATCCCTTTGGCCTGGACTGTTTCCCCACTAAGGGAAGCCCTCAAAGGCATCACTCTTGGGACAACTATCGACTAATCTAATCAGCCCTCCCTGTTTTCTCTCTCTCTCTCTTTGATCCTGCTTCTCCCATGGGAACCTCTCAGTTGACTGAAACCACTCTTTTCCAACCCTTGCTGCCACTTCTTTCTTATTGTCATGAACTTTGCCATGTTCCCGAAGTCTTACTTAGTGAAAATAAGCCTTTCTGACTTAATTTCCTTGTTGAGAAGGGTGGCCAGCAGCCAGGCTAGTGATAAAATTAATTAAATATGCCACCGAATTAATTCCTACAGTGTTAAAAGAGAAGCACCAACAATGTCAGTGACCATGTAACATGGATTTAAGCTACAAGTCATAGAACTGTGATAAGAAGCCTCAGCGCTGTAAAACAGAGGGTGGAGGAAAGCATTTCCTCTCTCAAATGAGCTTTGCCGGGTATACTTCTTGAAGAGTAGGAAGTTGAAGTGTTCAGGACTTTTATATCTATTCTACTTTGGCTTAGTTTAAATGATTCTTAGTTTATTAGCCTAGAAATGGCCAAGAAAACTTAAGTCTCAATAATTAGTTATAAATGTGAAATATCCCCAATTTTTAAGATAAAAACAACTTATAAATGTATTTGTAAAAATTGCGTATATTTTTAGAGAGCGTGTATTTCTTTAAAACGGAGGGGAGTCTCTCATTTATATTAGTTTTCTTCATACCCTTTTGAACTTTGCAATTCCTATGTGTAGGAACCTATTTCTTACAGTTTTTCTACGCTAAACTCTGTCCTGGTCAGTTCTAGCGTGTACGAAGAACCAAATGATGTAATTGTATGCGACCTGGCTGTAGTGGAACAAATTTGACTCTTAAGTATGCAGGCTCTAATTTTCCTGTCTGATTTTTGTAAGTATTCCTTAGATAGGTTTTTTCTTTGAAAATCTAGGATTGAGAGGTTGATGAATGAAAATTAATCCTTTCACTTTGTTGTATATAGGTTTGCAATAACTAGGTCAGAGTAGAGTTTTTAGGTCATGAAGGGGGCTGATGACTTACAAATAATGGGCTCTGATTGGGCAACTACTCATCTGAGTTCCTTCCATTTGACCTAATTAAGCTTGTGAAATTTACACTAAGCCACGAGCTCATCTTTAAAAAGCTTTTACTAAAAGATTTTCAGCTGTTCCAAATGGGACTTATTAGTGGAATGTGTTTTAAAGAATCATATCAGATGAATGAAAGGTATTTGATCCTTTATTTCCTAAATAATTAAATGATGGCTAGAGTCTAACCACAGTGCTATTATTAGGCTTTCTTGTTAAACATAGGTCTGAGCCTAAGTACGTCAATACAACAAATACTTACTGTTTCGTTTCTATTAATGAGAAAAAAAAAAAAAAAAAAAACAAGTCTTTCTGGCATAATGATGATTTTCATCTGGTTATTTTGAAACATTTTTGTAAAATAAATTTACATCTATAAAGAAAATTTTTATTTGTAAGGAGGGGTATGTCTCTGTGCACTGGAAGAGAGGAAGGACTAAATTACTGGGAAGTCTTATGATAAAGAAGCCATTGGCTTAAATCAGCAAAGCAAGCCGTCCCTTGGTTTAAGGTGTTTTTCCTGGCCATCCTGTCTTGACTAGAACTTTACCTACACGCTCCTTTTTGGTTTAGGCAAATGATAGTATCTAAACCTGAAGTCTCAACTCTGTGCCTTTGAGATATAAACATTCTACCATGTCTTCTCTGGAACCTGATAACTATCTGTCTCTTTAAAATGCAAGTCTAGGGAGATGACTCATCAGAAAAAGAAGAAAAAAGAGGTATTTGGAAATTGTGCAAATTAAAGCAGCCCCTGATGCCAAAGTCTACACATTCCTGAGTGAGTCAGTTCTGGCCAGTTCTAGCTGGATCAAGAGAGCCCTGCTGGGCAGGCCTGAAGAGCACCTGGATGGCAGACACCTGAGGAGCCAGGTGCCTGAAACTTCCTCCACCTGCCTGAGGAGCACCAAAGCCCAGGCTGGCTAGACAACCCCTTCTGGCTGCCTAAGCAGGTGGCAGAGGAAGGAAACAAGGTCAGAGGCAGAGTGTTGAACCCTGCCTCCCAGGTGGGTGGAAGATGCCTGTCACCAAACTAGGGCCCAGCTTGCCAGGTGAGGTGGGTGAACTGGTGATCCCCCGAGAGAGTGGACGTCAGAACTATATGGTCCCAGACTTCACCTCAGCCAGCAAAGGAGAGAGAGGGTTAATGTTAACTGCACGAGGCCCACTCTAGCCTTAAATTCTGTAATGCAAACCCTTCCCTTGGAGACAAAACAAACATGACAAGGAATTCTGAGGTCAGGGGACAAGAACCACAAGTTCCCTAGTGGGAGACTGAGGAGGCAGTGTCCTTCCTGCCATTGGTCTACTGGCTAAGAACCTTCCTCAGCCTGACCTTTCCACATTGCACTTTCAGCTCTGTTTGCAATTTTCCTCCTTTAGTGCTGAGGGAATCCCAGTGTTTGATCCTGAAATCTATAGGTTCCTAATGGGTGGTTAAAAAAAACCTCAGCGAGAGAAGCAGAAAATGTTTCCTCTTCCTGAAAAACTGTAGAAAGGCAGGCACCATTCTGGGTGAGGACATGGTCCTTGCAAATGTCTTTTTTATGTTTTTTATTTTTTTTATTTTGAGATGAAGTTTTGCTCTTGTTGCCCAGACTGGAGTGCAGTAGTGCGATCTCTGCTCACTGCAACCTCCGCCTCCTGGGTTCAAGCAATTCTCCTACCTCAGCCTCCCGAGTAGCTGGAATTACAGGCACCTGCCACCACACCTGGCTGATTTTTGTATTTTTAGTAGAGATGGGGTTTTGCCATGTTGGCCATGTTGGTCTCAAACTCCTGACCTCAAGTGAGCCACCTGCTTCTGCCTCCCAAAGTGCTGGGATTACAGGAGTGAGCCACCGCGTCCAGCCTGCAGATGTCTTTAAAGACAGCGTTTCAGAGGCTGTGACAGTGCCCTGTGAATGTGCCAAATCTCGCAGTCCCGGGAGCTCTGAGGGGCAGGCCCAGCTCCTTGCCAGGCTGATGGTACTGAAACCCTGCTCTCCAAGACATAACTGATGGCCCTGCAAGATTTCTTAATCGACTGTGGACCGTGAGAACCTGCATCTCATTTTAATTAAGACAGGAAAAGAAAGAACAAAAGAGCAACTCCCAGGTTATAGAGAAACTGGATTTTAGTATAATATTCAAGTGTAGCACTGCTAATAATAACAAACCTTTCCCCTCCCAAACGGTAAACACTTGCACTGCCTATTATACAAAAATTCAACCACCCCTCTGTTCCCCCCATATCTCCTCCCCAGTGACACCCCCCCCCTCATGTGGCCTCATGAGCCTGGCCAGTGGTGAATGGCACTTTCAGGGGCATGAGACTTCACGTGAGTGGGACTCAGCTGGGACCCCTCTCCAGGTGGGAGCCGGAGAAGCTGCCCTAGTACCAGCTCAAAGTGTCCGTGATGTCCCTGCTGCTGAGGTAGGGGCCGCCTCTGAGCTGGTCTCGGGGTGTGAGCTGCTGCTGGTAGTGGGCTCTGCCCTGAGGGCCTGGTGGCTGGTCGGAAGGGCAGGCACACATGGGTGCCTCCCCAGGGACCCAGGCCACCTCCCCACCACAGCCCTGCACTGTGTGCTCCAGGCATGTGCTGAGTGCCTGGTCAATCACCAGTGCCCCATTGATCCCAGTCTCCAGAGAGAGCATTTAGTGTCACTCCACAGAGGGGGAAACTGAGGCCCAGAGAAGTAAGGTGACTCTCCCCAGTCACAGGGCTGGTCAGAAGTAGGATGGGAGGCTAGTCCCTTGCTCTCTGACTCCCTGAGCCCACCCATAGCCCAAGGCAGCCAACCTCTGCCCGCCCTGGTTCAGGCCCCGACTGGCCCCTGTGGTGGGTGATGTCTACCTTCCTGGCCTTTGTGCTCCCAGCCAACTGGGATGGAGCCTCCAGCTGGCATGACAGGTTGTAGCTATGGACAGAAGAGTGGCTGTGAGGCTGCCAGGAATCTCACCAGGGCCCCCTCCCAGGGCCTGTGCAGAGTGAGGTCTGGGTACCCCAGGCATTGCCAGACCACAGGATCTGATGTTGGCCAAGAGGCCATGGCCACAGGCTTTCTGAGGCTGGCCCCCAGGGAGAGTTCAATCCTAGTGTCCCAATTCCTGCCCTGGCCTTACCTCTCAGTCTCACCGAGCTGCTTCATCGTCCCAAACCAGGACCCAAAGTGCTGCTTGGGCTCAAGGTTGTAATTATTTGCAGCCAACTGGAGCAGCGGACCTCCTTGCTTACTTTGAATTCCTGGGTCCAGAGGGAAAAAGTGGGTGGTGACAGGGACTGGACAGGGATGCCACAGGGGCCCTGTGGGGGTGTTAGATGGGGTGGTGGCCAGTCTTTGCTCATAGGGCACCCCCTCCTCCTCTCCAGTCCTGTCCCCACCTGTTCTCAGAGCTGGCTCAAACAGCAGCTCCTCCAGGAAGGTGTCCTTGGTTTCAACCTGGTACTCCCACCTGCACGTCTTCCTGGAGTGTCTCCTCTTTCTCTCTGTATCCCCATAAATCTAAGATGAGGGGGATGGATTTGCCCACCGCTACTCACCTTATGACTCTTGTGAGGTTGATCAGTCTCCCCTGGAAGGCCAACAGCTGAAGTCCATCAGAAAGGGTCCTCTGGCCCAGAGCCAGCCCCTGCCCACCCCTGTCATGCTGCACCCAGGGTGCAAGACCCAGATCAGGTCTGGGTGACAGGAGGGGGATAGAGGGGCTGAGGCTCAGGGGCCTTCTAGCCTAACTTGTCTGGAGACAGCTGGGGAAACTGAGACCCCAAGCAGGGAGGTATGGCTCCAAGAGATTATTCTCATTAACCTGAAACATTTTTGCAAGCTGTTAGGTATAGGAAGTCTGTCACAGGTAAGAGAAACGCTTTTTGAGAGCATGAGAGACAGCAGGGTTGTGATAATATTGAAGCACCACTGTGCAGATTCACCGATTGCCACCACCGGGAGCCCCCCTGAGAGCCATTGCAGATGCACAGCCCTCCCCTGCAACCCCTGGACCTCCCCATGGTCTGGCACCTAAAGGGTTACGTCTCATGGCAGGAATCAGGGCCCTCAGGATGCCCTGCCCACTCCAAAGTCTGCCTCTGCTCTGATTGGTCGCTGACATTCAGATTGTCACCCAAATATAAGGACGTTAGCAGAAAGACCCATGCAATACAAGTGGACTCAGACATAGATAGGAATTGGGTTGCAAAAAGCCCCTTTTGTTTATTTTATTTTGGAAAAAAATTTTATTGTGAAAATTCACATATATATATAAAAAATTCAATCAATACAAAAGGATAGACAATGAACAAATGAATTCCCCTTCCACTCCAGATCCCCACCCCAGATCCAGACCTCCTGAGCCCACTTCCCCCATCTCATCACAGATCCAGACCTCCTGAGCCCACTTTCCCCATCTCATCACAGATCCAGACCTCCTGAGCCCACTTCCCCCATCTCACCACAGATCCAGACCTCTTGAGCCCACTTTCCCGATCTCATCACAGATCCAGACCTCCTGAGCCCACTTTCCCCATCTCATCACAGATCCAGACCTCCTGAGCCCACTTCCCCCATCTCATCACAGATCCAGACCTCCTGAGCCCACTTCCCCCATCTCATCACAGATCCAGACCTCCTGAGCCCACTTCCCCCATCTCATCACAGATCCAGACCTCCTGAGCCCACTTTCCCCATCTCATCACAGATCCAGACCTCCTGAGCCCACTTTCCCCATCTCATCACAGATCCAGACCTCCTGAGCCCACTTCCCCCATCTCACCACAGATCCAGACCTCTTGAGCCCACTTTCCCCATCTCATCACAGATCCAGACCTCCTGAGCCCACTTTCCCGATCTCATCACCAGTGATTTCTTGGGCCCTGCATTAGTTTTCTATTGCTGCTGCAACAAACAGCTACAGACTCAGTGGCTTCCATTTCTGTCTTATAGTTCTGATTGCCAAAAGTCCTAAGAGGATCTCACCAGGCTAAAGTCAAGGTGCTGGCGGGGCTGTGTCCCTTCTGGAGGCTCAAGGAAAGAATCGGGTCCCTGCCTTTTCTAGCTTCTAGGGGCTCCAGCTTCTAGGTTTGTGGCCTCCTTCCTCCATCCTCAAAGCCAGCAACAGCAGGTGAAGTCCTTGCCCATCGTGCATCACTCTCCCTTCTGCCTCCTTCAACTTTTTTTTTATATTTAGGGGGAACGAGTACAGGATTCTTCCATAGTCAAAAAGCTCCTTATAGAGAAGCTCGGAACTTTCAATACAGCTTTGCATTTTTTACCATTTTAATTTTCCATTTAATTTAAATGTATTCTCTCATTTGACCTTCATACTCTGTGGAGAAATATTTCTATTTTGGCTTGTATTGACAAGCTGTTTTCACACAGCCCCCACATCACCCAACCACCCAGCAGAGATCCTCATTCCCATGAAACAGATAAAGAAATTGAGACCCAGGGAGGCTAAGAGTCCTGGCAGGATCATTCACCTTCCAAGGTAAGGAGCCAGTTCCAGACCTGGGTTTGTGCAGCTCCAAGCTCCCCCGTCTTTCTACAATGCTAGATTTAGACTATAGCAATCTAGCAAGTGTGGCCACACAATGGTCAAGTTGGATTTAGATGATGTTCTCTATAAATCCATTCTCCTCTCCCGTGTAAGCAAGGCAAAGTACTCCAGGCCATGGGGAGTCCCTGAAGACTCGATGAACTGCAATGGCCATATCAGGAGGTTGCAGGTTGACCAGAACTCACCGACACAGCAGGAGAGCAGCTTGGAACCTTCAACCCAGCCAAGACCCAGTGCCTTGGACTGGGGGAGAAAACATGCAGCCATTCCTCTCTCTCTCTGCTGGCTAGAGGGGATTCTGGCTTTTCCTGCCAGAGCCACCCCTTTCCCTCCTCCTAAAGTTGATGGTGGTTCTTTAAGGAAAGGGAGAAGTGCACGGTGTGATAGGGCAGGAAGAGAAGAAAACGGAGGAGAAGAGGGGACTTTCCCATAAGCAGGCAGAAGAAACGGCAGCTGTGTTGTGTGATGGACATGGATGCAGCGGTGTCCAATGTGGGGTCAGCCCTAGAGGAGAGACAGAGAGAGAGACAGACAGTGAGAGAGTCCTGGCCCTTATGATTAACATGGGATCTGCCTGCAAATGCTGTTTAGGGCCATCGCCTCTTCCTGTACTGCTATTTTTGAGAGTGATGCTCCTGAGCCCCATGACCCAGTCAAATTTCATGTCCCCTTGAGCCAGATTCAGTGCTGGGAGTCCAGTGTGATCTGCCTGGATCTTGCTGCACTGAGAATAGGGCAGATCTTGATCCCAATACAGGGGCTGGATATGAACAGGCAACAGCTGGGTTTCTGAATCAGAAAGACTTGGTTAATTGCTAATTGCTTAGGTGAGTAATTTAATTTTGTTGAGTCAGATTCCTCAGCTATAAAATGCAGATGACAATACTTATTCCTCCAGGTTGTGGGGAAAATGGAGACTCTAAGCACGATGTCCATTTCACAGAAAGATACCAATTTGGTGGCTTATTTTTCTTTCTACCTTCAGAAGTGGCTATCCCTGCCACCCAAACAGACCCTTGACTCTCAAGTGGATGTCCCATTTGCACAGGGGGAGACCTGACAGCCTACGTTGAGTCTATACTTACCACTTAGTGAGCATTGTATCCACTCAGGGGCCTCTGTGGGCATCCGTCTCCTCTGCAGCATCTTTCCTCCCCACAGCTGGGTCTGCACATGACCCCCTCCTTGGGTTAGGCCTCTGATCAGTGATGACCTTGGTATGGTGGTGATGGTCAGTCTTGGCATCAAATGAGCCAGTTTATATCATCAGCTATTCAATAAAACACTAATCTAGGTGTCACCGTGAAAGTATTTTGTGACATTGTTATGTACATGTTGTTACAAATGTGCATGATGCATTTACTACAGTATAGAATTTTGCCTGGGTGCCAGCCTGAAGTCTGTCTGACAGATCATAGCCATGTTAGTCCAATAGTCACAGGGGCCAATTGATTAAATTATTTTATCTCCCTTGAGAACTAAAAATGAAACCCTAAGCCCCCCACCCGACTTAACAGACCCCCTGTTGGCCAACGGAACCTCAAATAAATCTTAAAATTCAGTTCTTGGCCATGACAGGACAGGAGGTCAGACATAACTCCCTGTACCTCTCTCCCTCTTATGGTTTAGACCCAACAACTGAACAGCATTAACGTTAAAATAGAGATCATGAGACTGACAGAACAGACTCTTTGTGGCAATAAGACCCCAAATTATAAACAGGACCTAGGGCCATGCCAGGCAAGGGTTAAGTCTTGTACCCTACTCTTAAAGAATAAACTAGATTCTAACTACCACATAGTTTTTATTTTTCTCTAGCAGCCAAGCAAGCACTGGCTATGAGAGAAGCAAGATTAAAACAATTACAACTCACCCAGTTCACAGACACTGAGTAACTGATCTCCTGCCCCACCGACCTTAACGACAGCTTTCACTGGACAAGGGACTGATTTCAGTAACTTTCTCCTGATAAGAGACCATCCTCCATGGACTGGTTCTGGCCAGTTTTAGAGGCTGTGCCTTTACAGAGGCTGAGTACCTTCATTCCCTGCTTCACTTTTTGATGTGTAGGGCCTAATTATAACACATTTAAATGTCAAGTCTCCACCCCAGAATGAACATGCATGTTTATTCAATATGCATGTGTTAGGACCTCTTTTATGAGTATTCTCATAAAATGATATAGCTCCTCTGATATCCTATTGAGTATGTATATGTAGTCAACTCATTCAGCTCAAATTCCTGTCCTCTCCTTCCCTCCCTGGAAGGGCCTGCCTCTAGCCTTGGCTGTAGGCCACACTTCCCAGCCTGTCATAATGGCCACCTTGCAGGCTGCAAACCTTTATAAGAAATAAAGCTCTCTTTTCTAAATTTATAAAATTGTGTGATTTTTCAGTTGATGCTCTCTTTCTACACACACACACACACACACACACACACACACAATTTATACAGAAAGAAATCTGGAGAATATATGTGGGAATGGATATTAAGTGTGTGGCACCATGGTGGAAGTAACACAAAGTTGGAGTAGGCTAAATTTATTAATGTTGGCCCACTAAACAGAGATTCTGGATTCAGGGTTGTAGGTCAAAGTTTTAGAAAGGGCTCCAAGGGTTGGTTTGATCGGTTACTTGGTTGGTTGGTTGCTTGCTTGCTTGCTTGCTTGCTTGTTTGGTTGGTTTGTTGCTTGCTTGCTTGTTGGTTGATTGGTTGGCTGTTTGCTTATTTGTTTTGTTACTTGGCTGGTTGGCTGAAACAGAATCAGAGTTTACCTAAAGTACATAAAGTTGAGATGTCACAACTTCCTTGGTTTATGTGTATAGGAAGGTATGCAAAAACTCAGGGAGACTGGATTTATTATGTCAGACCTGCTCACTCACACTGGAGGGTCTACAGAACATACTTCTCACAACGATCATGAGAAAGAATATTGTGAGAGGAGCCCAGTATCCTGGAAGAGCTTTGAGCTCGTGCTCTCAGTAGGCAAAATGTTACAGCAGAAACTGCAGCCACTGGACTGGGATCTTTAAATAAAATGAGGATAATTGAATCCTGGGGTGGCAGGGAACATGGGCTGTCCTTAATCACCAAAGATGAGGTGGGTGTGGTCACTACAGTGGAAAGCAGTGTCAAAGCAGCAGTCAGAATGGTTTGACTCACAGAAACCCATGGCATTGTGTAGTCCATGGTATCCACAGGGAGAGCTAATGGGCTGTACCAAAGTCTTAGTTGTTTTTTAAAAAATGAAGAATTCTAGGTCAACTGAATAAAAGACTAACTCAAATTAATGAAACACAGATCTAAACCCTCAATCAATTCCCAGACTTGAGCCAGTTCACAGGCCCACAACCCCTAAGTGAAGGGGAGGCTGGGTGATCTTGGGGAAGTACGCTGCTACATTGCCAAAAACTTACATAGTTAATCTTTTTCCCAGTCTTCCCCAAAGGGACCTACAGCCTTCTACCAGGATGACTGTGACTTAGAGAAAAGAAAATTCTCAGATATTTGGGGAATTCTGGACACTGGCTCTGATTTGACAGGAATTCCCAGAGACCAAAAACATCACTGTGGTCCACCAGAGTAGGGACTTATGGAGGTTAGCTGGTGGATGGAGTGTGAGCTCATGTCTGTTTCACAGTGGATCCAATGTGTCCCTGAACCCACCCTGTGGTTGGAATAGACACATACTCAGCAACTTTCAGCATCCCTACATTTGTTGTTTCACCTACGGACTGAGGACAAGTATGATAGGAAAACCCAGTTATGAGCCACTAGGACTGGTTTCACCTAGTAAAAGAGTAAACCAAAAGCAAGAGTGCATTGAGTGCTATGTAAATGCTCTCCAAAGGGTGGCCTTGGCAGAGAAGGATTTCAATAATCAAGCAGATAGGATGACCTGTTCTGTGGACACCACTCAGCCTCTTTCCCCAGCCACCCCTGTCATTGCTCAATGGGCTCATGAATACAGTGGCCATGGTGGCAGGGGTGGAGGTGATGCCTGGGCTCTGCAACATGGACTTCCACTCCCAAGGTAACCTGGCTGTGACTCTGAACCACCTCCATCATAGAAGAGGCAGTGTCTTGTTCTCACTGAAACAGACACTATGTATGAGAATTTCCCCTCCTACCCTCAATGTTCCTATCACCACTGATAAATTGTACTTCATAAAAATCACACTACTGTCTGGACTTACAGAGTGCCTTATCCACCTCATGGTCTCCCACACCAATTGGTTCTCATCATCACTATTACCCCTAGTGACACACCAGCAAAATTTTCATTTCCTGTCCCTCAATCTTATGCTCTGCTGGTCTAGAAGTCTTGGTCCCAAAAGGAGGAATGCATCCCCCACGATACAAAGAAATGATTCTACTGAACTGGAAGTTAAGATAGTCCCTGTCCACTCTGAGCTCCTCATGCCTCTGAATAGACAGGCAAAGAAGGGAGTTACCGTGCTGGCAGAGGTGGTTGATCCTGACTACCAAGGGTTAATTGCTTCTACTCCACAGAACTAAGAAATAATACTTCTGGAATACATGGGATCTCCTAGGGTGTCTTCAGTGCTACCTACTACCATGCCCTGTGATTAATTTAATGGAAAACTACAACAACCCAATTCGGGCACAGCTGCCAATGGCCCAATTCCTTCAGGAAGGAAAGTTTGGGTCATTGCCCCATATAAAGAATCAAGACCAACTGAGTTGCTTGCTGAAAGCTAAGGGAATACAGAATGCGTAGTAGAAGAGGGTAGTTATAGTTACTAACTAGGAACATGTGACCAGATACAAAAATGAGGACAGTAATTGTTGTGACTTTGACAAGGGAGACAAGGCAATTCAATGGGGAGTGAATAGTCTTTTCAAAAATGTCCTGGGACAGATTGATGTTCACATGTACAGACTGAAGTTAGTCCCCTCCCTCACACCATTTATAAAAGTTAACCCTAAATGGATCAAAGACCTAAATATAAAAGCCAAAAGTTTAGTACACGTAGGAGAAAATATGGGACTGAGGCTTTGTGACCTTGGGTTAGGCAATGATTTTATGGATATCATACCAAAACCACAAGTATAATAGAAAATATAGATAAGCTGTACTTTATAAAATTCACAAATATTCCTGTATCAAAGTAGACTTTCAAGAAAATGAAAAAATAATTACAATGTGAGATAAAATGTTTGCAAACCCTATATCTAAGAAGAGAATTGTATAAGAATATGTTTGGGCCGGGCGCGGTGGCTCACACCTTGTAATCCCAGCACTTTGGGAGAACAACGTGGGTGGATTACGAGGTCAGGAGATTGAGACCATCCTGGCCAACATGGTGAAACCCCGTCTCTACTAAAAATACAAAAATTAGCCGGGTGTGGTGGTGCATGCCTGTAGTCCCAGCTACTCAGGAGGCTGAGGCAGGAGAATCACTTAAACCCGTGACGCAGAGATTGCAGTGAGCCAAGATCGTGCCACTGCACTCCAGCCTGGCAACAGAGTAAGACTCCGTCTCAAAAAAAAAAAAAAAAAAAAATATATATATATATATATATATACATGTTTGAACATTCACAAGTCAATAGTAAAAAAGAAAATAACACGATTTTAAAATGGGGAGACAATCTGAATAGACATTTCTCCAAAGAAGATATACAAGCAGCCAATAAACATGAAAACATGCTCAATCTTATAACTCATTTAAACAATGCAAATCAAAACCAATGAGAAAGCACTCCACATCCATCAGGAAGGCAATAACTAGAGAGACAGATAACAATAAGTGTTTGTGAGAATGTGTGGAAACTGGACCCCTCGACATTGCTGGCAGGAATATAAAATGATGCTGTCCTTTGAAAAGCAGTCTGGCACTTTGTCAAAAAGTGAAACACGGGGTTGCCATATAATATAGCAATTGCACTCCTAGATCTGGAGAAATGAAATCATGTGAAAAGCTTGTATGTGAACGCTCAGAGCAGCATTATTTAGAACAGCCAAAACGTGGAAACGACCTAAATCCCATAAACTGCAGAAGAGATAGATAAAATACGGTGTAGGTAAGTAACAGAATAGAAGTCAAACATAAAAAGTAACAAGCTACTGATACATACCATGAACATAAATGAACCTTGCAAACTTTGATAGAAGCCAGTCACATAAGACCCAGTGTTGTGTGACTTCATTTATATGAATGGTCTAGAATAGGCAAATCCATAGACTGAAAGTGATTACGGATTTCCTAGGGCGGGGCAGATCAGGGAAATGGGCAGTGGCTGCTGATGGGTACGTAGTTTCTTCTGGAGTGATGAATGTTCTAAAACGATGGTGATGGATACACAACTCTGTGAATATATACAAACCCCTTGCATGGTACACTTGAAATAGATGGGCTGGATAGCATGTAAATTATATCTCAATAAAACTGTATAAAAATAAAGAGAAGCGCCCGGAAGTGCTGCCTTGGAGTCGGTGAGAAGGCGGCCACGGCCAGGCCTGGTGCCTGAAGAGGAGTCGGAGTCGGCGGCTGTAGAGGCTGTGCGCCACATACATCTGCAGAACTTCTCACGCTCTCTGCTTGAGACCCTCAATGGGCAGAAGCTGGGTGGGCACTTCTGCGACGTGACTGTGTGCATTCATGAAGCTTCGCTGCGTGCGCACCGCTGCGGGCTGGCAATCGGCTCGCCCTCCTTCCAAGACAAGCTGCTGCTCGGCCCCTCTGAGATCCGTGTGCCTTCGGTGGTGCCTGTGCAGACGGTGCGACAGCTAGTCGAGCTCCTGTACAGCGGTTCGCTCGTTGTGGCACAGAGTGAAGCCCCGCAGGTACTCATGGCTGCGTCGGTGCTTCGCATAGACAGTTATCGACGAATGCACGCAGATTATCGCACGCGCTCCTCTGCACCCGCGAGCACCTCTGCACCCGCGCCCCTGCCCACCCCTGTGCCCCCGCCACTCGCACCTGAGCAGCTGCGTCACCGCCTGCGCCACCTGCTGGCTGCGCACCCCCGGGGCACCCCGGTGCCGCGCACAGCGGTAAGCAGCGCCGGCCCGCGAGTTTGCAGCTGCCTGCGCCCCCGACACCTGCCAAAGCCGAGGGGCTTGGTGCCTACCCCTCACTGTCCGCGGCCCCTGACGACCGAGGTGACAACGATGACGAGGAAACTGACGATGAGACCGATGGCGAGGACGGCGAAGGTGGCGGCCCGGGAGAGAGCCAAGCACCTCCTTCCTTCCCAGACTGTGCTGCCGGCTTCCTCACTGCTGCTGCTGACAGCGCGTGCGAGGAGTTCCATGCACCCACTGGCCTCTCTGACTACAGTGGTGTGGGAGAGATTTTCTTCCGGGATCTGGGGCAGCTGAGGACGTATTTCCAGACAGCTATGTAACCGCTTGGCACGACAAGGATGGCGCTGTCCCCGAAGGCTGTCCCACCGAGACCCCTGTCCAGCCCGACTGCATACTGGCTGGACCCCGCCCGCCTGGCGTGAAGACCCCAGGGCCGCCTGTCGCACTCTTCCCCTTTCACTTGGGTGCTCCCGAACCACCCGCACCACCCCCTTCAGCACCATCCGTGCCAGCCCCTGCGCCCCCACCCGCCTTCTACCCCACACTCCAGCCCGAGGCAGCCCCCGGCACTCAGCTGCGGGAGGCCCCGGCTCCCTCTGCTGCTCCCACCACGGCCCCCTCAGGCACCACTGCTCGCACTCCTGGTGCCGAGCCACTTGCCTATGCGTGCGGCCACTGTTGCAAGACGTTCAGCTCAAGGAAAAACGACACCAAGCACATGTTCATCCACTCGGGGGAGAAGCCGCACCAGTGCGCCGTGTGATGGCGATCCTTCTCGCTGCGCTACTGCCGTTTCAAGCACATGGTCACGCACACCTGCGCGCACGCCTTCCAGTGCGCGGTCTACGCCAAGCCCTTCCCGCAGAAGAGTTCGCTCAATATGCACATGCGCACTCAGCGGCCAGAGCGCGCGCCCTTCCCCCGTCTACCGCAAGGTCTCCTCTCACTGGGCGCTGCTGGAGCACCACCTGGCTGCGCACCCCGCGCCCTGATGGGGCTGGGGCCTGGTCTCGCCCACTGTGGATCCGCAACCTCCCGCACAGGCGGCCACGCCTGCTTTCCCACCAGTAGGCCACGCTCCCTCCTGAGCGCAAGTCCTCTTTCTCCCTTCACCCCTTTCTCCATACGCCCAAGTCCGCCTTACTCCTCTCCTCCATGTACTTGAACCTTCCAGGTGGTGCTGGGCTGGGGCTGGGCCTGGGACTGGTTAGGGATCGGACCACCTCTGAGAACTAGACCATTTCCGGCCTAAACCAGGCGCTCAGGCCCTTGGACCCGGCCCAAGATTTGACTCCGGTTCTCGCCCCGCCCTCTTCTGGGGTTGGGGTGGGGACTGAGGCCGCTCTCCTGCTCCAGTGTCGGGCTGGGCAAGGTCCCTGGCTCCCTACCCAAGCCATCACTCCCTCATGGGGCTCCTAAGGAGGCTCAAGTGGACCCATCATATATGGGGGCTGGTCCTCGGGACCCTCACTCTAATAAAGGAGTGTAGGCCATGGTGCCTAAACAATAAATAAATAAATAGAAGCTCCAGTTCACAGCCCCCATGGGGCCTAAACAAACAAACAAACAAACAAATAAATAAATAAAAGCTCTAGTTCATAGTCCCCTTGTGTTAGGTGTAGTCCTATGACCAGCTTTTGCCAAAGGGAGGCAATGGACTAAGGTGAGCCACTTCCAGAGCTGGCCCACAAAAGCCTCCAATGCCTTTCTCACACTCTCCCCTTCTACCGATAGATGCAGGTGGGAGGAGGTCCCAGAGATGACGGAGGCACCTGATGGAAAGATTCTGGGTTCCTGCATGCCCACGCAGAGGAAAGCAGCCTCTACCCTGAACGCCCAGCCAGCAACTTCTGGTGGGCCCAAAATATAATGTGAAGTCAGTGAAATCTGGGGGAGTCATCTGATATTTCAGCACATGTAACTAATGTATCTGCTTAAAAACTTGGCCGGGGCCGGGCGCGGTGTCTCACGCCTGTAATCGCAGCAATTTGAGAGGCCAAAGCAGGCGGATCACTTGAGGTCAGGAGTTCAAGACAAGCTTGGCCAACATGGTGAAACCCCATCTCTACTAAAAATACAAAAAATTAGCCAGGTGGGGTGGTGGGTGCCCGTATTCCAAGCTACTCAGGAGGCTGAGGCAGGAGAATTGCTTAAGCCCAGGAGGCGGAGGTTGCAGTGACCCTCGATCGTGCCACTGCACTCCAGCCTGGGCAACAGAGTGAGACTCCATCTCAAAAGAAAAAAAGAAAAACACTTGACCGGGGGCAGTGGCCCACGCCTGTAATTCCAGCACTTCGGGAGGCTGAGAATGGTGGATCACCTGAGGTCAGGAGTTCGAGGCCAGCCTGGTCAACATGGCGAACCCCATCTCTACTGAAAATACAAAAATTAGCTGGGTGTGGTGGTGTGCGCCTCTAATCCCAGCTACTCAGGAGGCTGAGACAGGAAAATCACTTGAACCTTGGAGGTGGAGGTTGCGGTGAGCTGAGATCGCACCACTGCACTCCAGCCTGGGCAACAAGAATGAAACTCCATCTCAAAAATAAATAAAATAAGTAAAAATTTAACCACACTGTTAGCTAAGTATTTTTTAGACATTTAAACCCATTTAAACCCAGCCATTTTGTCTCAGAAAATTTTGTTCCTATGCAATGTTTGATTTTGTGCTAAATAAAACATTTAAATCAGAATTATACCAATCTTTAAATCTTTTTGCTAACACAGTATTTTCCAGGGCATTTTTTTTTTCTATTTTTTTTTAAAGCAGCTGAAACAGGCACTTGTTTATTTCCCCAGAAGGAGGCAGAATGGGGTCCTTGGGGAGTCTCTGTCCCAGCCTGGTGCCCCGGACAGGCAGATCTCACTTCCAGAAGAGCACATTCCAGAAAAGTAGTCAGCAAGGGCAGAGGCCCAGGGACAGCAGTGGGAAGAGCAGGGCGCCTTAGGTGTGGTGCTCCAGCGCACCCTGGGCCAGTGCTGCCAGGAAGAGCTGCCAGCCCTTGGCCAGTGACAGTGGTGCCTCCTGCAGCTCCCGCCACAGGAATGGGCTGCCAAGGAGCGTGGCTGCCGGGCTTGTCAACACCAGCAGGACAGCACAGAGGGTCCAGGGCCCAAAGGCTCGGCGAGCACAGCGGCAGCACCATAGTGGCGGCCAGCAGGAAGTCCAGTCAGAAGTTGGTGAGGGCGATGCAGCCCAGCTGCAGTATTAGGTAGATCAGGGCTACCAGCTTCAGAGCCATCCAGCCCCTGTCTGGGACCTGTGTGCTTACCATCCTGTGCTGGGGGAGGGGGGACACTAGGGTCAGGGACCCCCCTGAGCTCCTCAAGGCCCACTCCGGCCTCATGCAGCTGCATCCACAGTTGCAGAGCCTTGAAACCAAGGACCAGGAGCAAGAAGCTGGTGGCGGGCATGTAGAGGCCGATGGAGACGAAGCGGGACAGAGTGGGGAGCAGGTAGAGGAAGAACAGCTGGTGCGGGTGTTCCAGGAGGTGGTTGAGCTTGCAGAACATGCCCTCCAAAGCCTTGCCCGCTGCCACCAGGTCATACTTGTACTGGCGGAAGCTACTGATGCGACGCAGGGTTAGGGCCTCCACGTGGTAGTGCAGGAAGAGGCCACGGGAAGCCTGCCACAAAATCATGAGCAGCAGTGTTTGCAGGCCCTGCAGCAGTTCGTCCAACAATGTCCAGTCCTGGGGCTGCAGCTTACCCTGAAGCGTGCACAGCAGGCCCACTTTCTGGCAGAAGGTCTGGAAGAGATTGAGCAGGTCAAGGTTGGGCAGCTGTCCATGGCAAATTTTATTCAGACATGTTAAAACCTTGATCCATTTTATAAAAATAAAGGATAGAAACCCAATTCTAACTCATCCACTTTATTTTTTATTTTTTTATACAGAGTCTTGCTCTGTCACCCAGGCTGGAGTGCAGTGGCATCATCTCGGCTCTCTGCAACCTCCACCTCCTGGGTTCAAGCCATTCTCCTGCCTCAGCCTCCTGAGTAGCTGGTATTACAGACATGCCTCACCCATGCCTGGCTACTTTTTGTATGTTGGCCAGGTGGGTCTTGAACTCCTGGCCTCAAGTGATCCACCTGCCTCGGCCTGCCAAAGTGCTGGAATTACAGATGTGAGCCACCATGCCCAGCCTCTAGCTCATCAACTCTTATTTTTAATTCACCAAAACTATTTTATCAGGATTTTTTTTTATTTAAATGACTCTGTTTTGGGCCACATCAAAATTAACTGACTACAGATTCTGCTATCGTAAGTTTTCTTTAGGGATCAGTATTTCTTTAAGTCAACTTTTCAGGATCAAATTAAACACAACAAAATATTTTCCAAAATATTTTTCTTCCAACAATTTTTGGTCATCGTAAGTTGTATCACATATAGTTTTAACCGTTATCCATTTTGCGTGGATTATTTGTATTATTAATCTTCACTATGAGAATTGAAATATCTCTAGTCAAAATGGTGGGGTCAAACCATTCTACTTTTTTAGTTTAGAGATTTAAATTAGTCTTAGCTTTTAGGAACATGCTGCTTGCCTAGAAGTCTCCATAAACCCCTGTGCTGGCCTTGCCCCATTGATGAAACAGAAGAGGATTTTCTCAGAGCTCCTTACAAATTACAGTCAGGTGGAAGCCAACACATCACTTCCTATCATCCTGCTTAGGCACTGAAAGCAGCCTTCCTACTCACATATCCTGGCTGAGAGCCATGACTTTTTCTCTCTCTTCAATGAATACATACCAAGAAAAGAGAGTCTGTTTTAGACAAATAAATTCCCAATTTATCTAAGGGTAACTCAGTTCCTCCCCTTCATCTTGCAGTTCAGTGCAGGGAGACAACGCTGGTCTTCACCCGGGATTTTCATACTTCCCTGTTTCTTAAGAACAGAGGGCTCGGTTTTATCCTCGGCAACAACTTGCCAAGCGAAAAGGCTACCGCTCCTGACTAACCTACCTTGTAGCTAAGGTGACCAGAACAAGTCCAAGCTAACTGGGCATGAGCAGAGGCACTGTGAGGGGCTCGCAGAGGCTGTCTGCCTGGAACTCACACAGCTGAGCAGGTCTTGGTCCTTCCTTCTCTCCTCTTCCTATCTCTGAAGCACAGCCCTCTGGGGTCCAGAGACAGCATTGAGGACAGAAGTCAGCTACTGAGACTCTGGGACAGCAGGACAGGTGCTGGCTGATGGCTATGGGGACAGCCCGGGTCAGCATGGACAGCCACCTCCAGAGTTCTTTAACAGGAGAAAGAAAGCGCTCTCTCTTGTCTGTGCCACAACTGTTCTGAACTTTCTGCTGTGTGTAGACAAATCTAACCCCAGCTGAGGCACTCACTTTTCCCTGAATCTCTGTGAGCTGGGACCAGTCCTGCCCTTCCCTGGGACACACGCTCCTGCAAGAGGCAGGGGTGTAGGTGACCGGCATGACTGTAAAGATCTGGGGCTCTCGCCGGTCCCACATCCATGGCCACTTCTAATAGTCACAGAGGCTCAGTTTCCCCCTGGGGAACTACTCCCTTCCTCCAAGTCCATGTGGTTAAGTAAGGTTGGCTTACTTCCTGGTTGCAGGAGACAGGAACCGTGGGACACGCGCTGGAGGAACCACTGGTGCCATGCAATGTGCTGTGCAGTGTGGCTCTGGTGCACCTGCCGCCTGGGGCCCATGCAGACCGTGTGTGCATGTGTGGCCATGGGCATGAGGCCCAGGCATCTCCTTCAAGGTTCACGCATGCCCACTCATGTGGAGGCCCAAGGTTACCCCAGAGCACATCCCACTCACCCACCAGGTATGGAGGGAGCCAGACAGGTCCACACTGAGACTTCCATATGCAGTTCCAGTCCAACCCCTCATTAGACACTTGGGAAACCCAGGCCCAGAGAGAGGAGGGGCTGGCCCAGGACACAGGACATGGGCAGAGTCCAGTTACCATCTCCTAGGCCAGGGCTGAACCATATCCCATGGGGTTGCTTTGGGAATCGGAGCCCCTAAAATCCTGCAGACCCTGACTCACTTTTCCCAGGAGAGGCTGTTTCCTCTCAGCATCCCCAAAGGTGCATACCCACAGACACGCACAAGCTGACATCACAGGGGGTGACTAAGGGTAGGATGGGAGGAGAAGCGGATCCTGGGTAGGTAACAAAGGGAAAGAAGAAAGAGGCTGAGGCAGCTCTGCTACAGACAGCAGCATCCAATCACCAGAACCATGACCAGGGCCCATAGCATGGGAAGGGGAGAGATGCAAAGAGGCCAGGCTGGGGGATCCCTAAGGTCCCCTGGGTCAGCCTGGTCTGGTACCACCTCCACGGCAGTCAGGGGAAAGCAGGGCCTGGGGTCCTGTGTCCACTGCTGTGGGCACCTTCAACCAGGATGAGCCCCCTAGACTGAAGGGGCTACAGGAAAGAAGACCTCAGTTTCCTTCCCTACATACTGAGGTGCTTGGCGTGGGTCACCCCAAGAGTCCCACAGGCTCAGAAAGCCTCCGTTGCCCCAGCTCTCCATAGGTGACCCACTGTGCTCCAAGGTTCTTAGAAAATGCTTTCTACCCCTGGAGTTCCTTCTGAGCAGAGAGAGGCAGGGTGGTTGATGCACTGAGACTTGGAGCAGCAGAGCATGGACCACGCATCCCTGGACAAGGGCAAAGACCCCAGTGTGGGAGCCTCAGGTCCTCCTACTGTGGAAGTGGAGCCGGGGCCACCTCCCTGGATGTGGTGAGGAGGCCTTGGAAGTGTCTGGACCCCAGGCCAGTGCTGGCAGTAGGAATAAGAGGGTTTTCTGATATTTCTCTCAATCCTCTTGGATTTTTGCCCCCTGGGATGTGGGAGCGTGGATTTGCCTTGCAAGTTCTGTGTTGTGGTTTTCCTTCTTTGGATGCAGTGCAAGCTCTGGCCACCAGGGGGAGACATGTGCCCACTGTGTTCTGCGGGAGCACCTGAGCCAGGGAAGAGCCAGGGGTCATTCAGGCCATTCCCCTGCCTCCAACCTGACCTGCATTTCCTATTGTCAGCATCCATCTCCACAGTCCGAGCTGGTCCGTGGTAGGATGTGGGAGTGAGGGGCTCCAGATCCTCTCATTTACTCATTCAGTCTTGATACCCAGAGCACTTACCTTGTTCCAGGGTCTGAGTTCAGCTTGGGTGCTGCAGTGAAAAAGACAGATATGGTATGGTCCCTGCCCTCCAGGAGCGCACCATCTGGAGGGGGAGCGGGACCAAGCCACAAAACATATAAGTGGGGAAAGGAGCAAGTGCTGTGTCGAAGTAAAGCAACTGATGCAGGGGAGGCTGGGGGCCACTTCATGGTGGGGGGATCTGAAAAGGCCTCCCTGAGGTGACAGTCATGCCATGAGCAGAATGACAAGGGGGAGCCAGCCCTGCAGGCATTTCCAGCACAGTGTGGGGAGGTGGAACTGTGCAGGGGCTCTAGGACAGACATTAGTTTGTCCAGAGAGGAGCTTAGAAAGGGGGACAGCGTGGCTGGAG
Source organism: Homo sapiens (assembly GCF_000001405.40). Classification (NCBI taxonomy): domain Eukaryota; kingdom Metazoa; phylum Chordata; class Mammalia; order Primates; family Hominidae; genus Homo; species Homo sapiens. The sequence continues at coordinate 109,980,367 of NC_000002.12, read as the reverse complement.
GGAGCTGGGGGGAGAGCAGGGGAGGGAGGGAAGGGTGGAGCAGATCCTGGGCCAGGTCCACCGTATGATGGCCCCACTGCTGCGTGGAAACACTGCCCCACCCGTAACCGCCCGTAACAATGGGCGCTCACCCAGGCCCAGCCCAGCTCAACAGGGTGCTTCTACCACATGGTCTCTCAGGGGGCTGGACTGAGGTCTCCTCTGAGACTCAACTGGGGCAGGATCTACTTTCAAGTTCATTCATGGGGCTATTGGAAGGATTCCATGTGGACTGAAGGGCCAAGTTCCCCTCTGTTGTCCTCTCTGGGTCCTAAGCCACAGGAGCCTCCCCTTAGGGCAGCTCCTAACAGAGCAGCTGCTCCCCAGAGCCAGGGTTCAGAGAGAGGAAAGGAGAAAGAGAGGAGGGAGAGAGGGGAGAAGAGAGAGCTGAGAAGATCTGAGAAAATGTCAGCCATGGTTACTAACAACTAAAGCTTGGAGGAGATATCCCATCACTTTTGCCATATTCTGTGATTAGAACAGGGTCTAGTCCACACTCAAAGGGAGGGCGTTGCACAAGGATGTGTATCCCAGGGGTGTGGATCACGGGGAGCCATTAGTGAGGCTGCCTACTACATAGGCAAGAAAGGTACTTGGGTTTTAATGTGGATATAAAGAGAAGCCACTGGAAGGATTAACGGAGGAAGACAATATATGAAATCATTTAACTTCAACCCAGCATGGCCAGAAGGAGAATTGACATTTCCAAGTTCACATGGCAGCAATCCAGGCCTTCCACAGGAGCTGTGGGGAGGTGGTGTTGCACGGATGGAGATGTCATGGAGTAGGAGGCTGAGCAGTCAGCACGCCTGAGAAGCATTTGGGGTCCTCTTATCAGATAAATTTGGGATAAATCTGTTTTCTGACCTGAGTCTTACTTGCACAGCACATTGACTTTGCGAAAATTCATCACCTTGCATGTTTCATCTGTGCATTCTATTTCCTTTCCAATTTAATACCAGAAAATTAGAAAAAGACTTCTGGGAAATCTTTAAACCTCCAAACATGTGGTTTTACCCTCTATCTCTAAGGATGGGAGGGAAACTGTGCCAGTGTCTGGGTTGTAGGTGGAGTAAAGAAACTTGCAGTACCCCGTCTCTACTAAAAATACAAAAAAATTAGCCAGGCGCGGTGGCAGGCGCCTGTGGTCCCAGCTACTCGGGAGGCTGAGGCAGGAGAATGGCGTGAACCTGGGAGGCAGAGCTTGCAGTGAGCCAAGATCACGCCATTGCACTCCAGCCTGGGCGACAGAGTGAGTCCGTCTCAAAAAAAAAGAAAGAAAGAAAGAAAGAAACTTGCAGTAAAGTAAGTTTGATGAAAAACAGGTAGTCCCAGACCAGGATGGAAGGATCTAGGTGCTAGGAGGAGTAGGTCTGCCCCGATGGACCCAGAGCAGTTTCCTCCCCCAGCGCTGTGATGTGGGCCTGGAATTTAACACTCGTTTTGAGTGTTCTCTGGGCCCGTTGCTGAGGCAGCAGCACACTTTAGATGATGAGAAGGTGGCTTCTCCTGCATTTGGTGAGCCTGGGGCTTTGGAACCCTCTTCCATTATTTGTGTGAGGTGGACATCTTTTTCCTGTAATGCAACTGCATTCAGTGCATCCAGTCATCAATATGCAAGAAAGACAGAGACATCCATCTGATGAAGGAACCCTAAGCCCAGCCCACTAAAAGACTCTGACTCTTGGTTTCATTTGCTTTCTTTTCACTTTTCTAATCAATTATTGGCTTACAGAGACCCCCCCTAGGGTAGAAAGTCATAGGAGAGAGGAGAACATCAGTCTAGAGGAACTGGTTGGGCGGGGCAGGAGGTGGAGGGCAGACTGGGGCTTCTCCCCAGTCTCTCCTGGATTCCAGGCTAAAACCCTACACACTATGCTTTTGGGGCCATAGACTGGCTCCTGGCAGCCCAGGAGAGTATCCCGCAGCCCCTGTTCATCAGCTGCCTTCCCTTCCCAGGTGAATCTGCACCAGGCCTGTCATCTCCTCTATGGCCAGCCTAGTCCGAACTGCTTTTATGCACAACTCAATTCTAACACTTACTAAACAGAGTTAGTGCAGACCCCACAGGTTAAGGGCTCAGCTCCATAAGGCTGCCCTCACTTCAGACACCAATCACAAGCCCCAGGCCTCTCGTACTTCTGACTGGCCAGCTTTCAATGGAGGGTTTGCATAACCCCATCCCCAGGCTCCATGATTAGCTGGAATGATGCACAGAACTCAGGAAAGCACTCAGCTTCCTATCACTGGTTATTATAAGGGACACTACTCCAGAACAGCCAAGAGGAAGAGATGCACAGGGCACCGTGGCAGGGGGTGCACAGAGCTCCTATACCCTCTGGGCACAACACCCTCCCAGCACCTCCCTGTGGTCACCAACGTGGGAGCTCTCAGAACCCAGTTGCCTGGGGGCTTTATGGGGGTTCCATCATGTGGCATGATTTATTAAATCACTGGCCACTGGTGACTCACTCTATCTCCAGCCCTCTTCTCTCCCTGGGGGTGCAGAGGTCACACAGACTGTTTCAACCCTCTCATCATGTGTGTGGTCTTTCTGACCAGGGCCACCCTGAAGCTTCCTAGGAGCCTACCAAGAGTCACCTCAGAAAAAAAGAAGCTCCTGTCACCCCTACAGGTCTCAGAAAACTGCAAGGGCTTAAGAACTCTACTGCCAGGGACTGGGGACACAGACCAGTCACATGCTTATAATATCACAAAATCACACTGAGAGAGCAAGACTGAGCCTCTCGGAGACTCTGGGGAGACACTGATCAATCCCAGGATGGACGCACACTCAGCCCTCAGGGTCCGTGGGGGACTGATTCCAGATCCCCAAGGATACCAAAATCCACAGAGACTCAATCAAGTCTCTGATAGAAAATGGTGTAGTATTTGCATATGACCTGAACATATCCTCCTGTGTACTCTCAATCATCTCTAGATTCCTTATAACACCTAATATAGTGTCAATGCTATGTAAATAGTTGTTACGCTGTATTGCTTTTTTATTTTTATTTTTTTATATTTTTCACCTGTGATTGGTTGAACCCATGGACTGAATATATTGAGGACCACATGCAGAAAACTATTTTTACTTGAGTTTTGTAGAGGATGGAATAAATATTTCAATCACTTTACTATCACTATCAAAGACCACCAATCTTAAATCACCCTAGAAGGTCAGCATATTTGTTGATAATGGATGTTTGCTGCTTCCTTAGGAGGCAGCACCAATGTGCTGGCAGGAGGACAAACAAGGCATGAGTTTCAAAAGGTGAGGTTTCTCCAGGCGCAGTGGCTCAAATCTATAATCCCAGCACTTTGGGAGGCCGAGGCAGGAGGATCTTTTGAGCCCAGGAGTTTGAGACCAGCTTGGGCAACATAGCCAAACCCTGTCTCTACAAAAAATACAAAAATTAGCTGGGCATGGCAGTACAAGCCTATAGTCCCAGCTACTAGGGAGGCTGAGATGGGAGGATCACCTGAGCTGGGGAGGCGGAAGTTGAAGCAAGCCATGATCACACTACTGTACTCCAGCCTGGGTAAGAATGAGACTGTGTCTCAAATAAGTACATAAATAAAATTTAAAAATAAAAGGTGAGGTTTGCTGTCCAATGCTGGTCCCAGCCAAGTATGACCTTAGCATCTGCTTTCTGCAAAGTCCCAGGTCCCCACTTGCCAAGGACAACAGTTCCCAGAGTGACTGGCCTCAGAAAACAAGGTGTCTGAGGGGATGATCAGAGGAAGGAGCCTGGTGGAAATTGGACAGGGAAGGGCTCTGTCCATGAGGTGGCAGTCGCCCATAAGCTGTGGTGTGGGAGGAAGCATAGGGAACCTAGGTTGGTGCTGGAGATAGCATTTCCTGGTCCTGACTTGGAGGAGTTGTTAACCCCGACATTCCTGACTCCTCCTTTGAGGAGGCTCCTGGCCTGCAAATCTCACGGGGTTATTGTGAGGGTCACCTGGGATGATGGGTTTGGATGCACTTTGTGAATGACACAGTGGGCCTTCCTCTTTCTGTCACTGGCCCTTTGACCTTGAATATGAATTGCCGGGGATCTCCAAGTCTCAATGTCTAAATGTCTAAGCCTGACAGGGTATGAGCTGCTGCAATGGAACATTCTACAGTGCCTCCTGGAAGATTCCCTGCTTCTGTCTGCACCTGACATAGCCCCTACTCCTGTTCCCCAGCCCGGAGAGCTTGCCCAAGGGGCACCCGGGTGGTACTGGGCCTACCTTCTCTTTGGAAAAGGTGATGACTTCCTCATTTCAGCTCTCCATCTTCCTAGCTTGCCCCATGGAATTCCAGGGCTCTGGCACAGCATTTGCTGGACATGAGAGGGAGAAAATCTAGGGCAGGGATCTGCCCTGGGGTGGGGGTGAAGGAGTATCCTGGAAACTGGGTGTCAGGAGGGTGAGTCCCACCCAGCTGGCCAGCGCCCTGTCCCCATGACACTGCTGGGTGCACATCAGTCCTCCTATCTCCCGCACAAGCTCCCTTCCAAGGGTCGCTTTCCAGAGTGGCTACAGCGCGGTCCATGCTGTCATGGGTGATGGAACAGCCCTGGAGGCCAACATACTGCTGTGTGGGGAGCCAGGGAAGACACTTCTCTTTCCCATCACCTTTGAGGTCCAATGAGCCATCATGTCCCTGATCTCCTCACCCAGGGCCTGCACCCTCCCACCGACCTGTGCAGGGCCCAGGCCACCTGACATCGGAGCTGCCATGGGCAAAGAGCTATAAAACCAGAGGCACATACCAGCGTCCTAAAGAGACATGCACTACTGACAGACCACAGGGTGGGGCAGCCTTGTGCATGCCTTGTGCATGGATAGCCTTACTTGCCTCCCCCTTCAACCCACATGCTTCAGATGGATGAGGGCGTAGCTAGAGAGCACAGGTAAGGCAGGGCTGATGGGTTGGGACCCATCCATCTCAGCCTCTGCCACCACGCACCCCTGGCACAGAGAACCTTTTAACACTGAGTCCGTTTACTGTCACTTTGAATTGTCACAGCCCCACAGAGACCAGCCCATAGCTGGACACACCCTATCTCCCTAAAATAACCAGTTCAAGAGCACCAGACAGTGGAAGTGCTCGTGTCCTAAGGGCTTCCTGCGGGCCTTCAGCAGGACAAGGTTGTGGCCACTAGTCCTAGGAGCACAGTGCCCTGAGCCTAGGCAAAGCAAGCAGGCATTACTCATCTAAAACAGCATCAGGAAAGACACCGAGAAACCAGGATGACTTGATTTTGTATTTGTGCAGCAGCAAACTCTTGAGGGACGCTAGAGGTAGTAGATGTGTCTGTGTGACTCCCAAATATACAGCAGGAGCCGATTTGGCAGAGAGACCCCTTGCCAATGCCATGTTCAGAGTGGAGGTCGACTTGAGAGCCACTGATCTGAGCAGCATGAAGTCCCCTGACATTAGCAGCATGAAGTCCCCTGACTTCAGCCACTTAGGTGTGGATTGCTGAGGGTTCAGGGCAGACAGTGTTTGAGTTCGGGCTGGGCCCACCTGTTTTCCCTCCAAGTGGCATCACCAGGTCCAGTGGGGAAAACACTGTTGTGGGTCTACATTGATTTACCTATACTGCTCAGAGAAGCTTCCTGTGGGCTTCCATAAACTGGCTTGGGTTGGTTATTACTGGCTGCAGCAGCAATTGATTGCTCTTCCTGTACCTTGTTACCCTGGAGATGAAAATCCAGACTTGATGGGGAGAAAAGAGAAAATCTCCATCAGGAGAATCAAGTGGTCTGTTCTCCTCCTCCACTGCCATTGTCATAAAGCATGGGGTTGGCTGTGGGGTCATTTGGAGTGCAGCGGTCCAAGTATCAGGAGCAGCGTACTCTCAAAAAGACTCACGGATGTGACCAAAACTGCAGCCTCCAAGGGTTTTGAGGCCTGCAGGCTGGGAGTTCTTGGCCTAGAGCATTTCACCCCTCTCTTCATTGCTTTCCTGGATGTTCCCAGGGGTCAATCTGGGCTGTTTTTGAGGTGGGATAAAGATTTAAATTGACTCGGGGAGGAGGGAAGTTATCTAAGGGTATAAACACAATATGGTTTTTTTTTATTTTTTTCTTTTGTAACAAGATTTTTTAAAAATCTCTTATTTAACTGAGAGTCATACTTTTGTCTATTATAGTAGCTAATTTACTATTATGATAGATAATAGAATTGGGTAAATAACAAGTTCTGTTCATCACTACAAAACACACACACACACACACAGTATGTGAAAATGCTTCCTATAATTGCTGTACACCATGGCCAGAAAGACAGACTTGAAGATGTAGGTATTAATGATAATGTAGATTATAAAGTACAAAGAATACCACCAGTTGAAGTCATAGACAGGCATGCTAGAAGAAAATAATCATGTTTCATGGTTTTCCATACCCTAGTTCCACAATGCATATAAGGCTGACCTTAGGCAAAATCCCACATGCACAGTCCATGTGCACGAGGCACCAGAAAGCCTCCTGTAACATTCGCTCTCCCCCATAGGGTGTGATGGGGCCTCAGAGCCATCACCATCCCTAATGCTGAACAGCTTGCTTCACACCTGCCCTTCTGAAATTCTTAGTACCTTACAGAGGCACCAATTTTCACAGTGGCAGGACCTTAGTGATCTCCCAATTCAGTTTTCTCCCTCCACAATGAGAAAATTGAGGCCTAGAAAGGACAGTGACTTGCTAGGAATTACAAAGAGAATAAGAAGCATGGCTGGGAAGAGGGCTGTGCACTGCAAAGTCAGGTAATCCTTGCTGTGTGGAACACCCAACTGCCTTGGCTGGGGCCAGATCATATTCTAACCACCCAGGGGACGATGCATGAAAGGTACCCGGTGATAACTGTGGAAGGGCAAGTTGTGACAGGTGCTCACTCTACCTTTAATGGAAACTTAATTTCCTACAGGAGGGGACGTCAAGGGGTGCTGGCTAGGCTGTCAGCCAGGGGTCTGAGGAAAGACCCAAGAGAACATAAGCAGGGCCAGGGCCAAGGCCAGGCCCAAGAGTGAGCAACAACCAAGAACAAGTTGATCTGATGAACCTACACATCACAAGATGACAGAAAACCTGCCTCTCTGAGGTCACTATTGGAGCAGATGTGGACTGACGTTTGCAGTGAGGCTCTGCCCACTCTCTAGAGCTGGAGAGCTAGCTACTCTGTGCAGTACCACTTAATAACTTTACCCTTATGCATGAGGTAAATCCATAACAAGAAGTCATTCCATGAGGTTTTTCTCCTAAGTAATTTCCACACGTGTGGAGAATTGGCATTTTGCAAGCAAGGTGGCAATTACTGTTGGGAAAAAGCTGAGTGTTGGGAGAAGCTGAGGCAGGGCTTGCAAGTCTGACATAAGGTAAAAGAGTCTTGGAACATGTCTGGGGTCCAGGGTCTAAAACCCTTTGTGGCCTTTGGAACACCAAGCTCTGTGCTAAAGGGTGGAAGGCTACCCTGATGCACCATAATCTAAGCCCAGGGCATAAAACCCCTCGTGACTTGGACAGAATCCAGGGCTCGTGGCTCTGGAACGTGTCTACACTTGCTGGCTCCATGCTCCTTGCTCTCCCAGGATCGACTGTATCTTGAGTTAAAAGAACATGCTCTCCATTATCTCAAGTAGCAGAGCAAATGCTAAACCATCACAGGTGTAAATCATGTGCTTAATGCAATGCGCCCTTTCAACCTCCACATTCTCACCACCTGTTTCTTTGCTGGATTACCAATAAATAGCACTGGGCTCCCAGAGCTTGGGGCCTTTGCAGCCTCCATGATTGCGATGGCCCCTTGGTCCCACTTCTGTCTCTCAAACTGTCTTTTCTCAATCCTTTGACTCCGCCGGACTTTGTCACCCCCACAACCTGGTGTTGGGTCTGATCACCCCAACAATTAGTGATGTTTACATTTATTTCCTGTTTGATGTAGCCAAAAAACTGCATCAATGCTTAGGAGAACCAGACATGATTCCTTTACAAAGATGGCTTATGTCTTTAAATTCAAGACTCAAAGAAGATTCCAGAATAGAAAGTGGGCTCAAATATTAAGAATTGTATCTCAAGAGATGTCTCCTGTTCCTTTCCATTTTGAAAGAATTCATTTAAATTTAGTGTTAAGTAGAGAGGATAGGCTACTAGTGCTGTAAAATTTTATATTCTTCAAAACTTTTACAGTGAATAGGACTAAACAGAAAATCACTCTTTGTCCTCTCACAGCCCTACTAGAGTCAGGAGACAGCCGCTTTGAATAGTGTGAATTCTGTTATGGTAAAAGATGTTCATGAACACGGATCAAGGATGCGCGGACATGATGTCAGGGCTGTTCGCTGTAGTGACCAGCACGTAGAGCTCAAATGCTATCTCCAGAATGTTTTCAAACTAAGGCGATCCCTCTGCTGTTTTCAGACCACTAAAGAGGAACCAAAAACATAAAGTGAAAACCACACACGTAAATTAATACACTGATACACTTTTTCCCTTTCAAGAGCACTCCTGCAGTGTTTGAACATGGAAGATTGTGTTTGGTGACAGATTGTGCCGCCAACAGGCTCAACCTAAATATGGGAGAATTCCCAGGCAGAAACTTCCAGAGAAGTGTGCTCATCGATTCCCAAAAAGCTTCAAGGCCATCAGGCAGAACATCAGCACACTGAACATGAACAATAGAAGACATAGAGGATATTGGGCAGGGTGTTCTGGAGGCTTTGGAAAGCCCTTCAGATCTATGGAGACAAAATGTTACTTTACTTACAAGAAACCAGCTAACTTTCGGCAAAAACAAACCATCACGTATCCTAAATCATATGCTTACCTGACGACTTTCAGGGAAGTTAATTAGGAAGACCGGCCTTAAGGCCCTTGACCATCTGATGCTGTGGATGTTAATAGCTTCCAGGGACCCACAGATAATCAGATCGATCAAGGTCAGCTGTGAGAGACACAGGCCAGAGATGTCAGTATTACACTGTCCAAGGACAGTGGATGGGTGTTCACCAACCCAGGAGAGGTACAATGTTATGTGAAAAAGCACGTTTCATAGACAGCATAGTACCACTTTTGTAATACGACATTAATAATAACTAATGTTTGACGTTTTACTGTGTTCCATGTACTATAACAAGCACCTCTTGTAGATGATTTTAGACTCACCACACCAATTAGGTGGGCACTATTCCTGGAGGAGGAGCTTGAGGCACAGAGAGGGTAAGCATGTAGCCCCTGATCACACAGCTATCCAGGGCAGAGCTGGGACTGGAACCCAGACAGTCTGAGGGCTCAGCCCTTGCTATTAATCACACTGGGACATCCTTCCACACTACACCCTATTGACCTCTTCAATTTGACATGTAAAAGAAAGGAGGTGTAGCCTAGTAACAGAGATGAGAATATCTAGAATACAGACAACCCCTATTAATCTTTATTAATGTCAGGTTTATGGGCAAGAGATTAAGGTGAAGATGGCCAAAAGAAGAACCTAGTGTATTTTAGAAAAATATAAGTAGAAAAGAACAATGTACCATCATCAAAAAAACTTGAATTTAGCCCCTTTGGTGGTAAGGCACAGAGGATCTAGTGAGCTCCTTCCCCTCAAAGGGCACGCCGCACGGGACGGGTGTAGGGTCCAGCCCTACACGGTCTGTGGATTTTTCTCCTCGTGTGCAGAGATGAGAGATCGTAGAAATAAAGACACAAGACAAAGAGAAGAAAAGACAGCTGGGCCCGGGAGACCACTACCACCTAGACGCGGAGACCTATAGTGGCCCCAAATACCTGGCTGTGTTGGTATTTACTGGACACAAGGCAAAAGGGGCAGGGTAAGGAGTGTGAGTGATCTCCAATGATTGATAAGGTCACATGAGTCACGTGTCCACCGGACAGGGGGCCCTCCCTGTTTGGCAGTAAGGCAGAGAGAGAGGACAGCTTATGCCATTATTTCTTCTATGCATTTCAAAGACTTTTAGTACTTTCACTAATTCTGCTACTGCTATCTAGAAAGCAGAGCCAGGTGTACAGGGTGGAACATGAAAGTGGACCAGGAGCGTGACCGCTGAAGCACAGCATCACAGGGAGACGTTCCGGGCTCCAGATGGCTGTGGGCGGGGCTGACTGGTGTCAGGCCTTCCACAAGAGGTGGTACAGCAGTCTTCTCTAACTCCCCCAAGGAAAGGGAGACTCCATAGTGCCTTCCATTGGCACTGACGCTACCGCTAGACCGAGGTCCGCTACGTAAGGGGCGTCTTCCCAGGTGCTGGCGTTACCGCTAGACTAGGGAGCCCTCTAGTGGCCTTTTCCAGGCGTAACAGAGGGCTCACGCTCTTGTCTTCCAGTCACTTCTCACCGTGTCCCTTCAGCTCCTATCTCTGTATGGCCTGGCTTTTCCTAAGTTATAATTGTAGAACAAAGATTATTATAATATTGGAATAAAGAGTAATGTTAACAAACTAATGATTAATGATATTCATATATAATCATATCTATAATCTATTTCTAGTATAACTATTCTTATTCTGTATATTTTCTTTATTATACTGGAACAGTTTTTGCCTTCAGTCTCTTGCCTTGGCACCTGAGTGGCTTGCCGCCCACAGGCGGGGGAAACAGCTAAGAAATGAGGCTGGTTCACAACTGCCGCACTGGAGGAAACCAGTGTGGCTGTCCCAGGGGAGCGAGGACAGGTGGATCACCAAGGGTTAAGATATTTGACGGGCTTCATGGAGGAGGCACTCTTTGATGTAACCTACAGCACAGCAGAGCTTTAATAAAAACTCAGGAAGGTCAAGAGCTAGACAAGAAGATAGAATAAAAGGACTCTTGAGGAAGTACTGGGCTGGCATGTTGGGAAGCAGAGGGTCCTGGGAGTGGCGGCAAAGGGAAGCAGCAGAAAGTGATAAGGACCTATGGAAGGTGGCTTTGCAGGCCAGGCTAAAAAGGCAGGTCTCATTCCCAGGGCCTTTCAAATAACAGATGGAGCAAAGGAGTGAGAGGACAGCACAGGAGGCTGCATGAATATATCACATTCTACTTAAGACATATGTCTTATAATTTTTGTCTGGAAATCAGGTTGTTTCCAATTTTTCAATATTATAAACCGTCAGCCACCACCAATTTTGTGGCTAAATCTCTGAATGCATCCTTCTTTCCTACAGATAAATTCCCAGGAATGGAAGTCCAGGGTTAAAATATATTCACCTTCAAGGCTTTTGAAAGGAGCTGCCAAAGAGCCTTCCAGAAAGACAGTTTTATTCCTCTCTCCTGTAGGGTGTAAGAACATTTGTTTTATGGCAAAGACATGGAAGCAACTTGGGTGCTCATCAATGGTGGGTTAGGCAAAGAAAATGTGGTACATATACACCATGGAATACTATGCAGTCATTTAAAAAGAATGAAATTATGTCCTTTGCAGTAGTATGGATGCAGCCAGAGGCCATCATCCTAAGTGAATTAACAGAGAACAGAAAACCAAATACTGCATGTTGTCACTTATAAGTAGGAGCTAAACACTGGGTACTCATGGACACAAAGATGGCAACAGTAGACACTGGGGATTCCTGAGGGGAAGGGACAGAGGAGGGGAAGGGTTGAAAAACTACCTGCTGGATTCTAGGCTCACTACCTGAGTGATGGGATCAGTTGTACCCCAAACCTCACCATCACGAAATATACCCATGTAACAAACCTGCACATGTACCACCTGAATCTAAACTAAAAATTGAAATTACAAAAAGTTTGTTTTCAATCTTGCTAAGATTGTTTTATAGGCAAACACATGGTATTTTATTGTCGTTTTATTCTATAATTTTTAATTAGTGACGTTAAACATCTTTCCTATCGGCCATTTTACATATTTTTTCCTTATGAGTTGCCTTCACTTATCTTCAGCAAAATTATCTATTGAGATATCTTTTTTTTCCTGTAATTTGGAAGTGCTCTTGATATGCTGAAATGTCTGCACTGCCACATTTTGCCCTATTTGTTCTTCAGTTTGCGGTTTGCTTGCAGTTGTGCTTATGGCGTTCACTGTATGGAAGTGTTGTTGTTTCATCAAAAGCAAATCTATTGAGTCTTTTTTCTTCATGGCTCCTGCCTTCGGTCATAAACTCTTACAGGTACTACAATGAACACTCGCCACTGTGGTTACCATGGTGCAGATGTCTTTTGTATCCTTCCAGAAAACCATTTGAGGAGTGACTTTTGCAAAATGTACCAGTCTGCCAAAGTATGCAGTCAGGCAGAGTACTTCTGCTATTGAGGTGGCCTGCAAGGAGAAAACAGAGGCTGAGCACGAGGGCTTGCCATGGGGAGGCTCAGCTTTAGTTATCCAGTACCACCCCCTGTCCCCTGCCACTACCCTACCTTTCCTGCCTGGCACCCTCTGAGAATTTGCCATGTCCCTTAATTTTACTGAAAATTGCAGCAACATTTTCTGCCGGTTAGAATGGCTTCTTCCTCTGAAAGGGAAATCTGCCACTGAGTCACAATCTCCATGACCCACACTGGCAGGGATTCCTGGGAGGGGCTGCACCAGCAGGCTGAGGACCAAGAACACATTTCCCCAGAAAAGGGGGAGGTCAGAGGCAGAGATCGTCTATGCTCTCAAATTCCCCATGTTCAAATTCCAGACACCTAGAAGTCCCATTTCTCTAACGGTAAGGTAATTCCCCAAAGATGTGTTTGGGAATAATGGGTCCTTCCATAAACATCACTGCCACTGCAGCCCTGCTGCCTATATGAGGCTGGTTAGAGACGAGGATGGAGCCCACTGAGATCAAGACCGAAGTCCTGATGGGCCTCCCTCTGTAGATTACGGGTGCCAACTCCAGACTCCTGTACCTGCTAGACTTGAAGCCCATGACTGCAGCCCAAGGTTTGCCTGAGGCTGTTGGGATGCAGTAACAACTTCCTAACAAGGGCACGTTCCTCCATCAATAGGGAGAGACAGGTGGAAGATAGGAAGAGATGGAGAAAGGGACAACTTGACTTAGGCTAAAAAGAGGGAAAAGTCTTGAGTGAGAGCTAGAGACAGGAGGAAGGGGCTGGCTGTGGGCCTGAAAGCAGCAGGGGACACTATCATTGCCCCCTAGTTCCAGCCCTCATGGGTCTGTGCACAGACTGGGCTGCAGCCCCTTGCAAATGTTCTAGCTCTCAGTCTGTTGACTCTTGAAGAGCTATAGAGACCCAATGTCAAGTCCAGCTTTGCAAAAGGGCCTTAGGCAATTTCAGGACATCCTTGCTTAAAACAAGACTTGCGTGGTAATGCTGGATGGGGGCCAAAGCCCTCAGAACACACTGGACTTTGGAGATTTACAGTACAAGGGCTGGCTGAAGGAACACTCTGAAACTCAGGCAGCCAACCCAAAGTTATACATGACCAATAACAGACAGGGGATGAGGACTCAGGAAAAGAGGCAAATGGCTAAGAAGACCACTCTGTGGGATTCCTACCTTGGCCAGAGTGGACCAGTGCTAAGGAGGGATAGACAACACTCTGTCCAGGTTTGTGAATGCACAGCTCTGTTTCTTCAGATTTTGTGTTTGTGTTGACTGTTATTGGGATAAAAGTCTTCTATCCAGAGAATTCATTAATTGCCGGATCTTTATTGTAAGACAGTTGGTGGATGTCACTTGGGCAGCCCCAGTGAGCCATACTTACAGTTTTCACCCCCTTTGCAGTGGCCTCCCAAGTTGACTCAGGTTTTGGCATGTGATTGACAACAGGACATCAGCAAGTATGATGCAAGCAGAGGTTTGATGGTGCAGCACACTGGGATGCTCCTTCCTGGACCCAGCCACCCACTGGGAAAAGCCTAAGCCACGTGGAGCAGCTACATAGAAGAGGGCCGGGGCCACAGCTACAGCCAGCAGCTCCTGCCAGCCACGTGAGAGAGCTACCTTGATGTTCCAGCCTCCAGAGATCTAAGAGCTTCCAGACATCTACCACCCCAGCCACACCACCTGAGCCAATGTCCCACAGAGTCATGGGAGATAATAAAAGGCTGTTGTTCTCTAAAGCTAGGGGTTAGTGAACTCTTTCTGTTAAAGTAAACATGTGAAGCTTTGCAAGTCTTACAGTCTCTGTCACAACCACTAAACTGTTGATGTAGCTCCAAAGCAGCCAAAGACAACACATAAATTAATAAGTGTGGCTATGTTCCCATAAAACATTATTTGCAGACAGCAAAATTTGTATTTCATATCACTTCCATGTGTCACAAAATATTAATCTTCAGTGTCCTTTTTCCTAGTCATTTTAAAATGTAAAAACTATTTGTCTTAGTCTGATCAGGCTGCTATAAAAGAATACCATAGACTGGGTGGCTCATAAACAACAGAAATTTATTTCTCACAGCTCTGGAGGCTGGGAAGTCCAAGATCAAAGCACTGTCAAATTTGGTGTCTGATGAGGGCCCACTTTCTGGTTCACAGACAGCCATTTTTTTTGTGGCGTTCTCACTTGACAGAAGGGGCAAGGGAGCTCCTTGAAGCATCTTTTATGAGGGGACTAATCCCATTCATGAGATGGGCTCTGCCCTCATGATCTGATCACCTCCAAATACCTCCACACTGGGACTAGGTTTTGAAATACGAATTTTGGGAACACACAAACATTCCATTTGTAGCACCATTCTTAGCTCATAGGCTGTACAAAAATAAGCAGCAGCTGAATTTGTCCCACAGGCCATGGTTTCCCAACCCTTGTTTTAAGTGTTTGAGTTTTAGGATGGTTTGTAAATATGTTTGTGCAATTGATAACTGAAATAAGGAAGAATAAAAAAGGGTCTGTGTGGTTGTTAAAAAGCAAAAGCTTTGAAATCAGGCTTAGGCTTGAAGCCTAGTTCTGCCTTTGTTGCCTAGTAACCTTGGACAAGTTATACAATCTTTCTAGGCTCAGCTTCCTTATCTGTTAAAATGGGTATAATAACAGCAGGCACATCCCATTGAGTCCCTGTAAGGCTTAAGGAGAATACAGAGAAAGCATTGAGATCACCCAGCAGATAGCAAGCAGGGAGCAAATGACAGCTATTAAGACAGAGGTAAGAGTAATGACGAATCAGAAATCAACATGGGCAGGGCACTGGTCTACTATTTAGACCTCTCTGGATTGGCTGGTGAATTTGATACATTACTCAAAATCAAATGTGATCAGCCCCTAAGCACCAATAAATACTCTAATAATTTATGACTATGAAAAAAAGCTGAAAATGTGGCATGTACAAGTTGCATATTACACTATATGAGAACATCATCTACTTGGCAGTAAGTAAATTGGCTTTGAAAACATCATTGAACCATCTCTGATTTTGTGTGTGTGTGCACAGAAGACCAAAATCTCCCACTGCACTTAAAATGCGTTATGAAGGAAGCATGTGTTTGGTGAGTAGACAGAACTTCTCTAATCCCCCAGCAAAAAAAATAAATAACATCTAATTCATATTTGTTGAAATTTGAGGGGAAAAAAAGAAGAGGCACAAGGCCCAATCATCTATGACCAAATCTGGCTAGCCATCTGCTATGGCTTGCTTACCAAGAAAGGCAGGGGAAGCAACTCAGGCTCTTCAAACAGGGCAAGAGCGAGGTCTACACAAATAAAGAAGTATGCGGCAACCTGCGTTGTCTAGTGGTTATAAAAATAGTAACGTCTGGAGGAGAAAAAGACAAAAGTGATTATAAACAACGAACAGGAGCTACACAGCACCCAAACATCTCTTTAAAGAACTAATGCTGGGTAAAATAAGAAAGTTAAGGCTTAGTCATGTTTCCTTTAAATTCTAGGGAGCAGGAGGCAGTATTTAATGATCATATACTATAAACACTAACACAAAAAAATCAAGCATATGATCATAACTCAAAGCACATTTTCTTAACAGTCTCAAGCTAAGATTATACCTTCCCATGGGGTTGTTGTGATAGTAATAAGAGAATACTTGCAGAGGACTTGAACAGTGACGGACACAGATTAAACCCTCAGTTAAAGTGGCCCATTATGATGTGGCATGGTGGCCTAACCCAATTTTAAAATGTACATCATCCCATCTTAACATGATAGACTCAGAAGAGATCTGGCAAAAGGTCATGCCAGTCTCTCCCCAGGTGGGGACAGTACCCCAAACATGCTCGGCAACATCCAGGGATGAGGTATTGGCTGCCTTGGGAGGCCCTGAGGCTGAGCCCTAGTGATAAACAGGCTGAGCACCTGTAGGGGGTGACAGAGAAAAAGCTGAATTCCCATGAGAAGAGCAAACATATGGATTGCATCACAAAACAATGGACAGGACAAAAAAGCCTTTTCACTTGAGGTAACTCTAAGAGGATGACATAAAAGGAAAAGACAATGGCAAGTTCTTCCCTTGAATGCCCTAGCTTCTATGCTGGGTATTGCTCATTTTACTCATTTGTCTGATCTTAATCTATTTATTGAATGCTTCCCTGCGTGTGAGGCCCATGCTCTTATAACTCAAAAAAAAAAAAAAAATTCAGCCAGGCATGGTGGCTCACATATCTAATCCCAGGCCTTGGTGGGAGGATCACTTGAGCCCAGGAGTTCAAGGCTGCAGTGAGCCATGATCACACCACTGAACTCCAGCCCAGGCAACAAAGCAAGACCCTGTCTCAAAAAAAAAAAAAAAAGTATTGGATTACGTCCAAATCTATGTGCTGTACCCTATATACTTCTCAAAATATCTGTGTAAACAATGCCTTCAGTTTGGGTTCAAGTTCAAGAGTATCAAGTGCTGAAGGACAGGTGGTTCTACATGATGGTTTAACATGTTAGTTACCTGATGGCCTGAGGTGAGTTTCAAATGGAACATTTCTGTTGTACTGGGCATCCAAAACATAGGCAGCTGCCAGGAGAAGGTCCTGTTCCCCATTGAGACAGAGTAAGGGAGACCAAGTCAGAGGAGGAGAGGATACTTTTCTTTTTCCTTTGTTAAGTATGCACTGAGTATAAAAGGAAGCTCCCCTTCGCCTCTCCACAGACCCACTCTCCCAGAGGTAGCCAACATCTAAACAGTGTTGTCTCCACACCTCCAATGTCTCTTTGAGCACCGAGAATCCTGCAGTGGGACCAGGTCCAGACACACTCCACTTTCTTGAATTCAAATATAGGCTCTCAGAGGAAATGTAAATAAGCATTGACTAGAGCATGTATTTGTACCTAAATGGTATATTCATACATACATATATTAATATATGGTTAGGTACACATGTATATACAAATATATATACGGTCATGTGCCCCATAACATTCTGGTCAACAATGAACCACATATATAACAGGGTTCCCATAAGATTATAATGAGCTGAAAAATTCCTACCACCTAGTGAGGTCATAGCACAACAAAATACAAAATTGTGGTGATGCTGGTGTCAACAAACCTCCACGGCCAGTCGTATAAAATTCTAGCACATACAATTATGTATGGTACATAATATTTGATAATGATAATAAATGATTATGTTACTGGTTTATGTATTTACTACACTATACTTTTTATGGTTATTTTAGATTGCACTCCTACTTATTAAAAAAAAAAGTTAACTGTAAAACAGCCTCAGGCAAGTCCTTCAGGAGGATTCCAGAAGAAGGCATTGTTATTCCAGGAGGTGACAGCTCCATAAGTGTTATGGCCCCTGAAGACCTTCCAGTGGGATGAGATGCAGAAGTGGAAGACAGTGATATTGAGGGTCCTGACCCTGTGTAGGCCTAGGCCAATGCATACGTTTGTGTCTTAGTTTTTAATAAAGAGTTTATGAAGTTAACATTTTTTAAGTTTAAAAATAGAAAAAAGCTTATAGGATAAGGATATAAAGAAAGAAAATATTTAGTATAGCTATGCAATGTGTTTTAAGCTGCTATTGCAAAAGAATCAAAACGTTTATAGAGTAGAAAATTTATAGTAAGCTAAGGTTAATTTGTTATTGAAGAAAGAAAAATATTTTTTATAAATGTAGTCAACTGTACAGTGTTTCTAAAGTCTACAGTAGTGTGCAGTGATTCCTAGACCTTCACATTTACTCACCACTCATTCACTGACTTACCCAGGACAACTGCCAGTCCCGCAGGCTCCATTCATGGGAAGTGCCCTATTCATCTTTTACCTTTTATACCATATTTTTACTGTACCTTTTCTATGTTGAGATACACGAATACACCATTGTGTTACAGTTACCTGCCATATTCAGTACAGTAATATGCTCTACAGGTTTGTAGCCTAGAAAAATAGTCTACAGCCTAGGTGTCTAGTAAGTTATGCCATTTAAGTTTGTGTAAGTACATTGTATGATATTTGCACAATGATGAAATCCCCTAGTGATCCATTTCTCAGAATATATCCCTGTTGTTAAGTGACGCATTACTGTATATATACATATACATACAAACAAATCTGTAACACAAAATTATATACTATGTGTATTTACACTACCTAATATATTTATATACATATAAACACAAAACACAAAATTCCTTTTATATTTGCAAGTTTTGCCAAAGATGTGGAGCAACTGGAACTCTCATACGTTGCTGGTTGGAATAGAAAATGGCACATTTACTTTGGAAGACAGTTTGGTAGTTTCTTAAAACGTTAAAAAGTATGACCCAGCCATGCTACTTTGAAGTGTTTTCCAAAAGGAAAGACAGCATATGTCCACACAAAGACTAGTACATCCACCCCAAGTATGTGGCTCATGTGAGACACCTCATCCCAAAGCTGCACACATACACATACGTTCATCCCAGCTTAACAGCCCAAAACTAGAAACCAAAATGTCCACAGACAGGTGAGTGGATAAACAAAGTGTACTGTATCTCTACAATGGAATACTACTCAGCAATAAAAAGGAATGAGTAACTAATAGATGTAACAAAATGGATGAATCTCAAAATAACTGTGCCGAGTGAAAGAAGCCAACCACCCCCCGAAAAGAGTACTCACTGTATGATTCCATCTGCATAAAATTCTGGAAAATGAAAACTAACCTACAGTGACAGAACCCACATCAGTGGTCGTGTGTTGGCAGGGGGAGGAAGATGGGAACAGGCTGGGCATGGTGGCTCATGCCTATAATCCCAGCACTTTGGGAGGCTGAGGTGGGCAGATCACTTGAGGTCGGGAGTTTGAAACTAGCCTGGCCAACAAGACGAAACCCCGTCTCTATTAAAAATACAAAAACTAGCCGGGCATGGTGCCATGCACCTGTAATCCCAGCTACTTGAGAGGCTGAGGCAGGAGAATAGCTTGAACTCGGGAGGCGGAGGTTGCAGCGAGCCGAGATTGTGCCATTGCACTCTAGCCTGGGCGACAGAGAGAGATTCCGTCTCAAAAAAAAAAAAAAAAAAAAAAAAGAGTGGAACGAAGAGAACTGAGAGAGAGAGAGATTACAAACAGGCATAAGAAAACATATAGGGGTGACTGATATGTTCATTATTCTTATCATGGCATTACTATCCCAAGGGCATTCATACACCAAAACTCATCAAGCTGCATACTTCAAATAAATGTAGTTTAGTGTATGTCTATTATAATCTAAAAAAGCTGTTAAAATGCCCAAAATGAAAGACAAATACTTGGATTAAAAAAGTTGATGTAGAACAATAATCTCATAGATGAATTAACTGCCGTAAGAGCCGATCGCTTTTTGAGTAACAGGTATGCTCAGGGTTGGTATGGCAATTCTTACAGGCAGTTTATTAAAATCTAAGAAGCACCATGTAAATGTGTTTAACACTTATCACACATTTTTCTTTTTTTTTTCCTTTTCGAGATAGAGTTTCACTTTGTCACACAGGCTGGAGTGCAGTGGCACAATCTCGGCTCACTGCAAACTCTGCCTCCCGGTTTCAAGCGATTCTCCTGCCTCAGCCTCCTGAGTAGCTGGGATTACAGGCACGCACCACCATGCCAGTCTAGTTTCTCTAATTTTAGTAGAGACAGTGTTTCACCATGTTGGCCAGGCTGGTCTCAAACTCCTAACCTCAAGTGATCCGCCTACCTCGGCCTCCCAAAGTGCTGAGATTACAGGCGTGACCCACAATGCCCAGCCAAACATTTTTCTTTTACATATTTAAAAAACATTCTAGTAGGAAAACCATTAATATCAATTATTTTTTTCATTGAAAATCTTTAACACTGAGGAAGAATACAGTTCCCAGGACATGCTTAGAAATATATTTTAGGTAGAAAATGCCTCGCATCAGCAAGAGTTGATTTTTTTTTTTTAATGAACACACACCAACTTTAAGAAAATTCCATTAAGCCTCAAAAAGATCATACTTGAAGAGTTCTGACATTGAGGCTTTTTAAAAAAATTGCTGGCAAAGATCTTTTAAGGCCACTGTTGTCCCCAGTGATGCTACAAACATCCTTACAGTCCCAGTGAGGCCATTTGTCCACAAACATAAGCAGTTCAACACTCACGGATTTGAGATGCATCCTTCATATGCCCTCCAGGTAGAGAAAGGAAAAAAACACTCACCAGCAATGCCTCAGCCAGTCAGGCCCTCGGGGTCATCTCCATGAGACAGATCCCAGACCCCAGACATTGAATGACCAGCACCTCATCACCCCCACCAACTGCCATCTGAACTCATCCTTGCTGTTTTAAAATCTGCTGATTCTATCATAATAGCCATTTCACCCTTACACTAACGTTTCAAAGCTTTCCCATTCTTAACTGGTATTACATTTCTGACATCTATCTCCTTTTAAAATCGCATCTCCTTTATGCTTTGGTTCTAATTGCCTTCCTTCTCCTCCTCCCTCCCATTTGTGCGCAACTTCTAAGTGTCCTGCGTTCCGTGTGGGAAGCGGTACTCTTAGAAGACAGACTTTACTGTAATAAGCATGTTTATTTGAACTAAGGCCATTTGTATTTTCCCATAAAACAAACTGTTTTTACCCAACCCAAGAATGTGGATTATGTTAGACACCCCATTCCACAACTTCACATACTTTTCAAGTTTACATGCGAACCACTGTCCATATCTACCATGAAAATAGCAAAGACCAAATAGCAGATGTTTCCCCAGATGCAGCTTAAATGTGGCTGCAAACCTCAAAACAGCATCCCAACTATGGGAGGCATTGGCAACTGTGGGAGTGGTGATTCTCAATCCCCACAGCATATGACAATCATCTTAACAACTTTTAAAGATCCTACTGAAGTCCAGGTCACATGCAGACCCCAACTGCATCAGAACCTCTGGGAGGTAGAACCCAGGATTAATCTTTAATTATTATTATTAAGTTCTAGGGTACATGTGCACAACGTGCAGGTTACACATGTATACATGTGCCATGTTGTTTTGCTGCACTCATTAACTCGTCATTTACATTAGGTATTTCTCCTAATGCTATCCCTCCCCCATCCCCCCAACCCATGACAGGCCCCAGTGTGTGACGTTCTCCGTCTTGTGTCCAAGTGTTCTCATTGTTCAACTCCCACCTATGAGTGAGAACATATGGTGTTTGGTGCTCTGTCCTTGCGATAGTTTGCTCAGAATGATGGTTTCCAGCTTCATCCATGTCCCTACAAAGGACATGAACTCATCCTTTTTTATGGCTGCATAGTATTCCATTGTGCATTTGTGCCACATTTTCTTAATCCAGTCTATCACTGATGGACATTTGGGTTGGTTCCAAGTCTTTGCTATTGTGAATAGTGCCACAATAAACATATGTGTGCATGTGTCCTTATAGTAGCATGATTTATAATCCTTTGGGTATATACCCAGTAATGGGATTGCTGGGTCAAATGGTATTTCTAGTTCTAGATCCTTGAGGAATCGCCACACTGTCTTCCACAATGGTAGAACTAATTTACACTCCCACCAACAGTGTAAAAGCATTCCTATTCTCCCCATCCTCTCCAGCACCTGTTGTTTCCTGACTTTTTAATGATTGCCATTCTAACTGGTGTGAGATGGAATCTCACTGTGGTTTGGATTTGCATTTTTCTGACGACCAGTGATGATGAGCATTTTTTCATGTGTCTGTTGGTTGCATAAATGTCTTCTTTTGAGAAGTGTCTGTTCATATCCTTTGCCCACTTTTTGATGGGGTTGTTTGATTTTTTCTTGTAAATTTGTTTAAGTTATTTGTAGATTCTGGACATTAGCTCTTTGTCAGATGGCTAGATTGCAAAAATTTTCTCCCATTCTGTAGGTTGCCTTTTCACTCTGATGGCATTTTCTTTTGTTGTGCAGAAACTCTTTAGTTTAATTAGATCCCATTTGTCTCTTTCGGCTTTTGTTGCCATTGCTTTTGGTGTTTTAGTCATGAAGTCCTTGCCCATGTCTATGTCCTGAATGGTATTGCCTAGGTTTTCTTCTAGGGTTTTTATGGTTTTAGGTCTAACATTTAAGCCTTTAATCCACCTTGAATTAATTTTTGTATAAGGCATAAGGAAGGGATCCAGTTTCAGCTTTCTACATACGGCTAGCCAGTTTTCCCAGCACCATTTATTAAATAGGGAATCCTTTCCCCATTGCTTGTTTTTCTCAGGTTTGTCAAAGATCAGATGGTTGTAGATGTGTGGTGTTATTTCTGAGGCCTCTGTTCTGTTCCATTGGTCTATATCTCTGTTTTGGTACCAGTACCATGCTGTTTTGGTTACTGTAGCCTTGTAGTATAGTTTGAAGTCAGGTAGCGTGATGCCTCCAGCTTTGTTCTTTTTGCTTGGGATTGTCTTGGCAATGAGGGCTCTTTTTTGGTTCCATATGAACTTTAAAGTAGTTTTTTCTAATTCTGTGAAGAAAGTCATTGGTAGCTTGATGGGGATGGCATTGAATCTATAAATTACCTTGGGCAGTATGGCCATTTTCACAATATTGATTCTTCCTGTCCATGAGCATGGAATGTTCTTCCATTTGTTTGTGTCCTCTTTTATTTCATTGAGCAGTGGTTTGTTGTTCTCCTTGAAGAGGTCCTTCACGTCCCTTGTAAGTTGGATTCCTAGGTATTTTTTTCTCTTTGTAGCAATTGTGAATGGGAGTTCACTCATGATTTGGCTCTCTGTCTGTTATTGGTGTATAGAAATGCTTGTGATTTTTGCACATTGATTTTGTCTCCTGAGACTTTGCTGAAGTTGCTTATCAGCTTAAAGAGATTTTGGGCTGAGATGATGGGGTTTTCTAAATATACAATCATGTCATCTGCAAACAGGGACAATTTGACTTCCTCTTTTCCTAATTGAATACCCCTTATTTCTTTCTCTTGCCTGATTGCCCTGGTCAGAACTTCCAACACTATGTTGAATAGGAGTGGCGAGAGAGGACATCCCTGTCTTGTGCCAGTTTTCAAAGGGAATGCTTCCAGTTTTTGCCCATTCAGTATGATATTGGCTGTGGGTTTGTCATAAATAGCTCTTAGTATTTTGAGATACATTTCATCAATACCTAGTTTATTGAGAGATTTTAGCATGAAGGGATGTTGAATTTTGTCAAAGGCCTTTTCTGCATCTATTGAGATAATTGTGTGTTTTTTGTCTTTGGTTCTGTTTATGTGATAGATTACATTTATTAATTTGTGTATGTTGAACCAGCCTTGCATCCCAGGGGTGAAGCCAACTTGATCTTGGTGGATAAGCTTTTTGATGTGCTGCTGGATTCAGTTTGCCAGTATTTTATTGAGGATTTTCGCACCGATGTTCATCAGGGATATTGGTCTAAAATTCTCTTTTTTTGTTGTGTCTCTGCCAGGCTTTGGTATCAGGATGATGCTGGCCTCATAAAATGAGTTATGGAGGATTGCCTCTTTTTCTATTGATTGGAATAGTTTCAGAAGGAATGGTACCAGCTCCTCTTTGTACCTCTGGTGGAATTCAGCTGTGAATCGGTCTGGTCCTGGACTTTTTTCGGTTGGTAGGCTATTAATTACTGCCTCAATTTCTGAGCCTGTTATTGGTCTATTCAGGGATTCGACTTCTTCCTGGTTTAGTCTTAGGAGGGTGTATGCATCCAGGAATTTATCCATTTCTTCTAGATTTTCTAGTTTACTTGTGTAGAAGTATTGATAGTATTCTCTGATGGCAGTTTGTATTTCTGTGGGATCGGTGGTGATATCCTCTTTATCATTTTTTATTGCATCTATTTGATTCTTCTCTCCTTTCTTCTTTATTAGTCTTGCTAGCGGTCTATCAATTTTGTTAATCTTTTCAAAAAACCAGCTCCTGGATTCAATGATTTTTTCAAGGTTTTTTTTCTGTCTCTATCTTCTTCAGTTCGGCTCTGATCTTAGTTATTTCTTGTCTTCTGCTAGCTTTTGAATGTGTTTGTTCTTGCTTCTCTAGTTCTTTTAATTGTGATGTTAGGGTGTCGATTTTAGAACTTCCCTGCTTTCTCTTGCGGGCATTTAGTGCTATAAATTTCCCTCACATGCTGCTTTAAAAGTGTCCCAGAGATTCTGGTACATTGTGTCTTTGTTCTCGTTGGTTTCAAAGAACATCTTTGTTTCAGCCTTAATTTCGTTATTTACCCAGTAGTCATTCAGGAGCAGGTTGTTCGGTTTCCATGTAGTTGTGCGGTTTTCAGTGAGTTTCTTAGTCATGAGTTCTAATTTGATTGCGCTGTGGTCTGTGAGACAGTTTGTTGTAATTTCTGTTCTTTTACATTTGCTGAGGAGTGCTTTACTTCCAACTAAGTGGTCAATTTTGGAGTAAGTGCGATGTGGTGCTGAGAAGAATGTAGATTCTGTTGATTTGGGGTGGAGAGTTCTGTAGATGTCTATTAGGTCTGCTTGGTGCAGAGCTGAGTTCAAGTCCTGGATATCCTTGTTAACCTTCTGTCTCGTTGATCTGTCTAAAATTGACAGGGGGTTGTTAAAGTCTCCCATTATTATTGTGTGGGAGTCTAAGTCTCTTTCTAGGTCTCTAAGGACTTGCTTTATGAATCTGGATGCTCCTGTATTGGGTGCATATATATTTAGGATAGTTAGCTCTTCTTGTTGAATTGATCCCTTTACCATTATGTAATGGCCTTCTTTCTCTTTTGATCTTTGTTGGTTTAAAGTCTGTTTTATCAGAGACTAGGATTGCAACCCCTGCTTTTTTTTTGCTTTCCATTTGCTTGGCAGATCTTCCTCCATCCCTTTATTTTGAGCCTATGTGTGTCTCTGCATGTGAGATGGGTATCCTGAATACAGCACACTGATGGGTCTTGATTCTTTATCCAATTTGCCAGTCTGTGTCTTTTAATTGGGGCATTTAGCCCATTTACCTTTAAGGTTAATATTGTTATGTGTGAATTTGATCCTGTAATTATGATGTTAGCTGGTTATTTTGCCTGTTAGTTGATGCAGTTTCTTCCTAGCATCGACGGTCTTTACAATTTGGCATGTTTTTGCAGTGGCTGGTACCGGTTGTTCCTTTCCATGTTTAGTGCTTCCTTCAGGAGCTCTTGTAAGGCAGGCCTGGTGGTGACAAAATCTCTCAGCATTTGTTTGTCTGTTAAGGATTTTATTTATCCTTCATTTATGAAGCTTAGTTTGGCTGGATATGAAATTCTGGGTTGAAAATTCTTTTCTTTAAGAATGTTGAATATTGGCCCCCACTCTCTTCTGGCTTGTAGTTTCTGCCGAGAGATCCGCTGTTAGTCTGATGGGCTTCCCTTTGTGGGTAACCCGGCCTTTCTCTCTGGCTGCCCTTAACATTTTTTCCTTCATTTCAACTTTGGTGAATCTGACAATTATGTATCTTGCGGTTGCTCTTCTCGAGGAGTATCTTTGTGGTGTTCTCTGTATTTCCTGAATTTGAATGTTGGCCTGCCTTGCTAGGTTGGGGAAGTTCTTCTGGATAACATCCTGACAAGTGTTTTCCAGCTTGGTTCCATTCTCCCCATAACTTTGAGGTACACCAATCAAACATAGATTTGGTCTTTTCACATAGTCCCATATTTCTTGGAGGCTTTGTTCATTTCTTTTTACTCTTGTTTCTCTAAACTTCTCTTCTCACTTCATTTCATTAATTTGATTTTCAATCACTGATACCCTTTCTTCCACTTGATCGAATTGGCTACTGAAGCTTCTTCATGCGTCACATAGTTATTGTGCCACGGTTTTCAGCTCCATCAGGTCATTTAAGGTCTTCTCTACGCCGTTTATTCTAGTTAGCCATTCGTCTAATCTTTTTTCAAGGTTTTTAGCTTCCTTGCGATGGGTTCAAACATCCTCCTTTAGCTCAGAGAAGTTTGTTATTACCGACCTTCTGAAGCCTATTTCTGTCAACTCGTCAAAGTCATTCTCTGTCCAGCTTTGTTCCGTTGCTGGTGAGGAGCTGCAATCCTTTGGAGGAGAAGAGGTGCTCTGGATTTTACAATTTTCAGATTTTCTGCTCTGGTTTCTCCCCATCTTTGTGGTTTTATCTACCCTTGGTCTTTGATGATGGTGACCTACAGATGGGTTTTTGGTGTGGATGACCTTTTTGTTGATGTTGATGCTATTTCTTTCTGTTTGTTAGTTTTCCTTCTAACAGTCAGGTCCCTCAGCTGCAGGTCTGTTGGAGTTTGCTGGAGGTCCACTCCAGACCCTGTTTGCCTGGGTATCACCAGCGGAGGCTGCAGAACAGCAAATATTGCAAAACAGCAGATGTTGCTGCCTGATCCTTCCTCTGGAAGCTTTCTCTCAGAGGGGCACCTGGCTGTATGAGGTGTCAGTCGGCCCCTACTGGGAGGTGTCTCCAAGTTAGGCAACACGGGGGTCAGGGACCCACTTGAGGAGGCAGTCTGTCCATTCTCAGAGCTCAAACATTGTGCTCGGAGAACCACTGCTCTCTTCAGACAGTGATGTTTTAAATCTGCAGAAGTTTCTGCTGCCTTTTGTTCAGCTATGCCCTTCCCCCAGAGGTGGAGTCTACAGAGGCAGGCAGGCCTTGTTGAGCTGTGGTGGGCTCCACCCAGTTCAAGCTTCCTGGATGCTTTGTTTACCTACTCAAGCTTCAGCAATGGTGAATGCCCGTCCCCCAGACAGGCTGCAGCCTCACAGTTCGATCTTGGACTGCTGCGCTAGCAGTGAGCAAGGCTCCGTGGGTGTGGGACCCACTGAGCCAGGGGCGGGATATAATCTCCTGGTATGCCATTTGCTAAGACCATTGGAAAAGCACAGTATTTGGGTGGGCATGTCCTGTTTTTCCAGGTACAGTTTTCACAGCTTCCCTCAGCTAGGAAAGGGAAATCCCCTGACCCCTTGCACTTCCCAGGTGAGGCGATGCCCTGCCCTGCTTCAGCTCACCCTCCATGGGCTGCACCCACTGTCCAACCAGTCCCAATGAGATGAACCATGTACCTCAGTTGGAAATGCAGAAATCACCCGTCTTCTGCATCGATCACACTGGGAGCTGCAGACTGGAGCTGTTCCTATTTGGCCATCTTGGAATGGACCCTCCCACGATTAATCTTTTAAAGTTCACAAATGATTTGAACATGCAGTCAAGACTGAAAACCACTGATGTAAATATAGCCATTTTCCTAGTATTTCTTCTATTTTCCTTTCCTTTCTTTTTTTTTTTTTTTTTCTGAGGCAGGGTCTTACTCTGTTGCCCAGGCTAGAGTGCAGTGGCATGATCATGGCTTACTGCAGCCTCCACCTCCAAGCTCAAGCGATTCTCCTGCCTCAGCCTCCTGAGTAGCTGGAGCTACAGGTGCACGCCACCATGCCCAGCTAATTTTTGTTGTAGAGACAGGTTTTGCCATGTTGTCCTGGCTGTTCAAAATCTCCTGGGCTCAAGCAATCCATCCAGCTTGGCCTCCCCAAGTGCTGGGATCACAGGTAACAACCACTGCACCCCTCCTGTTTTCTATTTTAATTGCACCATGACAATAATTGCCTTCTCTTGATTTTCTCTTTCTCTTCTTCTCAGAGCTGTGATATTTATTTTCCTCCTCCCAAGACTTAAAAATGTTGTTAAGGATTTTGTGTTTTCTCTTCCATCCCCACCCCTCAACTCAGTAAGCCTTCATTCTGGGGAAGATGAATCCCTTGGAATCCCTTAGAGGGTGAAAGGAATGCAGGAAGGAGGGAAAGATAAGACTCCAGAGGCTCTCAGTGGAGAGAGCAAGAAAGTTCCTTCTCTATGAACCCAGCAAACGCCTCCTTCAGTATTAACTGTGGTAGTAATAAACCATTGTAAGCCCCCAAATACCTTTAAGTCAGTCAAAAATAACCTAGGCAAAATGCAAAGTTGTTGATAGAAGTGTTTTGAGGTCAGGTGTGGTGGCTCACGCCTATAATCCTAGCATTTTGGGAGGCCAAAGTGGGCGGATCACGAGCTCAGGAGATCGAGACCATCCTGGCTAACCCAGTGAAACCCCATCTCTACTAAAAATACAAAAAATTAGCCGGGCGTGGTGGCGGGCGCCTGTAGTCCCAGCTACTCGGGAGGCTGAGGCAGGAGAATGGCGTGAACCCGGGAGGCGGAGCTTGCAGTGAGCCGAGATCGCGCCACTGCCCTCCAGCCTGGGCGACAGAGCGAGACTCCATCTCAAAACAACAACAACAACAAAAAAAAAAAAAGAAAAAGAAAAAGAAGAAGTGTTTTGAAAACAGCCAATATGTCTTGGTTATACAGGTAAGAACATTAACATAATTAACTATAACTTAAGGTAAAGAGAAGTTCCCATAAATTTTAAGTTAAATTCTTCCACTTCTCCATTTTTCTTTCCAATTCCAATGCTCCTTTCCTTACTAAAAACACTACACAGTAGTCCCCCCTTAATTGAGAAGAATAGGTTCCAAGACCCCCAGTTAGTTCCTGAAACTGAGCATAGTACCAAACCCTGTATATACTATGTCTTTTCAATCTGATAACCCAACAGCTACTAAGTGACTAGTGGGCAGGTAGTGTCTACTGCATAGATACGTGGGACAAAGAGATGATTCACGTCCCAGGTGGACAGAGCAGGACATCCGGAGATTTCACCATGCTACTCAGAACAGTGCACAATTGAAAACTTATGAATTGTTTATTTCTGTAAATTTTTATTGGATATTTTTGGACTGCAGTTGACCTAGAGTAACTGGAACCGCAGAAAACAAAACCAAAAAAACCATGGATAAGAGAGGCTACTGTACCTTCTGTCTCCCTCAGTACACCGTGTCCTCCCACAAGCTCTTCCTGCATACTGATAGAATAGATTACTGCTTTCCTCATGAGACCCCCCCATTCAAAAGCATCAGGTGATTTCTCTCTGCCTAAAGCGATTTCTCTTTGTCCAATCGAGTGCAAAACCCTTGGCTTAGCATTTGGGGGCTCCACAATCTCTCCTCTACTCCTGTCTCCAATTTAATCTCCCTCACTTCCCCTATAGGAACACTTTTCTCTGGCCAAAATTGGTGGACTTGTCCACTGTCCCTCTATGAACCCACCTCCGTGCCTGATCTCACGCTCACTTAAAACCAGGAGTATTTTTTTCCACTTTCCTTCACTGGACACCTGTCTCAAATTTCACTTTCTCCATGAAGATTGGCAATCCCAGCAGCTTCTATTTCCACACAAAAAGACTGCCTGGAAAAGCTGGGGTCTTGACACACATTGTGGACATTTTATACGAAGAAACAGCTGCGGGGGATAGGACAGGGCACAGCAGTTGTGGGAGAAGGGTGACTGAGTAGGTGGCAATGAGGTATTAGGGTAAAGACCTTATGTTCCTCTATAAAGAAAGTAGCAAACCAACAACTGACAGGCCAAGTGCAGCCTAAAGTTGTGTTTTGTTTGGCCCAGAGAGTGTTTTTAGATGCTGGTTACTCATTCCAATTTTTTAAAAGCTGGAGCTTACACAAAAATTTGAACTTCTGGCTTCGCTTTAAAAGATTATAACATTCAGCCATGCTGCGCTGTATTTCAATAAGTTTTTGCTACCCACCCTGATTCTTGGTCACCTAAATAAACACTTATTATTTTCCCCAATTCTGTGGGTCAGCTGGGCAGTCCTGGTCTGGGCCAACTTAGCTGATCTCTGTGGTCATCTGGGACTGGATGGTCTAGAACAGCCTTGCTCACATATCTTGGCCATGTGCGTCCTGCAGCAGGCTAGCCAGGGCTCTTCCACGGGTCGTGGTCAAAGTTTCCCAAGCGCATCAGGAGAGCAAGCACCAATGTCTGAGTGCCTTTCACACCTCTGCCTGTATCCCATCTACTAATGTCCCATCAGCCAAAGCAAGTCTCATGGCCAAACCCAGATTCAAGCGCTGGAGAAACAGATCCCACCTCTTGATATAAGGAGTTGCAAAGGCACATTGCAAAAAGGGTATGTATTCAGGGATGGGAAGACTTTCTGGCCATTTTTGCAATCTATGATAGCCGTGGTCAACTGGAGGTGGGTAGCTGTGGTCTTCTTTGGGCAGGGGACATGCCATCAGGTCATCACAAACCCCACTCCTCTCCCTCACTGAATCATTGCTACCTAGCCCACTGGCTTTATGTTGCTCCTTGGACCACCTGAGTGGAACACTTTCTCAAGCCCTCCTGGTTACTGCAAACAACAGCTCTGCAAATTGCTAAAAGGGAGCACCAGTGGATTAAGACCGCAAAGCAGGGTAATGCAGGATCTGCACGAACAGGTTTAAGAACAAGAACATTCAAAAAGAAGCACATAAAAGTATCAAGAGGTTAACATAGAACTGTCACAAAGGAATGGCATAAGACACAGGCTCTCAACCCTGGTGGCACTTTTGAATCACTCAGTAGCCTGAAACTTACTACTGCCCAGGACGCATCCATATCAATTACATCAGAATCTCAGGGGTAGAGGCTGAACTGGATACAGTCCTAAAAGCTCCTTAGCTAATGCTAACCAATGGCAAAATTGAGAATCACTAGCATTGGGTTCTTTCTATTTCAAAGTTCAAAGTGTTGGTAAATTCCCCCAAAGAAGTAGATTGCCATCTTAGTAGCCAAAAAAAAAAGAAACTCCAATCACAAAAGAGTCTTAAAAATAAGTATTTGAAAGGAGAGGGGGTTAATGCATTTCAGGTGACTAGGCAGGTTCTAGTTACATGAATCCAAACTAATTCTTAAATAAGGTTAACCCAGTTATATTGGCCATTGAGTGCCCGAGGTCAGAACCTGGGGAGGGAAGAAGATCTAGATGCCTTCTCTGATTTAATGACTCAATCAATGATGTTATCTCAGATGGCAGAAGCAAGGCCAAAGCTGGGGACAAAGGAACTTCCCCCTCCTTTCCTTTACCTGCTCTCTCGAGGGATAGGACATATGGTAGAATGCATCTGTTGGATGTGGTCAAGCCCCTTTGGTGTGGAGGTTTTTCCATCAAAACCTCTCTGACCTGCAGGCCAGAGAGGGAGACGTATGCACCAGAGCTTTTTTTTTTTTTTTTTTTTTTTAGATGGGGTCTTGCTCTTTTGCCCAGGCTGGAGTGCAGTGGCACAGTGATAGCTCACTGCAACCTCAACCTCCTGGCCTCAAGCAATCTTCCCATCTCAGTCTGTGGAGCAGCTAGGATTACAGCCTTGAGCCACCTCACCCTGACTGGCAGAGCTTTTCAACTCCACACACAAGCCTGCCCTGTGGACCCTCTCCAGCAGGCTTCAAGAGCCCAGTGGGAAGCGGCAGGGGTGATAATGCAGCAGCCCAGAGCTGAAGGGGGCCAGTTCAAGA
Source organism: Homo sapiens (assembly GCF_000001405.40). NCBI lineage: Eukaryota > Metazoa > Chordata > Mammalia > Primates > Hominidae > Homo > Homo sapiens. Next base: position 109,948,720 of record NC_000002.12, on the reverse strand, counting down.
CTAAGAGGGAGACTGAACAAAAACGCTCTCCACCTCCCACACACTTGCACAACGCAAAGGAGATGCAGCATGGACCCTGAGGGGTCTAAAGATTGGCTGTCATGACTGTGCCAGGCACTGTGCCAGGGCCTGACCGACGTTGTCACCCATGATCTTCATGACTTCTGACGGCCCATCATACTGTAATTCAGGCCTCAGATTTCCTGAATCAGAGCAGGGGCTCCTGCCATTGAAGTCCTGCCTCCCTCTCCACTGTCTTAGTTCTTGTCCAGTGCAAGAAAATAGATCAAGAAGGGTCGCTTGGAAGCTCAAACTCTTTCGAAGAAGCTCAGGCTATCGCAGCGAAACAGACCCTGAGCGGCTGCGCAGCCCTTCTGCTGTGTCCCGCAGGCATCGGAAGACCCGGGGCTGCATCAGCACTCCCGGGGCCCACATCCTGCAGCCTTCTTTCCGGGCGTTTTCCTGCTGCCTTGGAGTTCTGTGGGGACGCGCATTGGTCACCAAACAAGGGTGCGCGCCTCACTGAGTGAGGATGGCCCCTAATCTGGAGCCCCAGCACCGATCCCTGCTCAGCCCCGGAGAGTGGGAGGCTTGTCGGGTCGCTTGACTACAACGTGCGGGCTGCGCTCTAGCTGGCGGTGCGCCTCCCAGCTGAGCAGCCCAATGAGCAGGGAACCGAGAAAGACCGAAAGCAGAGGGGTTCCTAGTCCCGCTGACCCCCAAGGGCCCTCATTCTCTGCAGCCGGCCGTGGCTTCCAGCGGGTTCGCTTTCTCCCTGGGAGTCCCGGAGGCGCCCGGCACCAGGAGGGCAACGAAGGGGCAGGAGGCGCTGCCGTCCGGGCGCCCTCCGAGCACAGCCAGGAAGTCCTCCTTACCTCATGGGTCTGCGGCTCCTCGCCGGGCTGCGGGCGCAGGCAGCTCACCACCGCGGCTAGGCCGGCCCCGGACATCGCGGCGGCGGGCGCGGCGAGCGGGGATGCGCGGGCGTCGGGGCGGCAGCCGCAACGGACTCTGCCCTCCTCGTGCAGGCCGGAGGCCCCGCCTGGGCGCGCGGCGCTCGGTCCTTCACGTGACCGCTGCGGGTGGGCCTGCGGGCGGAGGACGGGCGACGGCGGGGCGGGCTCCCAGGCTCCGGCCCCTTCCCTGGCGGCGCGCTGGGCCCAGCGCAGGGAAGCGGATCCGGCAGGGACGGGGAGTGGGACGCGCGAGGGGCAGCAGGGGTAAGAGCTCGGGCGGGTGGCCGCGTGGGTTAAAGGTCAAAGGTCACCTCCGCAAATGGCACCAACTGTGTAGCCTGGCAGTGGGACTTTGTCCAGCTTTCTGATCAGTAGAATAGAAGGATGCCTTCCTCCAAGACCTGTTTGGAGAATTAAACCAGCTAATGTAGGAGCCACGGCTGCCGCTGGGGAGGGCCCAGTAATTATTAGTTCCCTCCCCGTCCTAGGGGACCCCCCAGGAGAGCGTAGTGTGGGCTCCTAGTGGGGCCTCTCGAGGCAAATACCTCCCGAGAGGGGGCGCGCGCCCTCCCCTCTTCCCATGGGGCGCCCCCAGTTCCAGCCTGACCTGGAACTCAGGGTTGCCAGAGCTGCTGAATTTTCAAGAGAAAGCGGAAATCTGAGTTTTAATGAGACCGCTCCTGATTTTTTAAAACGTTGATCATGAAGTTAAAACAATAATAATGGTAAGTACTTGCCGGCCAACTGTCAGGTAAGCCCTGGCGGGCAAAGCAGGTGGTCCTGGGCTCCTGTACCAACCAACTTCACTGACTCCTCCCAGAGGAGGGAGAAGCCTGGCGGGACTGTGACAATCCCTGTCACCTGGCATGAGGTGTGATGTCCCTCTGGGTGGTTCATCAAGACTTGGTGCTAGGCCAAGCCAGTGGCTCATGCCTGTAATCCCAGCATTCTGGGAGGCCAAGGCGGGAGTGACAAGTGAAGCCAGCTGGACTTCCTGAGTGCAGTGGGGACTTGGGGAACTTTTCTTACAAGAGGATTGTAAAATGCACCAATCAGGAACTTTTCTGTCTTACAAGAAAATTGTAAAACGCACCAATCAGTGCTCTGTAAAATGCACCAATCAGCGGTATTCTAAAAGTAGCCAATTGCGGGGAGGATTGAAAAAAGGGCACTCTGATAGGACAGAAACGGAACATGGGAGGGGCCAATAAGGGAATAAAAGCTGGCCACCACCGCAGCCGGCAGCGACAACTGCTTGGGTCCCGGTCAGCTTTGCGGAAGCTTTATTCTTTCTGTTTTCACAATAAACCTTGCTACTGCAGGGTCCCTGCCATCTTTAAGAGCTGTAACACTCACCAGCAAGGTCCATGGCTTCATTCTTGAAGACCAGGAACCCACCGGAAGGAACCAACTCCAGACACAAGAGGATTGTCCAAGCCCAAGAGTTTGATACCTGCCTAGGCAACATATCCAGACCAGATCTCTTTAAAAAAAAAAAGAGCTGGGCATGGTGGCAAACCTATAGTTGGCTAGTCTAGGCAGAGATGAAGGATGGCTTGAGCTTAGGAGGTTGAGGCTGCAGTGAGTGGTGATTGCACCACTGTAATCCAGCCTGGGCAACAGCAATACTGCTCTCTAAACATAAAAAATTAAATAAAGACTTAGTGCTAGGTGCTGATTTCTGGCAAGTTCCAGGTGGGAGACTGGCAGGCAGCATTATAGTCCTCTAAGAGAATTCAAACCCTAATTTCTGGGACTATGAATCTGTTACTTTACAAGGCAAAAGAGCCTTGTGGACAGGTTTCTAATCAGTTGACTTTAAAATAGGGAGGTTATCCTGGATTTATCTGGGTTGGCCTGGTGGAATCACCCTTAAACCCTAAAGAGCAAGACAGGGGAGAGGAGACATTTGAAGCTTATGAAAGACTCAGTGTGCCTGGATGGGACGCTGTTGCCTCGAGGATGAAGGGAACTGCAAGGAACTAAAGTTCTGCTGACAATTTGAATGAGCTCAAAAGTGAATTCTTCCCCAGGGCCTTGCAGAAAGGAACACAATTTGCTGACACCTTTATTCCCACCTTGTGAGACACCGAGCAGAGAATCCATGTGGCAATGTGTTATGCAGCATAGAAAACTAATACAGGACACTGACCTGCATTGCAACACCAGAATTGTGTCCTAGCTGGAGGCTGGCCTGCAATGAGAACTGCATGTGGCCACAGTTTCTCGGCAGGCATGCCAGGCATGGCACTTCACCCCTCTCCTCTGACTGTTACCACTCAGTTCTAACATCCCCTGAGAGCCCTTCCTCAACTTCTCCAGGCCAACAGGTGGCTTCCTTTCTGTGCTCACCACACCCTTCGTGAAAACAGCTACTTGGTGCTTCCTTTGATCTATGTGCACATGTTGCCTGCTTCCCACCAGGCCACAAGCACCTGTGGGAGGAAGGGAACTGGAAACATTTGTCTTTGAATCCCAAGCCCCGGGCAGACAGCAGGCATATGGTGGCTGAAATGGTAAAGTGAAATTTCTACCAATGTGTAATCAAAGGTCCTTGTCTACAAGGTATCTTAATTACCTTTTTTAAAAAAGAAATTCAGTAGTTTTGGGGGAACTGGTGGTTTTTGTTACATAGATAAGTTCTTTAGTGGTGATATCTGAGATTTTGGTGCACACATCATCCGAGCAGTGTACGTTGTGCCCAATACGTAGTTTTTTATCCTTAACCACCCTTCCCCCATTTCTCCGGTGTCCCCAAAGTCCAATTTGTAATTCTTATGCCTTTGAATCCTCGTAGCTTAGCTTCCAGTTATAAGTGAGAATATACAATATTTGGTTTTCCATTCCTGAGTTACTACACTTAGAATAATGGTTTCAAACTCCATGAGGTTGCTGTGAATGCCATTATTTCATTCATTCTTATCACTGAGTAGTATTCCATGGTGTATATGTATATATATGTACACATATACACCACGTTTTCTTTTTCCACTCATTGGTGGATGGGCATTTAGGCTGGTTCCAAATTGTTGCAATTGTGAGTTGTGCTGCTATAAACATGAGTGTGCAATATCTATTTCATATAATGACTTCTTTTCCTCTGGATAGATACCCAGTGGTGGGATTACTGGATCAAATGGTAGTTGTACTTTTAGCTCTTTAAAAAATCTCCACAGTGTTTTCTATAGTGGTTGTACTAGTTTACATTCCCAACAGCAGTGTAAAAGTGTTCCCTTTCCACCACATCCACATCAACATCTATTGTTTTTTGATTTTTAAATTATGGCCATTCTTGCAAGAGTAGGTAGTATCTCATTGTGGTTGTAATTTGCATTTCCCTGATAGTGATGCTGAGCATTTTTTCATGTGTGTGTTGGCCATTTGTACATCTTCTTTTGAGAATTGTCTATTAATTTCCTTTGCCCACTTTTTGATGGGATTATTTGTTTTTTTCTTGCTGATTTGTTTGAGTTCCTTGTAGATTCTAAATATTAGTCCTTTGTGAGATGCATAGTTTGAGAATATTTTCTCCCTCTCTGTGGGTTGTCTGTTTACTCTGCTGATTATTTCTTTTGCTATGCAGAAACTTGTAACTTAATTAGGTCCAATGTATTTATTTTTGTTTTTGTTGCATTTGCTTTTGGGTTCTTGGTAGTTAACGAACTCTTTGCCTAAACCAATGTCTAGGGTAGTTTTACTGATGTTATCTTCTGGAATGTTTATGATTTTGGGTCTTAGATTTTAAGTCTTTTTTCTTTTCTTTTCTTTTCTTTTTTTTTTTTTTTTTTTGAGACAATCTCACTCTGTCACCCAGGCTGGAGTGCAGTAGAGCAATCTCCGCTCACTGCAACTCCCAACTCTCAGGTTCTCATGCCTGAGCCTCCCTAGTAGCTGGGATTACAGGCACCCATCACCACGCCTGACTAATTTTTTGTATTTGTGGTAGAGACAGGATTTCACCATGTTGGCAAGGCTGGTCTTGAACTCCTGACCTCATGTGATCTGGCCACCTTGGCCTCCCAAAGTGCTGGGATTACAGTTGTGATCCCCCATGCTCGGCCTAGATTTAAGTCTTTGATCCATCTTGAGTTGATTTTTGTATAAGTTGAGAGATGAGGATTCAGTTTTACCCTTCTACATGTGGCTTCCCAGTTATCCCTGCACCATTTGTTGAATAGGGTGTCCTTTCCCCACTTTATGTTTTTGTTTGCTTTGTCAAAGATCAGTTAACTGTAAGTATTTGGCTTTATTTCTGGGTTCTCTATTCTGTTCCATTGGTCTACTTGCCTGTTTTCATACCAGTACCATACTGTTTTGGTAACTACAGCCTTGTAGTATAAAGTCAGGTGATGTGATGCCTCCAGATGTGTTCTTTTTGCTTAGTCTTGCTTTGGCTATGTAGGGTCTTTTTTGGTTCCATTTGAATTTTAGGATTGCTTTTTAAAGCTCCATGAAAAATGCTGATGGTATTTTGATGGGAATTGCATCGAATCCATAGACTGCTTTTGGCACCATGATCATTTTCACAGTATCGAGTCTACCCATCCATGAGCATGGAATGTGCTTCCATTTGTTTGTGTTATCAGTGATTTCTTTCTGTCTTGCAGTTTTTCTTGTAGAGATATTTCGCCTCCTTGGTTCAGTATATTCCAAAGTATTTTATTTTATTTTTTGCAGCTGTTGTAAAAGGGATTGAGTTCTTGATTTGTTTCTCAGTCTTGTTGTTGGTGTACAGCAGTGCTACTGATTTGTGTACATTGATTTTGTATCCTAAAACTTTATTGAATTCATTTATCAGATCTATGAGCTTTTTGGGTGAGTCTTTAGGCTTTTCTAGGCATACAATTATATCATCGGTGAACAGCAACAGTTTGACGTCCTCTTTACTAATTTAGATGCCCTTTATTTCTTTCTGTTGTCTGATTGCTTTGGCTAGAACTTCCAGCACTACGCTGGATAAAAGTTGTGAAAGTGGGCATCTTTGTCTTGTTCCAGTTCTCAGGAAGAAAGCTTTCAACTTTTCCCCATTCAGTATCATGTTGGCTGTGGGTTTGTCATAGATGGCTTTTATAACCTTGAGGTATGTCTCTTGTATACCAGTTTTGCTGGATTTTATCAAATGCTTTTTCTGCATTGATTGAGATGATCATATGATTTTTGTTTTTAATGCTGTTGATGTGATGTGTCACATTTGTTGACTTGTGAATGTTAAACCATCCTTGCATTTCTGGTATGAAACCCACTTGATCCTATTGTATTACCTTTTTGATATGCTGTTGGATTCAGCTAGTATTTTGTTGAGTATTTTTGCATCTGTGTTCATCAGGGATCTTAGTCTGTAGTTTTCTTTTATTGTTATGTCCTTTCCCAGTTTTGGAATTAGGATGATACTGGCTTCATAGAATGATTTATGGAGGAGTCCCTCTTTTTCTATCTTTTGGAATAGTTTCAGTAAGATTGGTATCAATTCTTCTTTGAATGTCTAATAGAATTCACCTGTCAGTCCATCTGGTTCTGGACATTTTTTTGTTGGCAAATTTTTTTATTATTGTTTCAATCTTGCTAATTATTGGTCTGTTCAGAGTTTCTATTTTTTCGTGATTTAATATGGGAGGAATTTATCCATCTCTTCCAGATTTTCTAATTTGTGTGCATAAAAGTGTTCATAGTAGCCTTGAATGATCTTTTGTATTTCTGGGGTATTGGTTGTAATATCTCCAGTTTCATTTCTAATTGAGCTTATTTGGATCTTCTATCTTCTTGGTTAATCTCAGTAATGGTCTATCAATTGTGTTTTATCTTTTCAAAGAAACTGCTTTTTGTTTCATTTATGTTTTGTGTTTTTAATTTTAATTTCATTTAGTTCTGCTCTGATCTTTGTTATTTACTTTTTTTCTGCTGAGTTTGGATTTGGTTTGTTTTTGTTTCTCTAGTTCCGTGAAGTATGATGTTAAATTGCCTACTTGTGCTCTTTCAGACTTTTTGATGTAAGCATTTAATGCTTTAAACTTTCCTCTTAGCACCACTTTTGCTGTATCCCAGAGGTTTTGATAAGTTGTTTCACTGTCATTGTTCAACTCAAAGAATTTTTAAATTTCCATCCTGATTTCATTGTTGACCCAAACATCATTCAAGAGCAAATTATTTAATTTCCATGTATTTGTATAGTTTTAGGGGGTCCTTTTGGAGTCGTTTCCAGTTTTATTCCACTGTGGTCTGAGAGAATACTTTATATAATTTCAATTTCCTTAAGTTAACTGACTTGCTTTGTGACCTATCATATGGTCTATTTTGGAAAATTTTCTATGTGCTGAAGAAAAGAGTGTATATTTTGCAGTTGTTGGGTAGAATCTTCTGTAAATATTTGTTAAGTCCATTTGATCCAGAGTTAGTTTAAGTCCATTGTTTCTTTATTGACTTTCTGTCTTGATGACCTGTCTAGCACTGTCAATGGAGTATTGAAGTCCCCCACTATTACTATGTTGCCTTCTATTTCATTTCTTAGGTCTACTAGTAATTATTTTATAAATTTGGGAGCTTCAGTGTTCGGTGCATATGTATTTATGATTGTAATATTTTCCCATTTAACTATTTCTTTTATCATTGTATAATGTGCCTATTGTCTTTTTTTTACTGTTGTTGCTTTGAAGTGTGTTTTGTCTGATATAAGAATAGATACTCCTGCTCACTTTTGGTTTCCATTTGCGTGGAATATCTTTTCCCACCTCTTTACCTTAAATTTATGTGAGTCCTTATACATTTAAGTGAGTCTCTCAAAGACAGCACACACTTAGTGGTGGATTTTTATTCATTCTGCCATTCTGTGTCTTTTAAGTGGAGCATTTAGGCCATTTACATTCAACATTAGTATTGAGATGTGAGGTACTGTTCTATTCATCATGCTAGTTGTTGCCTTAATAATTTTTTTCATCGTGTTATATAGGCCCTGTGAGATTTATGCTTTAAAGAGGTTCTATTTTGATGTATTTCAAGGTCTTGTTTCAAGGTTTGGAACTCCTTTTAGCATTTCTGGTAGTGCTGGCTTAGTAGTGGCAAATTCTCTCAGCATTTGTTTGGCTGAAAAATACTTTTCTCTTTTTCATTTACGATGTTTAGTTTTGCTGGATACAAAATTCTTGACTGACAATTATTTTGTTTCAGGAGGCTAAAGGTGGGACCCCAATCTCTTCTGGGTTGTAAGGTTTCTGCTGAGAAGTCTTCTGTTAATCTGATAGGTTTTCCTTTATAGGTTATCTGGTGCTATTGTCTCACAGCTCTTAAGATTGTTTCCTCTGTCTTGGCTTTAGATAACCTGATGACTATGTGCCTAGGTTATGGTCTTTTTGCAATGAATTTCCCAGGTGTTCTTTGAGCTTCTTGTATTTGGATGTGTAGATCTCTGTCAATGCTAGGGAAGTTTTCCTCAATTATTCCCTCAAATTAGTTTTCCAAAATTTTAGATTTCTCTTCTTCCTCAGGAACACCAATCATTCTTAGGTTTGGCCATTTAACATAATCCCAAGTTTCATGGAGGCTTTGTTCATTTTTTAAAATTATTTTTCCTTTGTCTTTGTCTGATTGGGTTAATTTGAAAGCTTTGTCTTTGAGCCCTGAAGTTCTTTTTTATACTTGTTCAAGTCTGTAGTTAAAATGTTCCATTGCATTTTGTGTTTCTCTAGGTGTCTTTCATTTCCAGAAATTGTGATTGTTTTTTCTTTATGATATCTATTTTCCTGGATAAATTTTCACTCATATCCTGTATTTTCTTATTTCTTTATTTTATTTATTTATTTATTTATTTTGGGTCACTCTGTCACCCAGGCTGGAGTGCAGTGGTGCAACCTCGGCTCACTGCAACCTCCACCTCCCGGATTCAAGCAATTCTCCTGCCTCAGCCTCTCGAGTAGCTGGGATTACAGGTGCCCACCACCACACCCGGCTAATTTTTGTATTTTTAGTAGAGACGGGGTTTCACCGTGTTAGCCAGGATGGTCTTGATCTCCTGATCTTGTGATCCACCTGCCTCGGCCTCCAAAAGTGTTGGGATTACAGGCGTGAGCCACCACACCTGGCCTTCAATTTCTTTACGTTCGTTTTCACCTTTCTCTAGTATCTCTTTGAATAGCTTAATAATTGACCTTCTGAATTATTTATCTGACAATTTAAAGATTTCTTCTTGGTTTGGATCCATTGCTGGCGAGCCAGTATGATCTTTTGAGGGTGTTCTAGAACCCTGTTTTGTCATATTACCAGAATTACTTTTCTTCCTTCTCAATTGGGTAGACTAATACAGTGGGGAGATCTGAAAGTCAAGGCCTGCTGTTCAGATTCTCTTGTCCCACTGGGTAACCCCTTGATGTAGTGCTCTCCCCTTTCTTCTAGGAATGGGGCTTCCTGAGAGCTGGACTGCAGTGATTGTTATTTCTCTTCTGGGTCTAGCTACCAGTGAGGATACCAGGCTCTGGACTGGTCCTGGGGGATGTCTGCAAAGATTCCTGTGATGTGATCTGTCTTCAGGTCTCCAAGCCATGGATACCAGCACCTGCTCTGGTAGAGGTGGCAGGGAAGTGAAGTAGACTCTGTGAGAGTCCTTGGTTATAGATAGGTTTAGTGTGCTGGCTTTCTTGAATGCTGGTTGTCATAACAGTGAAATTGTCACGTGGACATCTTCAGGACCTCTGTTTAGCCAGGATGTTGCAGGCAGTAGAATTAGGTGTTGTCTTCTCCTTCCTAAGATCAGCATTATTCTGTCATGAGTTGCTGTAATGGCTTGAGTTGGTTGGCCTCCAGCGACGAGGTGGCACTTTCAAGAGAGCACCAGCTGCCATAGTAGTAGGGGGCTCTAAGCTTGTCCTAAGGTGGCCAGGGTAAGCATTTTGGTTTCTCAGGTGATGGGCATGGCCATAAAGCTCCCAAGAGGTTCTGTGTTTTGTGCTGGGCTACCAGGGTGGCTAGGGAAATACCATCAAGTGGGGGCAGGGTTAGGTGGGTCTGGGGTCAGACTCTCCTTGGACAGGGCTTGCAGTAGCCACTGTGGGGGAATGAAGGAGTGGTTCTTAGGCTAATGGAGTACTGTTCTAGAGTGGATCTTGGCCCTCTGCTGTGTTATATAGTTTTCCAGGAAAGCATTGGATAGCCCTTAATACGAGCTCTCGCCCAGTTCCCAAGCAGTTGGCGAGGTCGGTCTCACTCCCACAGTGCTCCTGCTCAGGCCGTGAGCTACCCTGCTGAGAAAGCAAGCGTGGCTTAAGGACCTCACCCCTCCCTGTCTGCCCACTCTGCCAGCAGCAGCTCCTGCACTCCTGCACTCGCTTGCTTGTATCCACAGCAGTTCCCGCTCATCCTCCAGACTCTGCTCGAGAAAGTTTGTGCCCGGTCAAAACCACTACCAATTTCAGTTGAGAGCTTCCTTTGCCCTGCAACTCCTCTCCAGTTCCACTGGCTGCCTTCCCTGAGTGGCTGTGTGAGATACAGTCAGGGATGGCTTCCTAGGGCTCAAGCTGGAGACTGGGAGTCCATTCAAGGCACTTCCCACTACTACTCTCATACTTTTATTTTTCTTACATCTCCCTAAACTCATTTCATCTCTGGTTAAGATTAAATCCTTCTCCTATGATCTGGATTTTTAGATTCCCCAGTGGGGATGTGTGTTCAAAGGTAGGTTTCCCCCTTCTTACACTTTGGGAACTCACAGTTTTTCTCCTGTTCCACAGAATTTACAGTGGTGTGCGTCTTCTTTCAAAGGATCCGTGAATTCTTTTGGTTTTCCCAGTATGTTCCTATGATAGTTCTTGGAGCACAACAGGGTCACAGTGTGAGTCTCCACATGGTGTTTTGTCCATCCATGTGGGAGCTACACATTAGCACTGCCTCCTATCTGCCATCTTCCCCTGATCTCAACAATTACCTTTTATAACTGTTTATTGCGTGGATTACCAGAAAACTCTCTGGTGCTCTTGAGAAAGGACAAATATTCTAGGTCTATCCTAAGTGGTGACTTAAGGAATGATTGTTTTATGGCAAGATCTTTTAAAATGGCTTTATTTTTTAAAAAAGATAAATATGTTCATTGTAAAGAGTTGAAACTACTAATCAAAGTTAATCACTTGCACACACTTAAACACACTTGTATGCAGCTCTGTGGAGATGGGATTACATCCTACACCACAGACACTGCTGACCTCTGACCTACTATCCACACGCTTCCCACCCAAGATCCCAGACTTGGGTCAGGCATTCATCTCATCTCTCTCTTTAGAGGAGGATCCTGCTTAGTCCAGGCCAATCCACACAGGGCATTTTCCTGGCAACAGTTACCTATCTAAGGGAAGTACATGACTTTAGTTGGCTCAGCCTGACTAAAAAGAGCCATGAGCTTAGGGGGAGAGGTTTTCTTCTTCTCTTCCCTCCCCTTTTCCTATGAATGTAATTTTTAAAAAACCACATATTCCTAACAGCTTCTCCAGCCACCTTGGGTGAAGATGACACTGTGGATGGCAGAGGAGGAAGATACAAACAGCCAGGTCTCTGATGGCCTCTTCAAGAGACTACTTTTTGGTACCTGCATTCTTGGAACCATTTGGACCAACCTTCAGACTTAGAATTATGTGAGCTATATTGTATGACCCAGGAGACAGAATGAGGTGATCTGTACAGCCAATAGGAAAAGATCTACAAAATATCAAATGAGGATGGGAAGATAGTACCCTGCAGAGTTTGATTTATGCAGAATTTTAAAGGATGCATATACTTACATTTTCTGATAAATGCATAAAATATTTTCCTGGAAAGATCCATAAGTAAACTGTAATCAGTGCTTACCTTTGAGAATACAGCAGGAAGTAGAGGCATGAAGGGAAAGGGACTTTTTCTTCTCATTTTGTACTTGTCTATAAGTTTTTTTTGTTTTGTTTTGTTTGTTTGTTTTGAGACGGAGTTGCGCTCTGTTGCCCCGGCTGGAGTGTAGTGGCCTGATCTGGGCTCACGACAAGCTCCGCCTCCCAGGTTCATGCCATTCTCTTGCTTCAGCCTCCCTAGTAGCTGGAACTACAGGATAAGGTTTCATTTTTAACTGTATGCCTACATTACTTGTATGTGTTTGCAGAAAGTAAAATCAACAGAGATGTGGTGATAGAATCTAATAGCAATTTTGTCATTTTCATGAACAAATATTTTATGCAATGGAAAATATTAAAACTCTGGGAATAAAGCGTGTTAATGCCTGTTCCTGGTTGCATATCTGCCAGTGGGGAGAATGCATCCTTGCAGGGTGAGGAGTCAGCCTTAGAAAGCAAGGCCTTTAGGAACCAGTTACCACTAAGCATACCCTATAACAACTCTTTGAGGTGCTGGTTTAGTCTGCTCAGGCTGCCATAACCAAGTACTCCCAGCCAAGTGGCTTAAACAGTAGAAATGTGTTTCCTTACAGTTCTGGAAGCCAAAATTCTGAGATCAGGATGCGGCAGGGTTGGTTTACAGTAAGGGCTCTCTGCTTGGCTGGTAGCTGGCCATCTCCTCTCTGTGTCTTCACACGGTGCTCCCTCTGTGTGTATCTGTGTCCAAGTTTCCTCTTCTAATAAGGACAGTCCTATTGGATCAGGGCCTGCTCTAAGGACCTCATTTTACTTGGATTACCTCTTTAAAGACCCTACCATATTCTGTGATACTGGGGGTTAGGACTTCAACACATGAATTTTGAGGAGATACAATTCAGCCCATAAGAAGTACTGATTACAACATCCACATTAGAGCTTAGGAAATGCAGGTTCAGAGAGGAGCATCAGACTGCCTCAGGTCACACAGCTTGAAAATGGCAGCACTGGGATTGCAAACCCAGACCTACTAGCACAGAGGCATCTCTACTCTACTCTGCAGCTACTAGGTAGTTTCAGCTGGGAAAATGAACAAAGTCCATATTCAGCCTGAGAATTCCACCCAATTCTATTTGCCAGTTATCCCCTAGATTCCACAGGATTTTGTGGAATTCTTTTTAAAACACTGCAATGTGACAATCAAGAGGTAGGGGCAAAGTCAACAGTGGTGGTTGAAAATAGAGGCCAAACCTTCTCCAATGCCTTCACAAGGCAGGGCACGCAGGAGCCCTGCTGTCTTTGGCTCCATCTCCTTCCCCTTCCCCTCACTCACTCCACTCCACTCCAGCCTCAATGGCTTCCTTTATGCTCCTCAAACATTCCCCAGGGCCTTTGCTCTAGCTATTCCCTTAGCCTGGATGATGCATTCCCCAGACACCCAAGTGTTTGCTCAGATCGTACCTTCTTAGGGAGGCAGACCTTGATCCCCACCCTACTGAACTCTTCAGCCCACCACTGCCCTCCTGCTCCCCTCCCCCTTGATCTTTTACTTCCTTGCATTGCCCTTATCACCTTCTGCCACACGATATGATTCTTTATATCTTCCATTTATTCTTAACTATCTATGTACTCCTGATAGAACACAATCTCCACAAGGGTGGAGATCTTTAATTTGTGCACAGGTATTTCCCAAGCACCTAAAATAGTGTCCAGAAAACAGAAGGTTTTCAAAAACTGTTTGTTGAATGAGACTTTCTGTAAGTGGTGTGGAATGGTTTCCATTAAGAGGGGACTGGTGGGAAAAAGTGGAACCTTCACATAATGGAGTACTGTTCAGCCATAAAAAGAAATGGAGTCTGTCTCTGGATACTATGAAGTGATGGCCAGGATATATTCAGTGAAAAAGCAAGGTAGAGATAAATGTGTATAGCATATTGCTATTCATCTAAGATAGAATATGAATATATAAACATATTTGCTTATATTAAAATACCAAAGGCAGGACATACTAAAAACTTCTTTCAAAGTTATCTTTGGAAGAATGAGGAAAAGGACTCACCCTTAATGCTCAGATTGTAGTCCTTAAATAGCCTATTTTACAAGAAGAAGCAGAGATCCTTGGAGAAATGGATGATTCCAGGTCTGGAGAAGGAAATACACAAATAAACCTAAAACATCTTGTCATACCAGGAACCAAGGAGGCTGTCTGAGATGGCTAGCAGCATGTCCGAAGGGCTCAGGGACAAAATTAAAGAGCTTCTGCTAGCCAGAATAAGGCCATTTCTCCACCAATAAGGATAATAATGGCAAAACATTGAAACATATTAAGTATGCTAAAAGTCTGTGCATTTCTAATGATACAGATATATAACTAGAGAATGCTTAGAAAATCACTTCATTATTTAGAAAACTGGTAAGCAGAGGGGAAGATTCAAGCATCTTGAAAGGTGGGATACTGCTTTTCTGAGTCAAACTATATTCAGAGTAACCAAACTGTAGATAATGGAAAGCTTCTCTTTATTGAAGTATTCCAGCTGAGAAATGAAAAAGAAATGTACAATTAAAATATAACCACAAGCAATCCCTGATGAGTTAGTGGATATGGGCAATGACCATCAGTGACTACTAACATCACACAAAAAAGAAAAATGTCTTTTTCTCCCAATGCGAGAACACACTAACACCTAAGACACACTTTTGCCAAAAATTAGAACTTGAATCTGTCCAGGTCTCCAGTTCTAATGCTGAGTTTTGAGGAATACAGGCAACCAAGGAATGTGCTAAATGACACCAGAGGGATGTAATTAATAAAATCCAGATTGCAGAAAACTCTAGAGGACAAACCATCCATTTTCAACAAACAAACAAACAAACAAAGGGGAGTGGAGAGAAATCTATAGATCAAAAGAAATTTTTAAAAAATTTTTTGAGACAGGGTCTCACTCTGTCACCCAGAATGGAGTGCAATGGTCCAGTCATAGCTCACTGCAACTTCGAACTCCTAGGCTCAAGCCATCCTCGCACCTCAGCCTCCAGAGTAGCTGGGACTACAGGCATGTGCCACCATGCCCGGCTAGTTTTTTAAATTTTTTTTGTAGAGACGGAGTTTCACTCTGTTGCCCAGGCTCGTCTTGAATTCCTAGCCTCAAGTAATCCTCCTGCCTCAGCCTCCCAAAGTGCTTGGATTACAAGCATGAGCCAGCCTCAAAAGAGACTTAAAAGACATATTGGCCAATTGGCCAATTTCAATTTGGATCCTAGTTTGAACAAAAAAATTGTTAAAAAAATTATGTGACAGAGAAAATTGAACTAACTGGATATTTGATAATTTTAAAGGATTATTACATTTTTAGATGTGATAATGATGTTGTTATTACATTTTATAAAGAAGTCTTACTTTTTAGAGATGATCATATCTTTTTAGAGATGTTTATGCATAAAATGATGAGGAGTGAGGGGGCATACAAATGGAACATGGTTGACTATGAGTTAATCAGTGTGAAGCTGTATGACAGTGGCATGAGAGTTTATTATATTTTTCTTTCTACTTTTGTATATATTTTAAATTATCCATAATATATTTTTAAAATGTACAACTCTTTCCAATTTGACTCCTTAAATTTAGCAGCATTAATATTGAGAGTTACTTTAAGATATCCCCTAAAATTCCTGGGATTTTCATGGTCACACATCAGGTACCCAATAGCTACATGTTCCTGTCTCTAAAATATGGTGAAAAACATCTGACCTGTTTGGAGGCATCACCCAGTTGTTTGGAGGCAAACTTGTGCACAGTAGTGATCTCCTCGGTTCACTCTGAGTCATCAATTCTGCAGCTCTCAGTTTGTGGAGAAATTTTCTAGAAACTGGAGAGAGAGGGGTAAAATAATAGGAGACATACAATAAAGCCAATGACACCATAATGGGGCTGTCAGGAGGCAGAAAAGGAGACGAGCAAAAAGAAACAAACAACATAAACATATGGATACATAATAAGTAAGAGTTACATCAGCGTTTCCCAAACCTGGCTGCCAGGTAGAATCATTTGCAGCACTTGTTTAAAATTTAGATGCCCAAATCCTGTCTCTGAAAATGCTGACTTAGGTCTGGTGTTGGGTCCCCTGCACTGTATTTTGAAACAAGTCCACAGGTGGTTTCCATTCCTGGTAGAGTAGGGGAGCCACTGATCTGCACTGCTAATTACAAACAATTCACCAGGGTTTTTGGGGGGCTTACAGTGGCTGTAGTCTTCAAACCTGGTATTTTCAAAATCCATTACCTCAGCATGGGAAAAAAGACTAGAAAAATAAAGCCCTGGTGAGCAGGGAATTAGATTTTTAGAAGTGTACTGAAACTCAAAAGTTGAAGTACATTTGATTCTCATTATTCTGGTTATAAAGTGACCACAAACAGTGAATTAGCAAATACTGAACCATTGCTCCTAGAGGACATACAGGTTTGGGTTCCTGCAAGTCTCTGGTCACAGTATTTTCATCAATCAGTCAATATACAACGTTGTTTTATGTGCCAAATTAACCGACGCAGAGCTCTAAATTATGCAGCTCAACTTCATATGAAATACAGGACAACAATCAGGTCTTTGGGGGTGGAGGTGGGAGGATGTATTGCTCTGCATTCAAGCAGTAAAAACATGTGACACTCAAATTAGGAGGATATGAGGAGAGTTTAATCAAAGGACTACTTACAAAGGTGGGGGTGGGGGGTGAAATGTAGCAGGTCCAGAACAATCTCTAGGGCTGGGGAGGCAGAGCTAGCACCACCCTCTCAGCCCTGTCCTCAGGCCCAAGGGAGAAGGGGGAGGAGCAACTCCTGCCTGGAGGAGAAGGGAGTATGGAGAGACACTGCCCTCAGAGGGGCAAGTGCAAAGTGAAAATGTGAGCCCTTCTGTCCAAAAAGCAGGCAAAACGTGACATTAAAGCATAAATTATTTTGTTGTTCCTCAGGTAAGTCTCCCCACTTCTCCTCTCTCCTTTTTCTCTTTTATCCTTTTCTCTTCCTCTCTCCTTGTCACATTGCTATTTATTTGCTATTTAATGTTACAGTCCCTCTTCCCTCTGGCATGGGGAT
Organism: Homo sapiens; assembly: GCF_000001405.40. NCBI lineage: Eukaryota > Metazoa > Chordata > Mammalia > Primates > Hominidae > Homo > Homo sapiens. Next base: position 109,931,865 of record NC_000002.12, on the reverse strand, counting down.
AGTGCATATCTTAGGGGACAGTGCAGACCCTCAAAGATGTCTATGGGCCCCACCCTGCATCTCAATCCATACTGCTTAGCCTTATTCTTTCCCAACCATTCATTTTAAGTCTCAGCTTTTTGGGAGACTGAGGCAGGATAATTGCTTGAACCTGGGAGGCAGAGGTTGCAGTGAGCTGAGATGGAGCCACTGCACTCCAGCCTGGGCGAAAGAGCTCAGTAAAAGAAAAAAAATTACTAGTATGCTTAATGAAGATTTGTTCAGGTTTAAATGAGCAGTTAAGGCTAGGCATGGTGGCTCAAGCCTATAATCCCGGTGCTTTGAGAGGTCAAAGGGGGAGGATCACTTGAGGCCAGGAGTTTAAGACTAGCCTGGGCAACACAGTATGACCCTGTCTCTACAAAAAACTAAAAATTTAGCAGGGTGTGGTGGTGTACACCTGTAGTCTCAACTACCCAAGAGGCTGAGACAGAAGGATCACTTGAGCCCAGGAGTCCAAGGCTATAGTGACTTATAATTGCCACTGCCTATCAACCTGGGCAACAGAGCAAGACCCTGTCTCTAAAAAAAGTAAAATAAAATAAAATAATTAAACGAGCCATTAAGATATAAATGATATATGCATGCTGTGATTTAGTCTATGGATTTATTCTAAAATTGCTAAAATGTCACCATGTAGTGACCATGAAAATCCCTTCAAAAAATCAATGAATCCAGGAGCTGTTTTTTTGAAAAAATTAACAAAATAGATAGTCTGCTAGCTAGACAAATAAGGAAGAAAAGACAGAATAACCAAATTGACACAATAAAAAATGATGAAGGAAATATCACCATTGATCCCACAGAAATACAAACTACTCTCAGAAAGTACTGTAAACACCTCTACGCAAATAAACTAGAAAATCTAGAAGAAATGAATAAATTCCTGGAAACAAACACCCTCCCAAGACTAAATCAGGAAGAAATCGAATCCCTGAATACACTAATAACAAGTTCTGAAATTAAGGCAGTAATTAATAGCCTACCAATCAAAAAAAGCCTAGGACCAGACGGATTCACAGCCAAATTCTACCAGAGGTACAAAGAGGAGCTGGTACCATTTATCCTGTAACTATTCCAAACAATTGAAAAGGAGGGACTCCTCCCTAACTCATCTTGTGAGGCCAGCATCATCCTGATACCCAAACCTGGCAGAGACACAACAAAAAAAGAAAACTTCAAGCCAATATCCCTGATGAACATTGATGTGAAAATCCTCAATAAAATACTGGCAAACTGAATCCAGTAGCACATTAAAAAGTTTATTCACTATGATCAAGTTGGCTTCATCCCTTGGATGCAAGGTTGGTTCAACATATGTAAATCAATAAATGTAATCCATCACATAAACAGAATCAATGACAAAAACCACATGATTATCTCAATAGATGTAGAAAAAGCCTTTGATAAAATTGAACATCACTTCATGTTAAAAACTCTCAATAAACTAGGTATTGATGGAACATAAAATAATAAGAGCTATTTATGACAAACCCATAGCCAAGATTATACTAAATGGGCAAAAGCTGGAAGCATTCCCTTTACAAACCACCACAAGGCAAGAATGCCCTCTCTTACCACTCCCTTGAATACAGGGAATTTGACAAAAAGATGCCACAGATCTAAAACTGTGCCAACCCCAAGGCTGGAGGAACCAAGGTAAGAGTTTGGGGTTCTCAGAACCTTAATGATTGAAGAAATAGAAAGTGGGGCTGAAATTCTGAGAAGGAACCACCACCTGGCTGAGGGAGGGGTGTCTCAGAGGTGGGACGACCACCTGACTGTGCTGGTGTCTCTGGAGTGGAGGGTTTCTCAGAGGTGCAATGACCACCTGGCTGTGCTGGTGTTTCTGGAGTGGTGGAGGATCTCTCAGAGGTGGGACGACCACCTGACTGTGCTGGTGTCTCTGGAGTGGAGGAGGGTTTCTCAGAGGTGCAATGACCACCTGGCTGTGCTGGTGTTTCTGGAGTGGTGGAGGGATCTCTCAGAGGTGGAATGAGAGTCAGGCAATAATCCCAAACAAAAACATGAAATTTGTGTGGTTTTCATTTTGGTTTTGCTTTGTATTTTAGTAGAGACAGGTTTCCACCATGTTGGCCAGGCTGGTCTTGAACTCCTGACCTCGTGATCTGCCCACCTCAGCCTCCCAAAGTGCTGGGAATATAGGCGTAAGCCACTGCGCCCACCCTATCTTTTGGTTATTAATCCCTTATCAGATAGATAGTTTGCAGCTAATTTCTCCCCTTCTGTGGGTTTTCCCTTCACTTTTTTCCCTTATTGTTCAAAGCCAAGCTCAAGTCCTACCCCTTTGTGAAAACTTCCTTGACCACTCTACTACAGTGTTCGCTTTTTCTATCCTTTGAGTTCCTATCACATTACTATCCCATTCCTCTGGCATCAGTCATCTATTATGGCCTATCTTTTCTTGTACTATTCCCTTTTTTGTGGTTGCAATAGTATGGTGAGATAAAGGGCTCTTGCCTGGAGAGGCTTGGCAGGACTGTGTATGGTAGAATGGCTTTGATGAAACCCCCACCATCCAGGATCTGATTCTTAGCTGACAAGACACTGTGTTGTCAGTATCCCAAAAGCCAACCAATGTCTGACAATTAATCAGCAGATATTTATTGACTGCCTCTGCCACGTCAGGTGCTGTGCTAGGCATAGGTCCACGTTAGCTACCCGTGTCCAACTTCCTATCTCTCACCAGAGCTTAACCTCAACTAAATGGGATTTCTCAACATTCTCTTATCACACCAGGCTCTTCTTACAGGCGGGTCTCTTTGCCTAAAAAGCCCACTCACCCCCCACCCCGCCCTCCGCCCTTTCCCCTTTCTCCCTCTGGAAAGCTCCTTCCATGTCTTTCAAACCCCAGTGCAGCCTTCACCACCTTTGGGAAATCTTTGCAGATGCCCTACAATCACCCAGTCTCTCTGAGCAATCTCTGTATCCCATTCATATATATACATATATATACACACACATATATATATATATGTGTATATATATTTGTTGTTGTCGTTGTTGTTGTTGTTGAGATGGAGTCTCGCTCTGTCACCCAGGCTGGAGTGCACTGGTGCAATTGCAGTTCACTGCAACCTCTGCCTCCTGGTTTCAAGCAATTCTCCTGCCTCAGCCTCCTGAGTAGTTGGGACTACAGGTGCCCACCACCACACCCAGCTAATTTTTGTATTTTTAGTAGAGACAGGATTTCGCCACATTGGTTAGGCTGGTCTTGAACTCCTGATCTCAGGTGATCCGCCTGCCTCGGCCTCTCAAAGTGCTGGGATTACAGGCATGAGCTACCATGCCTGGCCTCCCATTCATATTTCTAACATTGATTCTTATCACATTATATGCTGATGCTTTTTTTTTTCTTTTTCTTTTTTTTTTTTAGAAAGGTCTCACTTTGTCGCCCAGGCTGGAGTACAGTGGTATGATCATGGCTCACTGCAGCCTCGACGTCCTGAGCTCAGGGGATTCTTCCACCTCAGCCTCCCGAGTAGCTGGGACTACAGGTGCATGCTACCACACCTGGCTAATTTTTTGTATTTTTAGTAGAGATGGGGTTTCGTTGTGTTGCTCATGCTGGTTTTGAACTCCTGGACTCAAGCCATCTGCCTGCCTAGGCCTTCCAAAGGGCTGGGATTACAGGCGTGAGCCACCGTGCCTGGCCTCTGATGCACTTCTTTTTTTTGTGGTCCTCAACCTTTTTTGTGGTCCTTGACCTTTTTGGCACCATGGACCAGTTTCATGGAAAGCAATTTTTCCACAGACGGTGGTGGTGGAGATGGTTTCAGGATGATTCAAGCATATTACATTTATTGTGTACTTTGGAGATGGTTTCAGGATGATTCAAGCATATTACATTTATTGTGTACTTTACTTCTATTACTACATTGTAATATATAATGAGATAATTACACAACTCACTATAAGGTAGAATCTGTGGGGGTCCTGAGCTTGTTTTCCCGCAACTAGATGGTCTCATCTGAGGGTGATGGGAGACAGTGACAGATCATCAGGCATCAGATTCTCATAAGGAGCACCCAACCTAGATCCCTCACATGCACAGTTCACAATAGGGTTTGTGCCCCTATAAGAATCTGATGTGACCGATGATCTGACAGGAGGCAGATGGTGATGCAAGTGATAAGGAGAGGATGTAAATACAGAGGAAGCTTCACTTAGGGACCACTGCTCTAGTTGTTCTTTTTTTTTTTTTTTGAGACAGAGTTTCACTCTTGTTGCCCAGGCTGGAGTGCAATGGTGCGATCTCGGCTCTCTGCAATCTCCACCTCCTGGGTTGAAGCGATTCTCCTGACTCAACCTCCCAAGTAGCTGGGATTACAGGCATGTGCCACCATGCCCGGCTAATTTTGTATTTTTAGTAGAAACAGGGTTTCTCCATGTTGGTCAGGCTACTCTCGAACTCCCGACCTCAGGTGATCTGCCTGCCTTGGCCTCCCAAAGTGCTGGGATTACAGGTGTGAGCCATCACGCCTGGCCAGAATGTCACTAATTTTTATTGCAAGGGTAAATGGCTTCTGAGATCTAAAATTTTACCAGGCAGCGTGACTGGTTCATCAGAGTGAAGGCTTTACTTTTAACTCTACTAAGTTAGAATTTGTGATAATTAAGACAGGAGCTGCTTAAAAGCAGCTAAAGCTCAGCATGGCTCCATCTATGGGGAAAATTTTGCCAAAAAATTATGAAAACAATATTGTAGCATATGCATTTAATTGATTTAACAGAGCAAGTTCAAAAAATAAAGTTACCATTTCCTATTATTATAGAATTTTGGCAAGCTGAAAGCACCATCTGAAGAGTCCCCTTTCTCTACAAAAAAAAAAAAAAAAACTCCAAACAAAAAATTTAAAAACCATTTCCGTAACATTTTGATGTATTCCCTCCATCTTTTCAAAAGGCCATTTTGCACATATTTATGATCATGTATAGTATTTTAGATCGTGCTTTTACTATTATAAGTATTTCCCAAGTAGATTTTTTTTAATTTAATTTTTTTTTTCAGACAGGGTCTCACTGTCCCCCAGGCTGGAGTGCAGCGGTGCGATCATAGCTCACTGCAGCCTTGACCTGGGCTCAAGCCATCCTCAGTCTCCAGAGTAGCTGGTCGCCATAGGCATGTGCCACCATGCCTAACTTTTTGATTTTTTGTAGAGACGGGGTCTCATCACCACACCTGCCTAGTTTTTAATTTTTTGTAGAACTGGGGTCTTGCTATGTTGCCCAGGCTTGTCTTGGAACTCCTGGGCTCAAGCAGTCCTTCTGCCATGGCCTGGGATGCCCACTCCCTATCCTCCTTCCCCGCCTGGCCAACTTCTGTTCATCTCTCAAGATCCAGCTCCTCTAGGAAGCCTCCCCTCTCCTCCCCTCCCTGGGCTCCTGCCACTATGGTCTAGCATGCTCTGTGCTCACCCCATCCAACACTTCCCACAGGGAGATGTAATGACCTGTCTCACCTCTACAGGGAAGGAAATGGAATGCAAGACTCAGACAGAGCCCCCAGGATTCTCTACATTTAAGGTGGATGCAGAGCTGGGCAGACCAAGCACTGGAAGAGGAATGCCCTGGTAGTGGGTGTCTTCCCAGCACACTGCACACAGTGACTCAGGGCTTGCTGAATTTTTTATTAAGCTGTATATCTCCTTTCTTTTTTTTTTTTTTTTTTTTTGAGATGGAGTCTTTCTTACTCTGTCACCCAGGCTGGAGTGCAATGGTGCAATCTCAGCTCACTGCAACCTCTGCCTCCTGGATTCAAGTGATTCTACTGCCTCAGCCTCCCAAGTAGCTGGGACTACAGGTGCACACCACCACGCCCTACTAATTTTTGTATTTTTAATAGAGATGAGGTTTCACTGTGTTGGCCAGGCTGGTCTCAAACTCCTGACCTCAAGTGATCCACTGGCCTCGGCCTCCCAACGTGCTGGGATTACAGGTGTGAGCCACTGTGCCTGGCCTGTATCTCCTTTCTTAAGAATAATAATAATTAAAAAACCCAGCATTTACATTGAGTAGAGGGAAGACTACACCATTGTTCTAGATGGTTCAAAATTTGGCTTATCTATAGTAACCAGGTCATTTTATTCATTTACTTGTTTCTATTATATATTCATGAATACTTCAATTTTCATACGTATTTCATATATATACCATTCAAATTAAACAATATACAACAGGTTATTGTTAACAATTATAAACATTTATTAAGCACCAAGAATATACTGTGGTGGTTGCTATATGAAAACATAATTACCAATATAGTATCCCTACCATTGAGCTTACAATCTAAAACGAAATACAAGGCTATGAGCCTATCTAAAAACTTCCTTAACTTAGAAATGGCTACTTTGGCAAATGAGTGAGGCAAAATGACCTATTATTCAGATGCAGTGCTAATAAGGCTCTGAATATCATCCAAAGAATGTTTTACTCGTACCCATTGTTCCTGATTATGTTACACTTGCTAAGAAAAACAGTACTTAGAATTTTGGCATGAACAATGAATTATTTCAAATTGTCTTGTAGGACTTTAAACAAAGAGATGCTTACTGGCCTAAGTTTTCCAGCAGCCAGGGAAAGCCCTATTAAAAATATTATGAACTAGACCAAGTTTCTCTTTTAATCCACTTACACTTTTTTTTTTTTTTTTTTGAGACAGAGTCTTGCTCTGTCACCCAGGCTGGAGTGCAGCGGCGCGGTCTCGGCTCACTGCAAGCTCCGCCTCCTGGGTTCAAGCCATTCTCCTGCCTCAGCCTCCTGAGGAGCTGGGACTACAGGCGACCGCCACCACGCCTGGCTAATGTTTTTTTTGTATTTTTAGTAGAGATGGGGTTTCACCGTGTTAGCCAGGATAGTCTCGATCTCCTGACCTCGTGATCCGCTCCCCTTGGCCCAAATTTCTGATGACTACAAATACACGCCCAAAAGTTGCAGGGGGGGAAGAAAGCAAAAGACAGAAACAGAACAAAAACATATTCCAAAGGACTAACCAAAGGAGAAAGTAGTGAAAATGATGACACAGGGATAGAAAAGTTTACAAACAGACTGGCTTTTTCTTTTTCTGCTTGTCCTTATCCTTTGCTTCTCTCTCCCGTTTGGCAAGTCGCCTCTTAAATTCTTCTGGCATTTTCTCATAACAGTGTTTGCAGACTGGCTTTAGGTCAATTTCAACAAACTTATCCCTTTGAGTAGGACAAAGAAGGAATAGAAGAAAGAACAGGGAACAGTTAAAGGAAGAACCTTTACTTTCAGAAGGCCTGAACAGAAAGAGGAAATAAGAAATCAAATAATTCTCTTTTTCTAAATTCTAGGATTTTTTTTCAGTGTCCCCCCAAAGTTTTCAGTCTTAGGATTCACACTGGACAAAACCGTACACTTACTTGAGTGTTAATTTAGTGTTGCAGGTAGAACAGGCAAAGCAGTTCACGCACCAGGCCTTATTAAGAGCAGAGACCACTGGAGAAAGAGGAAAGAGATCTGGTCACATGGAAATACATCAGTATGGGGAGCAGGGCAGCTTAGAATTTCAACTCTAAAACAGAACTACGACTGTGTCTGTGGCACTTGGTGGAGGTTCTCAAGAACGTTTTTTTTAAAAAATGAGACAGGGTCTTGCTCTATAGCCCAGGCTGGAGTACAGTGGCACAATCTTGGCTCACTGTAGCCCCAACCTCCCAGGCTCAAGTGATCCTCCCACCTCAGCCTCCTGAGTAGCTGGGACTACAGTGCATGCCACTATACCTGGCTAATTTTTTTTTTTTTTTTTTTTTGAGACAGAGTCTCGCTCTGTTGCCAGGCTGGAGTGCAGTGGCGCAATCACAGCTCACTGCAACCTCCGCCTCCTGGGTTCAAGCGATTCTCCTGCCTCATTTTCCCAAGTAGCTGGGACTACAGGCGCGTGCCACCATGCCCAGCTAATTTTTGTATTTAGTAGAGACGAGATTTCACCATGTTGGCCAAGATGGTCTTGATCTCTTGACCTTGTGATCCGCCCGTCTTGGCCTCCCAAAGTGCTGGGATTACAAGTGTGAGCCACTGCGCCCAGCCTATACCTGGCTAATTTTTGTATTTTTTATAGAGACACGGTCTTGCCATGTTTCCCAGGCCGGACTTGAACTCCTGGGCTCAAGCAATCTGCCTGCCTCGGTCTCCCAAAATGCTGAGATTATAGGCATGAGCCACCATGCCCAGCCAAGAACCTCTTTCTTGAGAGCTTCTTTTCTTTTGTTTTTCAGACAGGGTCTCGCTCTGTTGTCCAGGCTGTATTGCAGTGGTGCGATCACAGCTCGAACTCCTGGGCTCAAGCAATCTTCTCATCTCATTCTCCTGTGTAGCTGGGACCATAGGTGTGTGCTACCACATCTGGCTAATTTTTAATTTTTATTTTGTAGAGATGGAGGTCTTGCTACGTTGCCCAGGCTGGTATCCAACTCCTGGCCTCAAGAAATTCTCCTGTCTCGGCCTCCTTAAGTGCTGGGATTACAGGTGTAAGCCACCACACCCGGCCCTCAACCTTTATGTATACAGTTGTTGCTCAATATGTGCAGGATACTATTTCTAGGATGCTGTGAGGATACCAAAATCTCAGACGCTCAAGTTCCTGATATAAAATGCATATAACCTATGTACATTGTCTTGTATACATTTATTTATTTATTTTTGAGACGAAGTTTTGCTCTTGTCGCCCAGGCTGGAGTGCAATGGTGTGATGTTGGCTCACAGCAACCTCTGCCTCCCGGGTTCAAGTGATTCTCCTGCCTCAGCCTCCCGAGTAGCTGGGATTATAGGCATGCACCACCACACCCAGCTAATTTTTTGTATTTTTAGTAGAGATGGGGTTTCACCATGTTGGCCAGACTGGTCTTGAACTCTTGACCTCAGTTGATCTGCCTGCCTCGGCCTCCCAAAGTGTTGGGATTACAGGTGTGAGCCACTGCGCCTGGTCCCATCTCGTATACTTTAGATCATCTCTAGGTTAATTATAATGCCTAGTACAATGTAAATGATATGTAAATAGTCATTATACTGTACTATTTGTATTGTTATATTGTTATTTTTCTCTAAATATTTTTGATCCATAGTTGGTTGAATCCACGGATGTTTGGATCCAGCCCCTGGATACGGAGGGCTGACTTTAATCTTCCCCCATCCTTAAGTATCCTGTGAAGTTATAAATGATGTGTGCCATGTCTTACACCAGCAACTGTGCCCCCTTGGCCTGGGCACATGTGGCAACTGTCCATGCATCATGTTGTTTAGGTGAGCTTGCTGTTTCTGTCCCTACTGCTGTTGGCCCAACTAGGAAATATGAACTAGGTAAATAATTTTCAAAAATCCAGACATTAACTTATTTGCCTCTGTAGGAGTCTTTTTTCCAGAGCTGATGATAACAAGACAGTTTCCTCTGCAGCTTCTTTCACCTGGCATCTATTTCACAGAGGAGGGAGGTAAGTTTTATTTTCAATGGCACTAAAGATTGTTTTCCTGGATTGTTTTCACAAACTGCACATGAACAGTTTCAAAAGTATTTCCTGAATTAGGTGATGTCTGCAGGCAGCCATGAATCATGCTGAAAACAGTATCGTTCAAAACTTTGCCAGGAAGTCTCTGGCAGAAGTGTGTTAGCGAGTCTTAGCAAACACAGCTGCTTCCTTTCTGTTCCAATCAATCAGCCCAGCCTAATTACCACAGTACAAGGGTGGTAAGTCCTAGATATGCTTGCTGATAACTGCCAGCTTTTAGCATGTGCAGGTTAAAGTGCCTCTTGCTAACTACGATAGCAGATTAAACTCTTCCTAATAAACGTTGTTCTAGAGCTTCCTGAAACTGGACACAGAAACAGGTCTTAGGGTCCACCAGGGACAGTTCCCATGATTGCTGGCATACAACACTACAGCAGTGGCCAAAAGTAGTGTCATAAATCAGTAACAAATCCAACTCTTTGATATTATCATCTTACTGCTACAGATTACTTGGAAAATACGCCAAAGATAGAGAAAAAGTAACTGATAACGATCACATTTCAAACCATAGCAATCACCAACCTGAATTTCCACATTCCCCAAGTGTTTTTGTGTCAAAGTGGCACCAATCTAAAACTCACACAGATACTTACCATCACCTTCTATAACACGATTGCAGTGGAAGCAAACATCACCAAATAGCTGAAAATAAAAAAAGGTGGTCAAAGTTCAAGATGTGTTAGAATTTTTAGAACACTGAACATTTAAAAATAGCTGGCTATCTAAATTGAGGATTTATCACTACTAGAGAAAATTAGTAAAAGTTCTTTGACAAGTTTTTACTTCTTACAATGAAAGTAATTCACTCTCATCAATTAAAAGAAAAACTTCCCGGATGACAGTTTGAACACCCAAATAAGTGATGCAAAATATAGAAATCTGTGAGTCCATATGGATAAGAAATAGATAAATGAATAAACCTATAGACGGGAGAGGAGGTGGGTTCTTGCTCAGGCAGAGCGCTGAGGACCAGACTATGGGTGGAGGGCATGGGGCTGGAGAAGTATTGTTTGCAGCTGGCGCAGAGACAAGAATCATCAAGGGGTGCTGAATCTAGGGCGGGTTGATGAGGAACAGGACATTTCCATGGTCATAGAATGATTGCCCACAGATTGCTTCTTTCTTACAGAGGAGGGAAGGAAATTGTAATTCACAGTGATGTTATCAGCCAGCACCATGCCTGGGAGATCACCAGTGCAGGAGAGGTATAAAATGCTCCAGGGGCAAGGTTCTGAGAAGATGCCCTGCCACTGTATGAGGCCACAACCTGCTGTGTATAACCTCATCTAAGCACAGAGAAGCACCAGGTGAACCCAAGTGGAAAGTAGTCTATTAAAAAGGGGTTAGGGGCCCTCTGCATCCCTCCAAAATGTCAATGTCATCAAAAATTTTAAAAGACTCTGGAAACGTTCCAGATTTAAGAAAGCTAAAGAAACATCACAGCCCTAGGCTGGGTCCAGTCTGGGAGTGGAAAAAATGCTGTGAGGATATTACTGACTCAAGTGATAAAACTGGAATAAATGGGTTAAAGTACGGTATCAATATTGATAACTACAATTATGTTAGAGAGTCCCATATTCTTGGGAAATATACACTGAAGTATTTAGGGGTAAAGGAGTATGATGAACTTATTGGCAAATGCTTTAGAAACAGCCATCGTACTTGTATATAATATTTATGTAAGTATGTGTTTTACACAGGAAGACTGAGCGTGGGAAATGATAAAGCAAACTGTGGACTTGAATGAAAGACATACAGGTATTCTTTGTATTTTTATAGTTAGCTTCTGAGTCTGAAATTATTTCCCAAATAAAAAGTTAAAAACAAATCTCTACTGAACAATGTACATCTTCCAAGAGATTTCCTTGTAGCTAAACTACTGATAAGCTTAGGTTCATAAAAGTCTATCTAGCATCCAGTGACTAAGGTCAATACCTGGTTATAGTGAGTTTCACAATACGCCAGGCCTTTCCTCTCATAATGGCGATGTCCAAGAAAGGGTTTCTCACACTTGGCACAAACAAAATGCTGAAAAAAAATTGCTATAGGTCATTTTTGAATTGCCATATTTTATATCTAATAAAGTAAACACCAGAGTTAACCTATTTTCAGAGAAGATGAAGGAAAGTTTGAGACAGTCATTTCATTTGGCCATAGGTGGCCCCATAACATAATACTTCTGCAGTTGTAATTCAGGTGTCTGTCTTTGAAGGTTACTTTAAGACACAGCCTATTATAATAGCCCAAAAAGAGAATAGAGGTGAGCATCTCAGTAGCACCTATAAAGGAGGAGCTGCTGCTGGATACAGACCATGGCACTTCCTGCTTCAAGAAGGCTTTAGGAGCAAAAGTGCACATCTTGTATCATTACTGAGACATTCACAAAAGCAGTGTACCTTCTATATTCTTAGCTGTCAGCAAAGTCAATTGTCTTTAAAATGTCCACGTTTAATCTTTAGAGTCTCCTAATCTTGCCAGGACACCTGAATCATGAAGATTTGAAAGTACTGGTTATCCCTGAATCATGGAGATTTGAAAGGATTGGTTACCCCTTAATCATGGAGATTTGAAAGTATTGGTTACTCCTTAATCATGGAGATTTGAAAGGATTGGTTACCCTTTACCATTTAGAACTCACCTCCACATGCCACTGCTTGCCCATGGCGTTCACCACACGCCCTTCGATGGGCCGTCGGCAAGCGCCACAGATGGGGACCCCCATTTTATCATGGCATGGCAGGCAGTATAGCTCCCCTTTCAGCTCCTGTGCATCGGCAGTCAGATCCTTCCTGTCTGTGAGAAAGACACCCAGCTTAATACTAAGAGAGAAAAATGGCCAACCGATGGGGCTAGCACACTTTTTAGAAGGTTTTTAAAGATATTACTATGACAATCCCTGCAAATTTCTTTTTTCCCCTTTAGAGGTGATCAGAATAACCTGAATTAATAGGCCCGAACAGGTTTCAGACTCCTACCAAAACATCTGTATCTTAAAAGGATAAGATGCAAGACTAGGTCAGATACATACCACCACACCAGTCATATTCATAATTTCCTTCTTGTATTATCACATTCCATTTTAGTCCATTTGTCTTCCTTTAAAAGCTACAGGGAATAATCACAGTGCTGAGGGTAGACTCAGTAATACTACCTGCTATGGTGTGACTGTGTCCCCAAAGTTCATGATCCCCAATGCAGAGGTGTTGAGAGGTAGGACCTCTAAGGGGTGATTACATCATGAAGGCTCTGCCCTCACAGATGGATTAACACTGTTACTGAGGGGGTGGGTTCCTTATAAAAGGATGAGTTCAGCCTCCTTCCTTCTCTTCCTTCCCCCCTCCTCTTCCCCCACCATGTGATGCCCTCTGCTATGTAATGATGCAGAAGAAGGTCCTCACCAGATGCCAGCCCCTTGATCTTGGACTTCCCAGCCTCCAGAACCATGAGCCAAATAAACTTCTGTTGGTTACAAATTACCCAGTTTGTGGTATTCTGTTACAGGCGCATAAAATAGACTAACACACGACCTTTCCAAGCAAACTGAGAAGTTGGGAGACTAGTTCCATTTACTAACAATTATTTAAATTGTCACAAGCTGTTGAAAAGAGTTATAGGTTAATAGGTTTATTTTCATAAACAACAAAATGCCCAGAATTTTCCTTCTCCAAATACTCAAATTAAATATTATTTTCAGTCTCCTGCATCAATAAACATTTGGTCAGAGATGGTCCCAATTAGTCAAATGGACTTGTTTGAATTTCATCCCTTTTATGTAATTCTCTAGGAGAGATGCTAATGAAAAGTGGACAGAGGTGAATCCCCAAGAGGAAGGACAGGCAAGAAAACGAGATAAGGCACAAACTGATAATTCAATCACAAAAGATGAGATGGCTGAACTTATACAACCAAACTGTTTTCTTTCTTTCTTTTTTTTTTTTTTTTTTTGAGACGAGTCTTGCTTTGCTGCCCAGGCTGGAGTGCAGTGGCGCGATCCACACTCACTGCAAGCTCCACCTCCCAGGTTCACGCCATTCTCCTGCCTCAGCCTCCCGAGTAGCTGGGACTACAGGCACCCACCACCACGCCTGGCTAATTTTTTTATTTTTAGTAGAGATGGGGTTTCACCATGTTAGCCAGGATGGTCTCGATCTCCTGACCTCATGATCCACCCGCCTCGGCCTCCCAAAGTGCTGGGATTACAGGCGTGTGCCACTGCACCTGGCCCAAACTGTTTTCTTAGCATTTGGCCTACTGTTTCTTCTCCATCCCTACTATAATTTACCAAGTAAGTTCACATTAACTATAGTAAAGAATATTTTTTTAATTTTTTTTTGAGACGGAGTCTCGCTCTGTCTCCCAGGCTGGAGTGCAGTGACGCGATCTCGGCTCACTGCAAGCTCCACCTCCCGGGTTCCTGCCATTCTCCTGCCTCAGCCTCCCAAGTAGCTGGGACTATAGGCGCCCGCCACCGTGCCCGGCTAATTTTTTTTGTATTTTTTAGTAGAGACGGGGTTTCACCGTGTTAGCCAGGATGGTCTCGATCTCCTGTCCTCGTGATTTGCCCGCCTCAGCCTCCCAAAGTGCTGGGATTACAGGCATGAGCCACTGCGCCCGGCCAAGAATCTTTATGCACTAAATTTTTATACTAGGTGGCAAACTGAGAAAAATTCATAGCCTAACAATTTATCATAACTTATTGAAGACAAAAAATTAAATATATTTCTTTTAGATATAAACCAAGCCAAATTAAATAAATATAACAACATCTTTTAAGATAATATCTAATTATTACAACTGTAAAAGTTATGCATGTACAGAGATAAGACCTTTTTTTGTTTTTAGATCTTCGACTGGAAAAACATAGTGATGACAAATATTTCTGGGGCTACTGGGAATATTTTTAATATGGACTGATAGTTGATATTATAAGATTATTGCTAATTTTCTTAGGCATAATAAGAGTATTGTGGTTCTGGCCAGGTGCAGTGGCTCATGCCTATAGTCCCAGCACTTTGGGAGGCCGAGATGAGTAGATTGCTTGAGCCCAGGAGTTTGAGACCAGCCTGGGCAACGCAGCAAGGCTCCATCTCTACAAAAAATTTAAAAAAATTAGGAAGGGTGGTGTGTGCCTGTGGTCTCAGCTACTCTGGAGGCTGAAGTGGGGGGACTGCTTGAGCCCAGGAGGGTGAGGCTGCAGTGAGCTATGATTGCCCACTGCACTTCAGCCTGGGCAATAGAGCGAGACCCTGTCTCAAGGAAAAAAAAAATTTACAAAATGTATCATGGTTCCATAGGAAAATGCCCTTATTCTCAGGAGATGCATACTGGGAGTCATGAGAAATTTTAGAGGTATGCGTATACAGGCACATGTGCACACATACATAGGAGGGTGAAACGAGAATGTGGACTGTATACACACAAGCATGGCAAAATGTCAACTGGTGAAATGAAATTAAGGGTATACAGGTTTCATTATATCATTCTCCTGACTCTTCTATAGGTTTAAAATTTTCTAGACTAAAAATGGGAGAAAAACAATTTGGTTTGCTAGAGTAACAGAAATATAGATAAATGTAATCTTTCATTCCCACTGCTTGTGTAATAAAAAAGAAACAATTCCAGTACCCGCAGTTGGCGCAGTTGAAATGGTCTGGATGGTAGGGGTCGTTCTTGAATATCAGAGGCTGCTCATCGATGATAGCATGGCATTTCTGGCAGATGTATTTCCCAAGGCCTCTGGCTTTCTCACGATTATGACAGGGGCGACACAGGTGTCTAAACAGAGTCAAAACTTAAATTTAAAATTTTAGGTTCTTTCTAATGGTTAAAAAGAAATATGCTTCCCTTATCTCTGAAAAGAAATTAAACAAACCATTTCTTAAAAAAATCACTCCTGTGCTTCACGGGGCAGAATCAAGCCACATGAAAAATGTGTTCCAACCCTAATATGACTGATTTTTAAGAAACTCCATCTAGGTACATCCCCCATTGGTAGTTCAGCCATGCATGGAGCAGTTATGCCCTGTGAACAGCAACACAAGGGTCCACTCCCAGCAGCAGCACTCAGTCAACACACTGCAGTGTCTGAGTTCCCATGCCCTCAATTCAGTGTCCTACAGAACTGCCTTACATCCCACATGGAGAATACACATGATCTTGTCACAGTCACATTGTCCACCCACATCTGACAAGGATGAAAATCCACCTACCTCCCAGCATTCTTGACAAACCCGATATCTGCCAGAACTTCCTGGCAGAGGTCACAGCGGAAGCACTCCGGATGCCAGCTGTTATTCATGGCTTTGATAACTCGGCCAATGATGAATTCACCTGTGGGAAAGCAACACACAAAGGATGTTACTAAGTAACATCCTAAGTAACAGGCATGGCACTTTATTTACTGAGAGAGCAATTAAGGAAAAACAGTGAGGAAAAAAACCGTTGAAGCCTTTCTCAATAGAGGAACTTTTTTTTTTTTTGGAGACAGTTTCGCTCTTGTTGTCCAGGCTGGAGTGCAATGGCACCATCTCGACTCACTGCAACCTCTGCCTCCCGGGTTCAAGCGATTCTCCTGCCTCAGCCTCCCAAGTAGCTGGGATTACAGGCACCTGCCACCACGCCCGGCTAATTTTGTATTTTCAGTAGAGATGGGGTTTCTCCATGTTGGTCAAATTCCCGACCTCAGGTGATCCGCCCGTCTTGGCCTCCCAAAGTGCTAGGATTATAGGCGTGAGCCACCACACGTGGCCAGTAGAAGAACTTTTTATTTATGTGTCTACCAGAGTAAGCACATTAGCAAAAAAGTTTTTATTTCATCCGAATTTTTGTTTTTGATTCAGCAGCCACATTTTTGGGCTGTTTTGTGTCATCTCTGAATCTAGCTTTCCTTTCCAAATGAGCTACTAGGCTCTCTTGAATGCCTTTTGGTTATTTCTGGTCATTGTCAACATAGACAACTGAAATCTACAGCACAGTTTCTTATAACCCATACTTAATTTATTCTTTCATTAAACCTTTAGAACATTCTACCCAGTTTCTTCAATCTCTGGAAACCTGGCAGAGGTATTAGCAACCAGTGAAGTGGCCAACGTGCAAGCAAGTCCATCACTTATGCGCCGTGCAAGCAATGTTTAAGCATCCCTAAGCTTCTGAAGCACCTCACTGATTTCTTCCCTGCCTCTTTCCGGGCAAAACCAAAAGCAAGTAGGTAAAGGTTGTGTTAACACAGGAAAAGAACACTCCCAAACACCACCCGATAGGAGTCCTAGTTCATCCCAAAATACCTCTACCTTAAATGTCCTTAAAAATCAATGAACTCTAGGTTTTGATACTCCTCCAGCTTGTTCTATGTTAACAATAGGGAAGAGGAGTGATGAAGTATCCAACAGTTATTCATAATGAGCACTAAAAACCATTTTTACCATCGATACTTCACCAGTGTGAAATGACTGAAGTAATGTGGAAACTTACTTTTTTTCCCCGCAAGATGGAGTTTGGCTGTTGCCCAGGCTGGAGTGAAGTGGTGCAATCTCAGCTCACTGCAACCTCTGCCCCCTGGGTTCAAGCGATTCTCCTGCCTCAGCCTCTTGAATAACTGGGATTACTGGCACCTGCCACCATGCCCAGTTAATTTTTGTATTTTTAGTAGAGACCGGGTTTCCCTACGTTGGCCAGGCTGGTCTCGAATTCCTGACCTCAGGTGATCCTCCTCCCTCCGCCTCCCAAAGTGCTAGGATTACAGGTGTGAGCCACCGCGCCTGGCCGGAAACTTACTTTTTACTTGACATTTAGCAGTAAAACTTACCACACTGATGACAGCAAGGGGCAAAGAGCATCTGAAAGTCATGTTCACAGTACTTTCTTCCTTCAAACTGAAAGAGAGGGTACCACCAACTTACAGACACGAAACAATCACAGGAGAAATATAATTATTTGATGAAGATATACAGGAAAGATGTTTCTAAACTAAGAGTTCTACTCTAAGAATTTATAACTCTACTGGGATTTTAAAAAGCAGATACTCTTTTGCACCATCCATACATCTACATGTTGGTACAGGAAAGACATACGGAATAAGTAGAGGCTAGAGTGAACAGTACACCTACAGGGACTGGTGACCTGGCCTCTGACTGTGCTGAATTGTTTTCTGGCTCAAATACCCTGCCTTTAATGAATCTGATGAAAGCTATGGATAACCTCTCCCTCCAGAAAATATGCACATACATACAACTCTCCTCCCACATTTTTCAGGTCGATATCTGTAATTCTCACTGTAACCTCAAATATTTACAAAGGGCAAATATTCTAGCACATTGTATTTTATTATTTTTTTAAATGGGAGTCTTGCTATGTTGCCTAGGCTAGTTCTTGGACTCCTGGCCCAAAGCAATCCTCCCACCTCAGTCTCTCAAAGCACTGGGA